>NC_000002.12:150822951-151125981 GCF_000001405.40 Homo sapiens | reverse complement strand
AACTTAGGAGTGCATGTGTCTTTTTGGTAGAATGATTTATTTTCCTTTGGGTATATACTCAGTGGGATTGCTGGGTTGAATGGTAGTTCTGTTTTACTTTCTTTGAGAAATTTCCACACTGCTTTCCACAGTGGCTGAACATACTTACCTTTTTACCAGCAGTGTGTGAGTTCCCCCTTTTCTCTGCAACCTCACCAGCATTTGTTGTTTTTTGACTTTTTAATAATAGCCATTCTGCCTGGTGTCAGACGGTGTCTTGTGGTTTTGATTTGCGTTTTTCTAATGATTAGTGATGATGAACATGTTTTCATGTATTTGTTGGCTGTGTGCATGTCTTCTTTTGATAAGTCTTTGTTCATGTCCTCTGCCCATTTTTTATGGGGTTGTTTTTTGCTTGATTTTTTTAAGTTCCTTATAGAGTCTGGATATTACCTTTGTCAGATGCATAGTTTGTGAATATTTTCTCCCATTCTGGACATTGTCTGTTTAATCTGTTGATAGTTTCTTTTGCTGTACAGAAACTCTTTAGTTTAATTGGTCCCACTTGTCAATTTTTGGTTTTGTTGCAATTGCTTTTGGGGACTTAGTAATAAATTCTTTGCCAAAGCCAATATCAGGAATGGTATTTCCTAGGTTTTCTTCTAGAGATTTTATCTTTATGTTTTTAGGTCTTACATTTAAGTCTTTAATCCACCTTGAGTTAATTTTTGTATATGGTGAAGGGAAGGGATCCAGTTTTAAGGGGTCCATCATAGTTGTAGGTGTGTGGCTTTATTTCTGGTTCTCTAACCTGTTTGGTTGACCTGTGTGTCTGTTTTTGTACTAGTACCATGATGCTTTGGTTACTATAGCCTTGTAGTATAGTTTGTAGTCAGGAAGTGTAATGCCTTCAGCTTTGTTCTGTTTGCTTAGGATTGCTTTGGTAATTTAGGCTCTTTTTTATTTCTATATGAATTTTAAATAGGTTTTTGCAATTCTGTGAAAAATAATGTTGGTAGTTTGATAGAAATAGCATTAAATCTGTAAATTGCTTTGGGCAGTATGGCCATTTTAACAATATTGATTCTTCCTATTCATGATCATGGAATGTTTTTTTACTTGTGTTGTCTGATTTGTTTCAGCAGTGTTTTGTAATTCTCATTGTAGAAATCTTTTATCTTCTTGGTAAGCTATATTCCTAGGTATTTTATACTTTTTGTGGCTATTGTGAATAAGATTGCATTCTTGATTTGGCTCTGAGCTTAGATGTTATTGGTGTATAGAAATGCTGCTATTTATTGTACATGGATTTTGTGTCCTGAAGCTTTACTGAAGTTGTTTATCAGTTCTAGAAGCCTTCTGGCAGAGTCTTTGGGGTCTTCTAGGTATAGAATCATATTGTCTATGAAGAGAGATAGTTTGACTTCCCCTCTTCCTATTTGGATGCCTTTTGTTTCTTTTTCTTGCCTGATTGCTCTGGCTAGGGCTTCCAGTACTATGGTTGAATAGGAGTGGTGAGAGTGGGCATCCTTGCTTTGTCCAGTTCTCAAGGGGAATGCTTCCTGCTTTTGCCTGTTTGGTATGATGTTGGCTGTGGGTTTGTCATAAATGGCTCTTATTATTTTGAGGTATATATTTTTTATGCCTCATTTGTTGAGGGTTTTTATCATGAAGGGATGTTGGATTTTATTGAAGGCCTTTTCTGTGTCTATTGAGATGATCATGTGATTTTTGTTGTTAATTCTGTTTATGTGGTGAATCGTATTTATTGATATGCATACGTGGAACCAATCTTCCATCCCAGGAATAAAGCCTACTTGATTGTGGTGAACTCACTTTTTGATATCCTGCTGGAAATGATTTGCTAGTATTTTGTTGCAGAAAAATTTTATCAATCAAGTCATTACTTAACAGATTTTTATATTGTTTTATGTAAAAAATGGACACCAAAAATATTTTTGGGAATGCATACGTTTTTGTTACTCATTTATCAGTTTTAACTCTGCTATGTTTTATTAGTAATATAGTACTTTAACAAAAAGCTTTATATTTTAGTAACAGTAAGCAGCCTTTCCCTGTCTTATTTTCTGAATGTGGGGTCCCACATAGTCATTTTATACTGGGATGTACAAATTACACAGAAGGCCCTGCCAAGAAGGAAAAGCAACTCTAAAGCTATTTCAGGCTGTTTCAAAGATTCTCCTATAGTAAAAGACCACCACTAAATCACAAAAGATTCTTGTTCCATTCATTTTTCTCAAGCTCTTGGGGTCATCAGTCTAATTGTGAATGCAGATGGTTAATGAGTCAGCTGTGCTGAGGGCCTCAAATATCCATTGTAAAGATACTTTTCAGTCTAGAGTAAAATGGTAGGAAAATGCAATGCCTTAAAGAGTTGAACAGTTAACATAACCATGTGATGCTGAGTGTAAGACAATATAGAGAGGTAGGAACTCTGGCAACCTGGAGGAACTTATTATGACCAAAGGCATATGAACTTAAAATACAACAGCACAATACAACAAAACTAGGGCAAATTTAAAACTTCTGCAAGCCCTGCTCAGCATGTTTAGTGGCAGTTGCAACTCCCATAAAGAGCTAACTATGAAGAGATGACTCTCAGGTAGAAAAATATATAAAATTGTCCTTGGATTGATTCCATAAACTATCACTGTTGTGAGAATCTCTATAAATCTATTAGCATCCATCATTCAATAAAGAGCTACTGCAATGAATGACATATAGCAGGTGCTCAATGGTGCATCTGTATATAATCATCATCATTGCTGTTCCTGTTTACAACTGGTTTAGTAGTGGTGGTGATAGAAGTCACAGCAGATGAATACTACGAGTTGCAAACTGGGGTTGAGGAATAAGAAGAGTAAGTATGGGGGCTAGAGGCCCCCCCCTTTCTTTTGGAGACAAAGTCTTGCTCTGTTTCCTAGGCTGGAGTGTAGTGGTGTGATCTTGGTTCACTGCCAACCTCCTTCCTGGGTTCAAGCAATTCTCATGTCTCAGCTCTGGGGGAACTGGGACTACAGGCATGTGCCACCACGCCTGGCTAATTTTTTGCATTTTAGTAGAGGCAGGGTTTCACCATGTTGCCCAGGCTGGTGTACAACTCCTGAGCTCAGGCAATCCGCCGACCTCAGCTTCCCAAAGTGCTAGGATTATAGGCATAAGCCACCAAGCCCGGCCTCCTTTGAAGCTGGTAAGGTGATCTTGGAGAAGGGAGAATGCTCTGGAATTGCTGAGTGAGTGCACCTAGAGGACCAGGTATTCGTGAAAGTTGTGTCCTCATTGTCCTATCACTCAGCCTTTACTGAGTGAGAGTCTGCCATTGACTTTGTGTGCTTCTGACAATTGATTCTGCCATTAAAACTGGAGCATTTTGCTCCATTTCTACTTAGCACTTGCTTAAGGAGTGACACCCATCCATGCCATAAAACTATGGGTGAACTCCCCTCCCCTAATTATTCTCTGTGGATACATTCCTCAGGGCTCTAGGATGTGCACAAACTCAAGTCCAGTGCTAAGTAGAGGGCCTGGATACTTGGCAGGGTGATGGTGGGGAAGCCATTATATGTGTGTCAAGAGGATGAGAGGGGGGAGAACAGAGCAGTGCAAGATGCTTGAACTGAGGTGATGGTTAGGATACCCTATCATGTATTAGGATATGCATCTGCTTTTGTTGAAACTAAATTTAATGATGACTTTTCTAATTCATCTCCAGAGCAGTGTTCTCTAAAAGTTTTTTTGTTCAAACATCTGTCAAAAGAAGATTTTGAACAGGTGTCCTTATAAACGTATTTATTACCCTATAAGTTATTTAGAGAAACTAATTATTAAAATAATATGTAAATTAAAAAGCACTCAAAATAAGTTTTAAAAGAATAAGATATAAATAAATGTATGCAGAAGCCCTAGTATTTGCGTACCACCTGAGATGTGCACACTTCACTTTGGAGACAACAGCCCTAGAGGAAGGGCTCAAGAGAAGCAAGCCTTCCATTTTACCGTGAATCCAGGAAGAAACCTTTAAATTCCCCACTAGGCCTCACAGCTGAGGTCTCCACTTACCATGCAGGATAGAGACTATGATACCATTGAAATGCAAGCAGACAATCCAAGAGCATTTCTAGGGAGCTCTAAATTATGAAGCAAATAATACTCAAGTTTGTTTCCAGATATCGCAATCACCTTTGAAGGAAACACTTTGTTCATGGAATGTTCACTAAAATCTTCATCAAAATTTACATTGACTTTCAGGTTCATCTTGGAGAAAGAACTTGTTGGTGACAGTGAACTATTAGGATTTTTATTATATGAAAGCCAGAACAACAAGGGAAATAATAAAAGGAATATTAAAATGCCAGTAGGCACACTACTATATCTTATATTCTGTTTTTCTTTTGTATATGTTTTCATCCAGTTTTCATTTATGTACATGTTTGTTGCATGATTTCAATCAGTCTAAATGTTACCTTGTTTTCTGATCATTTTTTTCACAAAAAAATTTGTGAGATGATAAAGGTATATTCCAGTAGTAACATGGAAATGTTTAGTGGCTGCGTTATATCCCATCAAATATTAGTATTCAATTTAGCTGTTCACCAATTGTACATACCGTTTCCAAATTTTTCTATAATATATAATGTTGCAAAGAACAATTTGTGCATTTAACAGGTATAAATTTAGTTACCTTGGAATAATAACCAATAATGATAGCTATCATATATTGAGTATTTACTATGAAGTATGTGAAGTTCTGTGGAGTGGAATTCCAGGGCAAAAACATATGAACGTTATTATTTTTAATAAATGTTGTTAAATTTCTAGAAGCAGTGTAAATTGACTCTACAGCTGAGAAGTAATGCGAGAGTTTACCACTTTCTCCACTACTTTGATAGCTTTGGGAATTATTAATATATCAGGGTAAAATATTTTATAACTTTAATGGTTGATTCCAGAATTCCTCTTAAGGAGGTTATAGCCTTTTTAAGGAAAACACTTTGACCAGCCAATTAGGGGTGAAGGAAGACATTCTGAATACACAGATTGGCAAAAGCCAAGATGAAAAGCTACTGTGAATTTGAAATGAAGAAGAACTTGGTAGTGAAGCACAAGAAGAAAGAGAAAAGGGAGTGAGGAGAGAGTTGAACATAACATGGTAGAAGACTGAAATTCTAGTTGTGCAAATGGCCGAGTGACTTTCATAGCAGAAATATCTCGACTTGCATTTTCAGGTTGTTTGTGTTGTGGCCATGCAAATTCCCTGACATCCCAAATTTGCAGTCAAATCTTTTTTGTGTATAGATATCCAGGGGACTGATTGCTTTGTGGGAAATTAAAACAGTTCCACATCTAGGTCAATGTAGTGTGAAATTAAACAGCATGCATGAAAAGGATGGTGAGATGTTCCCTAAACAAATTCAAAAATGTTAGGCGCTTAAACCAGAGGTGACAACCAGGAGAAGGTAAATTTCTAGGAAATTCTCTGAAGATTTTAAGTATGTTTTCCTTCTAAATGATATATTTATTTTCTCCTATATCTTATAGCAACTAGTACCATAAAGATATGCAGTGAGTACCTAATAAATGTTTCTTTATTGATTCACTCAATATTGACAGAAATTTGTTAGCACAAATTATGAATCAGTCAAGTCACATAATTGACAAAGCATCCTTTTATTATTTATTAACAAACAAAACCACTAACATTTGAGGGGCAGTCTCCAGGCAATCAGGAAGAGCAGATGGAGTCATTTAACTCTTTTAGATTGCTGGATTGCTGACAGGTGCATGTGGAGCTAGAGCAGTCACCTCCATCTGGCACAGACATGGGTGGTTACTGAGATATTTAGCATGGTAAGACAACGTTAAACAGATTCTACCGCAAAGATACAAAATCTTCAATGGCAAAAGTAGATTTTGCCCACTCATGGACTTTACTTAAAGGGCAAGCTTTGATTGGCAGTTAATAAAAATAATGAGACTACTTTTAGGTAATGACCAGTTTTAAAACATTAGTCAGGGATATAAAGTTCTGCATTTAGTAGCAGCAAAATGAACCTACTTTTTTCTATTCATTTGGTGCCCTCAGTGCTATGCAGTATTTCAAGAGACAATCTGAGGGCATTGCTAATTCAGCTACACAGAAAATGCTTTCGTATTCCCAGAATTAATTCCTCAGGCTTTCCAATCTCTAATTCTTTCCTGTAAATTTGACAGAAAATTCCTATAGCAAGTGTTATCACCTTTACATTTCTAAATAGTGAGCTGCCTCCATTTTATTTGCTATATCCTCTTTATTACAGTAATGTAAAAAATGGAAATAATGTCTTATAAAAATGAGAAACATTACTGATCTCTTTCATCATGCATAGTAATGTGTATCCCTGAATGTATTCAGGAAAAGTCATTTAAGGAGACCCCCCATGGTTTTGAATTGCACAAATGTGCATGTTGAAAGGCCACATTTTCTGATGTGGCATTAAGAAGAATGACATTTATTAATCTTTACTGCCAGAGCTGTGGAATAGATGACTTAGGCAAGTGTAAGTTTTTAAGCACCAAAAGATTTTTTTATATGTTCAAAACTTTTTTTAAAAAATGGGTCTATAGAGGTTGTCTAAAAAAGTGGTTGTGTCCTGTTTGAGATATTGGAATTGAAGTTGAATAAAGCGTCACGCACACAGTAAAATGATACTCCCTTTTACCCAATTTTTAGACAAAGTAGGAATGTAGTACTTAAAATGAACCAGTGAATTTTATACTTCAGGGATTTTTTTTTTAGTAGGAACTCTCCTAGTTCCAAGAGTTCTTTGTAAAGAGCAAAAATGAAATCTATGTTTTCAGAAGTGTTAATATGTCTAGTGAAAATTTAGCAGTTGGGTTATATAAAGAATATTTTCTGGTCAGGTGCAGTGGCCCATACTTGTAATCCCAGCACTTTGGGAAGCTGAGGTGTGTGGATCATTTAAGGCCAGGAGTTTGAGACCAGCCTGGCCAACATAGTGAAACCTTGTCTCTACTAAAAATGCAAAAAAAATTTAGCTGGGTGTGGTGGTACGTGCCTGTGGTCCCAGCTACTCAAGTGGCTGAGACATGAGAATTGCTTGAACCTGGGAGGTGGAGGTGGAGTGAGCTGGGATCATGCCACTGCACTCCAACCTGGGCAACAGAGTGAGACTCTATCTTCAAAAAAAAAAAAGTATTTTCTTTGAAGGGATACCTAAATACATATTTGAAAAAGGTATGCACAGAAAAGAGTAGTTTCTTTGGTAGGGTAAAATGTTTTTTATCTTCTTTGAGTGGGAAGAATACAAGTAAACTAGGAGACTGAATTTTAAGGCAACCTAAAATTCTGGTCTGACTTTGCTTTGTTATCTTGGGCTAGATACTTACCTCTCTGGGAGTAGTTTTCTCATCAGAGATAGGTGATTCAGAGTGGGACTAAATAAGCAACAGGATTATTTCTATACTTTCATTATGTTTTTCCATTTTTCCTGGATCTCATTGTTTCTTTTGTAGAGTCATCTGTCAATTTATTAGTCTTCTGGCTTCTTTGAATAAAATGTTGTCTTCTTTCTCCCTGCTTATAATTTTTTTTTGTCTTTAATTTCCAGCTGTTTTACCATGATGTGCTTAGGTGTTCTTTCATTTGTATTCATCCTATTTGAGGTTTGTATATGCATTTTCTATTTGTTTCTCTATGCATCAGTCTGTATATTTTTACCAACTTACAGTTCATGAATCTTTTCATCAGCTGTATGCAATTTGCTATTAGACCCATTAGGTGTATTCTTGATTTTGCTTATATATTTTTAATTCTAAAATTCGTATTTTTTATAATTTCCATTTCTCTGCTGAAATTCTTCAATTTGCCATCAACTTGTTGAGGGTATTAATCACAATTTAAACAAATTCATGTCTAATTACTCTAATGAGGTTTTGGTAGATCTATTACTATTATATATTATTCTCTTGATTTTTGGTCAAGTGTTCTTGTATCCTGGTAATTTTGGATTTAATGCTAGATGTCATATATGAGAAACTGGATTCTGAATGATTTTAATCTTTTTTCAAAAAGGATTTGCTTGTGTTTTGATTTAGGCAGTTAGCATAGTGGAATGTCACCTTAATCTAGCCAGGAATTGAGATGATTCAAAGTTACATTTTAGTGTTTTTGATGGCCAATCCAACATTGTTTCTGATTCATCATATTTACAGGGATTCCCAATTGTCTTTCAGGAGTCTTAGCTGAACGTCTTGGTTATTTATCAAGATTCCTTTTCCTTGGTGTGTTAGTCTATTTTATGGTGGTGTAAAAGAGCACCACAGACTGAATAATTTATAAAGAACAGAAATGTATTCTCTCACAGTTCTGGGGTCTGCGAAGTCCAAAACCAAAGTGCTCGCAGGTTGGGGCCTAGCCTCTCTGCTTCTAAGATGGCATCTTGAATGCTGAGTTCTTGAGATGAGAAACATTGTGTCCTCACATGGCAAAAAAACAGGAGTGGGAGAGAGAGAGTCCACTTCCATGAGCCTTTTCTATAGCAGCATGAATCTATTCGTGAGGGAGGAGCCCTCATGATAAACACTTTCCATTAGGCCCCACCTCTCCATGCTGTTGCTTTGGGACACACATTCAAACTACAGAACTTGGTATACCCTGAATTCCAATTTATGTCCTCCTCAGCCTCTTGAGAGGGTTGGAAGTTCTGTTTGGTCTCTCATCATTCTAGACACAGGCTTCTGCACAACTTTTCAGTCCTTAAGACACCACTGGTAAATTGGCAGAGGCTTAAGGGTAAAACACACTGAATATTGAGCTCATTTCTCTGTGCCCCTTTTCTCTCTTTGAAAAATCTAAGTTTTTGAAACTCTTTGATGCCTTCAAGCATTTATAGTTTAAAAATGTCTTTCTAATTTTCTATTTTTTTTTCCTGTGGGAAGATTTGTCTGGCAAAACCAAAAACAAAACCAAAAAACCTAATCTTGTGTTCTGACATGAAGCAGAAAATCTCTATTAAGTGTTAAACTCTAAAGTTCTACATTTTTTTGTGATTTTATTTATAAAGGGTAGATTATCCTTTCTTAGTAGTTAATCTGTAGAGCATATATGGCAATAAATAACTAGGGGTTTAGATACTACATTTGTTGTTAAATATATTTCTGTCACCTGTTCTGACCGATGAAGTTTAAAGGCCAAAGTTATAGAATGACTGTCAGAATGATTTTTCCTACAGGACTACATAGGCATGTCTTCTCTGATGTCTTGACATAAACCAGGATGACAGTTCTGTGGTTCTTTAATGAAAACAGGATCTTTCCATTCTTCATTCTGATGAGAAAAATCTTGAACCAGAATAACCATTTAGAAGCTATTGATCTGAACCCGCAATGAAACTCTGCTTTTCCAAAGTCTTTTGGGATATATCAAGGCCAAATCATAGGTATCTCCATAAATAATTAGATACACAATATTTCCACAGCTGTGCAATACCAGATGGTTTTGCTTTTTTAGGCTTAAAGGAACTTCCTTCCTTTGCAGTTAAAAAGTCAACTATGTCAGAGCCTATACAACCATCCTTTTTAAATGGGACACAGAAGGTCTGAGAGACTTGGATTTGAACTCCATGATAGTCTGACTTTTAGTGGAAGAGAACTCAATTACGTTTGTCACATGTTGGCATCAAAAGATTTTGCTGCCAGTGTAGCGAATGTTTTATCTTTCAACTGAATTATTTAATTTGCAATAATGACACACTAAAAGACAGGTGGAAGTAGTGAAGCTGCATGCCCCACTGACCACTGATTTTAGCTCTTAGCAAAGGTTGTCCTTGCAGATTTGCTGAACGGTGCATACTTGGGTCTCTGTTCAGCCCCCAGGCTCATGTTTGTCTTGACTCCCTTCTTTGCACTGCTTTTCTGATTTCTCTATTGTAGGTTCATCTGAGGCCAAATACCTGATGTCAACTTTCTTTTTGCCACAACTTAGAGATAACATAATAGGGGCAGCCTTTTCAATAATAGTAAGAGACAAAAAGTGGCCTATTAAATACAGTTACTTTGGATTTCGGGGAAAGAATTTCTTCCTTTATGAGGAAGAAGGCAAGACCCTTTTCATCTTTGATCATTGGTTAGCTAACGGTTTTAAAAGGATTAGGACTAAATATAAATGCCAAAATTATCTTTGTTTTTTGTCAACATATAAAAGCATGTCTTTTAAATTGTATGTTTGTTTTTACTTTTGCTTTTATTATTTTAAAAAGTCTTAGCATTGTAAACAATATATTTTGTTGTTGGTGTTATTAGTTGTGTCTAGCTTATAAATCTAAAGCTTTGTTATTATAAAAATGATACTTGCCTTATTCAAATATTTCTCAATGCATTTTTATACATATAGACATTTTACACAATATCCTGTAAATAGGATTCTATTATACTATAGTCTGGTGTTTTTATTCACCAAGAACTTATGATACCATTCCAGGTAAAGAATTATAGATGATTATCAGGATACGCAAGATGAAACATGGATGTCTGTCATGATTTAATAATGAATTATTTGGCAAGTGTGGAAGTTGCTATGATATGTATTGTGGGTGGAATTGTGTCCCCCAAAATGATGTCCTGAAGTCTTAACTTCTGGTACCTGTGAATGTGACTTTATTTGGAAATAGGGTCTTTGCAAATGCAATCAAGTTAGGTTGAGATCATACTAGATTCGGGTGAGCCCGAAATCCACTGACTGGTTTTCCTCTAAGGAGAGAGAGATTTGGAGACACAGATTCCCAGGGAGGAGTACCATGTGACTACAGGGGCAGAGACTGGAGCAATACAGCTGCAAGCGGAGGAATGTCAAGAATTGCCAGCAACCACCAGAAGCTAGGAAGAAAAAGGAAGACTCCTCTCTGGGGCCCTCAGAAGGAACATGATGGCCAATACCTTAATTCTGGACATCTGGCTTCCAGGACTGTGAGAGAATACATTTGTGTTGTTTTAGCCACCTAGTCTGTGGTAATTTGTTACAGGAGCTGTCTAAGAAACTAATATAATATGTTATGCTGAATTATTTTATTTTATATTATGTATTTCTCTACAGCTGGAAATAAGTTATTATTAGTGTCATGTGTCCCATATATCATGGGTTGACATTTCAATTCTAATTAAAGAAGCAACTATTTTGACATGTAAGTGGAATGTGGAATTTAGGAACTACGACATTATATATCTCTGATAAGTTTTCAAGCAAACTTTATCCACTTCTAGTCTCCTCAATTAAAAAGGGACATGAAAAATGTGGAGATTCATTAATTGAGACCAACAAAAAAGGCTAACAGGCTGAAAAATAAGGGTATTAGTCACAGACTTAGAAAGCTGAATGGGGACATTAGTGACCATCCACCCTGGGGCTGGCATACTGCCAGCACACACCCTGCCTTTCCACTGCAGACACCATCCAAACAGGGTGCTGCTCAGCCCTGGCCCAGACCCAGCCTCATAGTCCTCCTCTGCACAGTGTACCAGGCAGTTGTAACCAACTGATAGAGATAGCCCAAAAGAAAGCCTATTAGCTATTATGGTCCAGTCAAGTCTTTTCATTTACAGATGAAAACACTGAAGCCCAAGGAGAGAAAGGGAGCTAATTGTAGGACCCAGAATAAGTTAAGAACTGGATGTTAATCCCCAAATTCCCGT
Source organism: Homo sapiens (assembly GCF_000001405.40). NCBI lineage: Eukaryota > Metazoa > Chordata > Mammalia > Primates > Hominidae > Homo > Homo sapiens. Next base: position 151,114,296 of record NC_000002.12, on the reverse strand, counting down.
CTTGTGCCTACTTCACCGCCATATCCCCTCCTAAGCAGTAATCAAAGGATAAAAATCTCTTTTGGGGGGAGGGGCTGGGGTACATAATTTGGGGCTATCAAGATTTCCTTCAAAATCTTAAACGGGTTCCATGTAACTCCCTAATGGTATGACTGGGGTCCAATAGAAACATTAAGTATCTCAGGATACAGAATTGAACTTGAGTAGTTAGTGTAATTCTAATGGTTAAGGATTGTGGTAGTGGTTGGGGAAGAGAAGGAAAAGAGCAGATGCTGTTGCTAGAGGGCAAGGACCATACCACTTTGATTTCCCCATGTTGTTATTTGACAAGACTTATTTAATAAACCTTGTGCTTCACCATAGGGACATCCAGAGGGGTAAAAGAAAGACTTCTTCCTCAAGGAGGTCAATACATGTAAATAATTAATGTGTCACAGGGTAAACCCCCAAATTGGGGTTCAGCCTGGGAGGCCACATGTATTCTTGACTTCGTGCAGGAAGGAATTAAAGAGCAAGCCAACAGAGTGAAATGAAAGCAAGTCTATTAAGAAAGTAAAGGAATAAAAGGGTGGCCACTCCATAAGCAGAGGAGCCTTGAGGGCTGCTGGTTTGGCTATTTTTATGGTTATTTCTTGATCATATTTTAAACAAGTGGTGGATTATTTGTGAGTTTTCCAGGAAAGGGGCAGGGAGTTCCTGGAACTGAGGGTTCCTCCCCCTTTCAGATTATACAGGGTAACTTCCAGACATTGCCATGGCATTTATGAACTGTCATGGTGCTGGTGAGAGTTTCCTTGGGTATGCTAATGTATTATAATTAGCATATAATAAACAGCCAGGACAACTAGAGGTTGTTCTTGTTGCCACGTTGGTTTTGGCCAGCATCTTCACTGTATCCTGTTTTATCAGTGGCGTCTTTGTGACCTGTGTCTTGTGAAACCAGTCCTGCCAAACTCCTGTCTCAAATGGAAACGTGGTGAGGTGAGTTTGGCAATGCATTCTTGGTACAGGGACACAGCAACAGGTAGTACTTTATTATTTATAGAATTAGAATAATGAGAGTTGGAAGCTAATTAGAGCTCACTGATCCTACCTCATAGTCAGCCCAAGGATCCTCTCTACACTATACCTTGCAAAAGATCAATTAGTTCATTTTCTCTTCACCTAATTGACTTAGAGGTTAAATATATATACAAAAATGTGTGTGTGTGTACTTTGTGTGTGTGTGTGTGCATGCATGCACATGTATGTAGTTTTGCTTCCATCTAATTCTGAAATGATTCATAACCTAAAAAAGATGAAAAATACTCCTTTGGTCTTTGCTCACGTATTTCCAGAGATGAGGTATCCATTATCTCATAATGCAAAGTAAACCAAAAATAAATTTCTAAGCCCTCCAGCTGACTGAACAGAGCCCCTCCTGGCCAAAGGGATTCCAAAGAAATCTGAATAGCTAGGGGAGGGATAGCATTAAGAGAAATACCTAATGTAGATGACGGGTTGATGGGTGCAGCAAACCACCATGGTATGTGTATACCTATGTAACAAACCTGCATGTTCTGCACATGTACCTCAGAACTTAAAGTAAAATAATAATACTAATAAAATAGCTATATAATTAGGACACTTTTGGACTTAGGAGATTGAACTTTAGAAAATGTTTAACGATCTTGTTGAAGTTTATAATCTTATATAATACCATAATTTATATTAATTCATTTTTAATTCAATAAGTGCTTATTAAAATATTTTTTCTTAAAAAAAAAAACTAGTTCAGGCCATCTGACTAGAGGTCAGATATACCTCATTATACCCCATTCTCTTTGGAGTTTAGGCACAACTGGCCAGCATTAACATGAAGATAAAGGTTGTAAGACTGACAAAACAGACATTTTGTAGTAATAAGATGACAAATTCCAACCTGACTCTGGTATAGCATCACATGACAGATAAAAGGCCCTGGAGGAAATCGAAGTATTTTACTGAAAAACAGATTTCTTTGACATTATCTTGGAATGGTCCTGCCAAGCCATCTCTTGTGGGGGAAATTTATGTTCTGTAGAGAATCTCCTTCCCTTTCTGGGTCTTATCCTCATCCCGAAGAGATTTAACTAAGAATCTGACACCTTTTAAGGTCCAAAAAGAGACATTTACCATCTATTCTCTCTGAAGTATGCTACCTTAGAGGCTTTATCTACATAACAAGAACCTTGGCTTTCACAACCTCTGCTTATTGTAATTCAAGGATTTCTTTCTGCTGACTTCAACTCTTTAGGCAAAGCTTAACTTTTTTAACCAATTGCCAATCAGAAAATCTTTAAATCCACTCATGACCTGTATGTGCCCCATTTGAGATGTCCCACCTTTCCAGGTTGAACCAATGTATATACCTTACATGTGTTGATTTATGTCTTTGCCTGTAACTTCTGTCTCCCTAAGATGTATAAAAGCAAGCTGTAACCCAGTCACCTCAGGCACATGTTCTCAGGACTTCTTGAGGCTGCATCCCTGGCTGTAGTGACTCATATTATCTGAGTCACTCATACTGACTCAGAATAAACCTCTTCAAATATTTTACAGTTTGGTCTTTTTCTCATCAACAGCAGTTAACTACATTTAAAATAAAAAAAATCCATATATATAGATATGTCTGTTGTATAGATATATACCTATATCTGTCTATCTATTGTACTTCCAAATGCTGAGGCTTTATCTACTTTTGTCCAAATATGGGGAATCATCCTAGACCCTACCAATAATCAGTTCATCCTACTCATATCGTTTCCTAAATATTTATTGAATTCTACCCTTTCTTTCCATCTCTAATGCTCTTTTTAGTTTAGGTTTTTTTTAGCTTTTCCTTGGAATTCTGCTAGTCTTCCAACTGGTTTCTGAACCTCTTAGCTTCGTCTGTCACACAGCAGTCAATGTGATCTACTTGAAAAAGATATGACCATGAAATTTCCCACCCACAATCTTTTTACTGATGTCCTGTTATCTAAAATTTGATTTCTTAACAGTTATGCTGGAAGCTAGAAGCCAATGGAGTCAAGCCTTCAATATTCTGAGATAATATATTTCAAATCTAGAATTCCATACTTTCTCATATGAAAACTAAAGTGTTAGGATGGAATAAATATATTCAGAAAGTTGAATGATGTGCTTCACCAACATGAGTGAGTAAAGAAGGAAGACATAAGGAATCCTGGGTATGGGGCACCTGCCACAAGATGCAGCAATGGGAATTCCCAGGATGACAGTGAAAAGAAACATAATAGCTGTGCAGAAGTCCTCAAAGAGGAGCAGGGAGGCAGAGGGATCTGAGAGCAATGTCCCCAAAACAATCAAGAAAATGTATCAAACCGATCTACTGCCAGATTTTAAAAACTATAATGAGAGGAATTTTATATATCTGGGCCAGTTGGGTGTGAATTAATGATAGGTACATGGAAATGGAGCAATTGAAAGGATAAGGCAATTATTAACTCAAAAGAAAACAAAAAGTTGTACATTACATAATACAAACGCAGAAGTAAACTCTCACATATATGGTCAAATGATTTTTGACAAGGCTGCCAAGACTACTTAATGGGGAGAGGACATTCTTTTCAACAAATTGTGCAGGGAAAACTGGATATTCATTTGAAAAAGAACAAAGTTGAATTCTTACCTTACACCATATCCAAAAATTAACTGAAAATAGGTCAAAAACCTTAATGCAAGAGCTAAAACTATCAAGCTGTTATAAGAAAACATAGGGAAAAAGCTTCATGACACTGGATTTGGCAATGACTTATTAGATGTAACACCAAAAGCACAAGCAACAAAGGCAAAAGTAGACAAATGGGACTACCTCAAAATTAAAAACTTTTGTGCATCAAAAGATACTATCGGATTGGAAAGGCAACTCACAGAATGGGAGAAAATATTTTCAAATAATGTATCTGATAACGGATTATATCCAGGATACAAAAAGAACTACAATCCAACAAGAAAAAAACCAACCTAATTAAGATGGGCAAAAACTTAGACATTTCTCCAAAGATGATTTATAAATGGCCAATAAGCACATGAAAAGATGTTCAAAATCACAGTTCATTACAGAAATACAAATGAAAACTATAATGAGATACCACTTCATCCATTAGGATGGCCATTACGTAAAAAAAAAGGAAAATTACATATAGAATTATCATAGGATCTGGCAATTCTACTTCTTTGTATATACCCCAAAGACTTGAAAGCAGAGACTTGAAGAGATATTTGTATTCCCAAGTCTATAGCATATTATTCATAATAGCAAAAATGTGGAAGCAACCAAAATATCTACTGAAAGAGTGGATAAACCACATGTGTATATACATACGATGGAATATTATTAAGCCTTAACAAGGGAGGAAATTCTGACACATGCTACAACATGGATGAATCTTGAAGACATTATGCTAAGTGAAAATAAATTAGTCACAAAAGGATAAATATTGTGTATGATTTCATTTATATGAGGTATCTAAAACAGTCAGATTCATACAAAATAGCATGGCGATTGCCAGAAGAGTGAAGTAATGGGAAGTTATAGTTTGATGGGCACAGAGTTTCAGTTTGGGAAGATGAGAAAGTTCTGAAGATGGATGGTGGTGATAGTCACATAAAAATGTGAATGTACTTAATGCCACTGAACTGTCTGCTTGAAAATGATTAAGATGGTAAATTTTTTGTTAAGTATATTTTATTTTAAAAGGCTTTTTAGTTAATTAATTTTAGAGACAGGGTCTTACTCTGTCACCAAGCTGAGTGGTGATCATAGCTCACTGTAGCCTCAAACTCCTGGGCTCAAGCAATCCTCCCACTCCAGCCCCTTGAATAGCTAGGACAACAGTTTCAGGCTCATGTTACTGTGCCCAGCTAATTTATTTTTTGTATTTTTAAAGATAGAGTCTTACTATGTTGCCCAAGCTAATCTCAAAACTCCAGGCCTCAAGCAATCTTCCTGCCTCAGCCTCCTGAGTAGCTAGGATTACAAGTGGGAGCCACCGCTCCTGGCTTTTTTTTACATGATTAAAAAAATGTCACCAGACTACCTTGCTAAGCATTGAATAAATATGTCTCAAAATGACATTGCTAATTAAACCTTGAAGAAACTGTTTAATTTCTCTGTATCTCATAATACTAAAAAAAACTTATAGCTTTTAGTCTCCTTTGCAGATAAAATGAATATCATCATTAAAAAGAAATTACCTAATACCTTATACAGCTTAGCTAAGACCCAAATTTACACCAATATTATTATGCACAGACTGAATATTGATTTTCTTGAAATTATATTTTTGGGAATTGAGGAAGAGGTGAATATGGTATTAGAGTTAAAACTTCTAATATTAGGAAGCCAATAAATTATTTCTAAAATTATAAATTAAAAAAATAGTTCATGCAGGTTATTTGTATAGGTTGAGTTAAAATGCTAAAAGATTAAAAGTGGTTATTTTTGGAAGTACAGGAATAGGGTATGTGCCTGACTTTTTTTTTTCTGTAAACCTGATGGCACTATCCACTATCTGAGTTTTAAAACCATGTACATGTATACTTTTGATAACAATTAAAGTCAGTTAAAAAGCACATATATATATATGGACATACACATAGATTTCTTGACCAACCCTGTTACCAAGTGTACATTCTTGATCATATGATGGAATTAGGATGAAACACTTATAATAATTGTAAAGAGTGTTATGATTTAAAAAGTCCTTTTATGCTTATTCCTTTGGAGGAAGCCAGCCTCCATGTTGCAAGGAAGCTCAAACAGGCCTGAGGAGAGTCCACGTAGTGAGTGGTCCTGTAGTCAGTACTAATTTGCAAGCCATATAAGTAAGCATCTTGGAACAGGATTCTCCAGGGCCAGTCAAGTCTTAAAATGAATACTGCTGTGGTCAGTATCTCAATAGCTCACTAGAGACCCTGAGTCTGGACCACCCAGGTAAGTTGCTTCTGAACTCTCCCACAGAAACTATGTGAGATAATAAATTTTTATTGTTGTTTTAAGCTGCTAAGTTTTGGGGATAAATTGTTATTCAGTAGCAGATAACTTATGTAGATTTTGGAGGAAACTGAGGTTTAGAGAGATGTAAAGACCTGCCCGTAGTGTCATATCTAGTAAATAAGTGGTGGAGGCAAAGATTGAAGTACATTTTCTGGCCCCAGATTCAGTGCTTTCTTTTGTTGTTGTTTACAACACCAACGAAGCCTCCTATCCCCAAGAACAGTGTGATGATCTCTTGGTGTTTTCATTTCATTGGGTCAACTTTGATATAGAAGTTAATTCTGAGAGGTTTTAAGTGCCAACACATAGGCTTAGAAATCATGACATCTAAATCAGTTTCCAGTTTCCAAGCTGTGCAGCATACAGCTCTCCATTCATTTAGGGGCTAGTAGCTAAGAGTTCTATTCCTGAATAAGGAATCACTGTAGTAATAAAACCTGGAAGAAGTTAAGTACTCTACATATGCACCAACTTCTGATCTAGCCTACACACTGAGTCATTTTTCTATATATTACCTTTCTTATCTCTTTGGCTCTGCCTTTGACTGAAAAGTACATTAAGAATAGCACTCACATTGTAACATTGTAAAGAAATTATGACAACTCATTTTTTCCATCAGTGCACTAAACATAGAAATAACTATTAACTTTTTGCTGCTTTCATCCTGTATCTGAGTAAGTATTTCAATTTGCTCTTCTCTTCATCTCACAGATTTTTAATTTTCTGTTTCATTTAAGGTCATTAAGGAATATTACTTAAAATGGGCAAAAAGGCTAGTGTTTAGTCATTTTTAATTTACTGTGACACACACTTTTGCTGACTTACTGAATGAGCTAAGGTTATCATAATTCATCATCTGTGCTCCTTGATGCTTTTGGATTGCATTTCCATATGGATGCATTTTCTATTAGAAGTCCTCCTGGGCACATATTGCCCCTATTAACTGAGTCATAGATTGCAAACCCTCAGAAGGACTAACTAGTCAGATGTGGAGTTGTGGTGAGAGTTGAGATGAAAGACAAAGCCATTGCCAATAATTTAGGACTTTCTAGGCCAAAGGTCACTGTTCTTGTCTTTTTGCTAGCTTCCCACACTACTGTCCAAGAATGCCTCGCTCCTAGCTAGTTAGTTGCCTCCACATCCTAGAATTTGCATGAGGCCATGCTGAGAAAACCTGTCTTCATGTAGTTCTACAGGTATCCTCTGGCAGGCTGTGAAGACCGCAGGACAGGTGCTTGGGTTTGGGCATGAGCTTGAAACAGGAGGATGACTCACTGGAATGCCTGGAAGGGACACTGGAAGGAAAAGGAGGAGGTTCTTTTCATCCTACTTCACAAAGCTGTCTATGGAACCGTGACCATAGGTCTCAAAACAGTTTTGCATGTCATCTTCCCCCTTCCTCACTCATGGCACAAGTCAGTGTAACTGGTCTATAGGCTAAAGCCAGAGAAAGACAGATACTGTAAGATTGCTCTCTAAAGACTGATTCTCAATCTTTTATCCTCTTGCCTTTTCTACTATAAAGACTGGGAAAGCTAAATATGCACAGTCCCAGCTTCCTTTGGTACTTGCGTTGCTAAGTGGAGAAACTTTGAGCAATGAGACCTAAGGGAGGATCTTCTGAGGGGTGTATGGACAAGCTTTGGCTTTTCTGATGAAATGGATTTGATGCGGTTGGCTCAGATCTTTGCCTCTCTGCTTTGTCTTGCTTAGAATCTGTGTGTATGGCTGGAGGAGCAGCAGCTTTCTCATGCTCATGAATTTAATGAGCTCACATACTAAGAATGGCAGCACAGATAGTAGGAAGGGCCTTACTCCTGATGACATCTCTCAGCCCCTATACCATTCTTGGACTGCCCAGTGTTGAACTTTGTATTAGTCAAAAAACAAACAAAATTAACTATTTTTTTTAAGCTATTCAGACTACTGGGGCATTCTATTTCCTTGGAAATAAATCACTGCTAATGATACATCAATAAGTTGGATCATTTTGATGGTTAGTGTAGACCTAACTTTGGCAATATTGCCATTTTAGGCAGGCTGGATAATTCTTTGTTGTGGGGGACTGTTCTGCTCATTGTAGGATATTTAGCAGCATTTCCCTAGCTAGGTGTTAGTAGCATGCCTCCACTTGTGACAACCAAAAATGTCTCCAGACATTGGTAAATATCGCCTGGAGGATAAATCAAACCCTGAAGTAGGAGGCAGCTTTAGAAATACTGGTTATCCACTTGTATCAGTCAGTTAGGTTAGGCGATGCTGCAGTAACAAAGGACCCCAACATTTCAGTGACCACCAACAACAAAGATTTGTCTCTTACTCAGTATGCTCCATATCTATAGTGGCTTGGCTGAGGTTCTGCCTCATGTCATTTTCAGCCTAGGACCCAGAAAGGTGGAGTAGTTTCCAGCTGAATATTTCCAGTTGCTCAGACAAAGAAAAAATAGCCCATAGCAAAGCAGGTGCTGGCTCTTAAAACTTCTGTCTGGAAGAGACACATGTCGCTTCTGCTCACATTTTACTGACCAAAGCAAATCACAGGGCCCTGCCTGAGTGCAGTAGTGTGGGGAAATGCCGTCCTTCCACACAGAGGGGCACCAAATATGGATTTGGAAAAAGGAATACAGACTACCATACCATCTGAGAAAAGTAGATTCTTGAAAGAATGATACTAGTTAATGACAAGTACTCTGCCCAGACCTACCCTTATGTATTTGCTGGGTTGAGAGCCTTTCACAGAAGAAGGGGCCAACAAACTTCTTGAGCAGAAAATGATAGGGTCAAAGCAAGAAGTAAGAGTTTTGGAAAGTTCTAGCTTCTGGGAAAAAATGTGGAGCATAAAAGTACAAAAGAATTGAGTTATTAACTCAAGGAAAGTCAGAAAATGGCTGGATTAGAATAGTGGTTGGTACATAGACTTTGGAGTCAAACCACCTGTTTTCAAAGTAGAATGCACTGCTTTCCATTTCTCTGATAGTGGGCAAGTTAATTAATCAAGTCTCGCCTCATTCATCTGTAAAACAAGGAAAGTGACTGCATTTACCTCACAGCATTGTTGTTCAAATATAATGCAAGTGAAGTGGTCAGGACAGCTGGCACTTGGAAAATAATAAATGTCATCTAGTCTAACATAAGAGCTGGTTTTGCACAGCTTTTGGGATCACCATCCTTGTAGGGTATTTGGAAAAGAAAAAAGTTATTTTTCTTATATTTATTTTATTATTTTATTTTTATTTTACTTTAAGTTCTGGGATGCATGTGCAGAACGTCCAGGTTTGTTACATAGGTATACAAATACCATGGTGGTTTGCTGCACCTATCAACCCCTTATCTAGGTTTTAAGCCCCGCATGCATTAGCTGTTTTTTCTAATGCTCTCCCTCCCCTTTCCCCCCACCCCTCAACAGGCCCCAGTGTGTGATGTTCCCCTCCCTGTGTCCATGTGTTCTCATTGTTCAACTCGCACTTATGAGTGAGAACATGCAGTATTTGGTTTCCCGTTCCTGTATTAGTTTGCTGACAATGATGGTTTCCAGCTTCATCCATGTCCCTGCAAAGAACATGAACTCATTCTGGAAAAGAAAGAAGTTTAAGAAATCAGACCCTGATTATTTCATCTCTATTTCTTATCTGAGTTGCAATCTATTTTAGCTTGGGCTGCTGTAACAAAATACCAGAGACTAGATGGGCTTAATTATTTAATAGACATTTAATAGATATTTATTTCTCATGATTCTGGAGGTTGGGAAGTCCAAGATCAAGGTGCTGGCAGATTCAGTTTTTGGTGAGGGCTGTCTTCCTGGCTTACAGATAGCTGCCTTCTAGCTGTGTGTTCATATGGCCTTTTCTATGTGCATGCTTTCCTGGGTGACTCTCCTAGGAAGAGAGAGAGAGAGAGAGACAGACAGACAGAGAGAGAGAGAGAGACAGAATATCCCTTTCTCTTCTCATAAGATTCTGGTTTTTTTTTTTTTTTTGAGACAAAATTTCACTCTGTCACCCAGGCTGGAGTACAGTGGCACTACCTCAGCTCACTGCAACCTCTGCCTCCCAGGCTGAAGCAATCCTCCCATCTCAGCCTCCCAAGTATCTGGGACTACAGGTGTGTGCCACTACAGCTGGCTAATTTTTTTGTAGTTTTAGTGGAGATGGGGTTTCACCACATTGCCCAGGCTGGTCTAGAACTCCTGGGCTTGAGTGATCCGCCCGCCTCAGCCTCCCACAGTGTTGGGATTATAAGCGTGAGCCACTGTAGCCAGACTATAAGATTCTTTGTAAGGAAACTCTTTTGCTTCTATAATCTCATCACGAGAGTTCCAACCTCCTGACCTAATCACCTTCCAAAGGTCAACCACCTAATACTATCACATTGAGGGTTAGGGTTTCAACACATGAGTTTTGAGGAGGGCACAAACATTCAGTCCATAACACAGTCTCTAATCTCTTCAGTCATCAGCTGGGGACCTGGAACTCGGGACTGCGGGCCTCCTTGATGAGGCAAGGATGTAGGGTAAGAAAGAGGAAGTGGCCAGGGTCAAATGTGAGGTACATTTCACCCCCTGTCCTTCCTTTCTTCTGCACCACTGGAATATCCAGTTGGATGGGTAGACCAGAGGTCACTGAAGGGTTGGGGCTCTATTAAAAGGAGCTTACATGGAAAGATACTTAGAACTGTCAAAAGGAAAAAAATTTCAAAAGGAACGCTTTCAAGAAGTTAAAGCTTTCACAGTTAGTCCTCCGTAGGACACATCCAGATTCCTGCCCTTGCTCACACAATTACAGGTCTACCCTCCTCTGTGAGAGCCTCTCTTCAGATCTTCTTGGGCAAACCTGGACTGACTCCACAGGAAACCACCTGACCCACAGGGTTGTGCACACACTGGACCCATCTCTATCCTCAAAGCAAAGCCTTGCAACAAGTCTGGGGATTTGGGGTAGAATTAGGCTCTACAGTCACAGCAGAATAGTTTTTAATGACCCTTGATTTCCCAAGTTCTGCAGAAAACTTTTGAGAGGGATGGTGGGGAGGAATTTAGGCATTGCAAGTCTAGTCCTTTTCAAGGTCTATCCCCATTGTAAGTTGCAGATACGAATTTTTGTTTCTGATTTTCCTGTGAGTAACAGTGTCCATGGATATAGCCTCATCCGTGCAGGAGACACACAGATACACATCTGCCATGGACAAATTCTGATTCTCAGGCAGGGGACAGTAAAGCCACAGGAGAATGAGAAATGTTTAGCCACACCAAATGCCAACCGTGTGTAGTTATCAGCAAGATTCCTCTCTTCCAGTGCATTTAGCATGCTAAATTATTATGCAAAGAGGAGTGAATTCCTTTTATCCATCTCTTTACTTTCAAGTAAGTGTCTTTTGGAAATGACAGGAAGGTGAAAAAATAAAAAGCAAACACGTGCATTTCTGATCCACATACATCTTAATGGCTGTTTCCTTAGCCAGGCAAAAATGATGCACTGGGTCTGTAAATGTCTTAGAAAAGGCTATTTACTTCCTTCCCTCTGGCCCAAATAGATGTAGGGTGTGGATGGATATCATTCTTCAAGTATTGTTATTATCTCCTAAGATGCTACATTAATATGTTATCTAACCTTAAGTTGTTTGTATATTCTTTCTTTCTTAGTTTACATTTAAAAATAACCACTCAATAAAGCTCTCAGAGATGGTGCAGATGTCAAATAATATTGCCTGACTTTGCATGACAATATCTCATTTTATTCCCTAATTTAGTTTAATTCAAAACAGGGCTAATGTCTGTGAAATAGCCAATACAGAGACCAGCTGGAAACCTAACTGGCATCACAAGCTGTGCTCAGATTAACATTTCAAAAATGACACCATATGGTGAAGAGCTTTGGATTTTGTGACAAAGAAACAGAATGAATGCTGGACATCACAAACCAGCCTAGACTACATTGAGTCATGCATTGGAGTGAAACGTTCGTTAACTGGAATCATAGAACCCTCACCTACTTCCTTAGCTAGCTCCAGGAACAAACTTTTTTATATAGTGTTTTAGCAGACATCTTTTTTATTTTATGGGAGAGCTAAGCAATCTCTGATTTGAATGTGTTATTTTTGAATTATTATGAACATTGAAACCATCCTTTAAAACCATAAATATGCACCATAGAAAGGTTTTAGTTGAAAAATCTAGACACATTTTTGATGTTTATACATACACTAAATCATTGAGAAAATGTTCTGAGATTTGCCAAAGAAATTTCCCTGAACTTTTATATTCATATACACTTGAAAGGTAGGTAAATGTGGTCTATATGTTTCTACTCATCTACTATTAAACCTTTCAAATGATGTTTGTTAAAAGCACAGAATCCATACAGGAGTCATTTTCAACTCCTTTTTCTTTTTTCGTTTTTTTTTTTTTTTTTTTTTTTGAGACAGAGCCTCGCTCTGTTGCCCAGGCTAGAGTGCAGTGGCATGGTCTCAGCTCACTGCAAACTCCGCCTTCTGGGTTCAAGTGATCCTCCTGCCTCAGCCTCCCGAGTAGCTAGGGTTACAGGTGCCTGCCATCACACCCGGCTAATTTTTTGTATTTTTAGTAGAGACTGGGTTTCACCATGTCAGCCAGGCTGGTCTTGAACTCCTGACCTCGTGATCTGCCCGCCTCAGCCTTCCGAAGTGCTGGGATTATAGGCGTGAGCCACTGCACTCAGCCTCAACTCCTTTTTCATAAACTCTTGAGATGTTTTTCCATTCCAAGCCCCCACCACTTCCTGATGGTGAGAGCCTGATGGTCTTTCTAAGAAATCATGTTGGAATATGCCAAATAAAAATAGATAGAGATATATAGTATAGCTATCTATAGATACACCAATTAAGTGCCATGTAGCTTAAATGTAAATTTTTGCAAATGGTGCATTTTTTATTTGTTAAAAAGTGATGTTTAAATTTGCTATAGAGTTTATAAGACTTGTTTTTGATTTCAACAAAAACCATAATGCATAAATTTGTCAGTCTGAATGTTGTCTTTTGGTGACTTATGTTCTCAAGTTTGTCCTTGATATTAATAGAACCTAGTTTTTTTGGTATCAAAATGTTGGGAGTTGGTATGGATTCTTCAGAGAGGGAAACCCAGGATATAATGTACATTTCATCTTATTCCAAACCCCTCTCGGAAGCATTCTGCTTGAAAGGAAAAGGATAATGTTTTATCTGAACAGCCTTCTTCTGTTTTTCAAGGGTAATTTATTCCTGAAAAAATTATTGAAGGAATAAATCATCATAAATAAAAAATGTAATTACAAATAATTGAAACAGGGAAGAATTTCATGTTTTGTTTTAACTTTTTGTTTTTAAAGAATTATAGATTCACAAGAAGTCGCCAAAAAATGTACAGGGACAGGGAGTTCCTGGGTACCCTTCACCAAGTTTCCCCCAACGGTAACATTTTTGCATAACCATTAAAACTGGGGTATTGACATTGGTGCAATCTATGTACATGCATAGATTGTGTGTGTGTGTAGTTGTATGCAGTTTTATCATGTGTAGGTTTGTGTGACAAACACCACAATCCAGCTACAAGGCTCTTCTGCCACCACGAGTCTCCCTCTCGTTGTTCCTCATAGCCATACCTACCACCTTCCCTACCAAACCTAACCCCTGGCAACCACGAATCTGTTTTCCATTTCTATAATTTTGTTGTTTCAAGAACGTTAAATAAACGGAATCATACATAATGTAACCGTTTTTGAGATTGGCTTTTTTTTTTTCCAGAATAATTTCCCTAAGATCTATCCAAATTGTTTTATCTGTCAATATTTTATTCCTTTTTATTACTATCTAGTATTTCATAATATGGATATATCACTATTTGTTTAGCCATTCACCCACTGAAGGACTTTTGGATTATTTCTGGGTTTTGTGTATTATGAATAAAGCAGCTATCAACATTTATGTACAGATTATTTTTTGGTGAACACTTTCATATCTCTGGAATAAATACCTTAAGAGTGCAATTGCCAAATCATATGACAAGTGCATATTTAATTTTTAATTTTGTAGGAAACTGCCAAGCATTTTTTCAGAGTGGCTGTGTCATTTTACATTCCCATCAGCAACGCAAGAATGATCCAATTTCTCTGCATTCTTGCTCACATTTGGTGTTATCATTCTTTAAAATTTTTTTTAACCATTTTTTTTTTCTTGAGGCGGAGTCTTGCTCTGTTGCCCAGGCTGGAGTGCAGTGGCGTGATCTTGGCTCACTGCAAGCTCTGCCTCCAGGGTTCACGCCATTCTCCTGCCTCAGCCTCCCGAGTAGCTGGGACTACAGGCGCCTGCCACCACACCGGGCTAATTTTTTATTTTTGTATTTTTAGTAGAGACGGGGTTTCACCGTGTTAGCCAGGATGGTCTCCATCTCCTGACCTTGTGATCCGCCCCTCTCGGCCTCCGAAAGCGCTGGGATTACAGGCGTGAGCCACTGCACCCGGCCAGCCATTTTTAACATTTTGGTTTTAATGTACAGTGTTCTAATTGCTAACGATGTTGAATATAGTTTTGCATGTTTATTTACCATTTATATATTCTCTTCAATGAAATGTTTGTTTATGTCCTTTGTCAGTTTTTCGATTGGACTGTGTGCTTTTTTAAAACAGTTTTTGGTCTTTTATTCCTTTTGTATCTAAAAAGTATTTTTTTCCCTATTAGTTGATCTGGATTATTTCTTTTTTTTACCATTGAATTTTGAGAGTTCTTTTTATATTCTAGATACTAGTCCTTTGACACATGATTTGTAAATGTTTTCTCTCCATCTCTAGCTTACATTTTTATCCTCTTAATAGGGTCTTTTGCAGAGCAAAAGTTTTTAATTGTCATGAAGTACAATCTATCTATTTCCCCTTTTATGAATTGCATTACTGATTTCAAGTCTGAACACTTTGCCTAGCTCTGGATCTTGAAGATGTTTTCCTATGTTTTTTCATAAAAGTTTTATAGTTTTACACTTCATATTTAAGTTTGTGATCTATTTTGTGTTATTTTTTTAAGGTATCAAATTTAAGTGGAGCTTCCTTCTTTTTTCTTTTTCTTTTTTCTCTGCTGTGGATGTTCAATGTTGCAATACTGTTTGTTGAAAAGCCTGCCCTCCCTCCATTGAATTGCTTTTGCACTTTTGTTAAAAATCACTTGGATATACATCTGTGGATCATTTCTGCTTCTCTGTTCTGTTCCATTGATCCATGTGTCTTTCCCTCCACCAGTGCCAACTGTCTTGATTACTGCAGTTATGCAATGAGCCTCAGCATTGGGTAGAGTGACTCCTTTAACTTTATTCACCTTTTTCAAAATTGTTTTAGCTATTCTAGATTTTTTTTGCCTTTTCATATGAATTTTAGAATAAACTATGTCTATAAAAATCTTTGCTGAGATTTTGACAGAAATTCTGCTAAAACTATAGGTCTGGGGATACTTCATAACTCCACTATGTTGAATTTTCTAACATATGAATGCTATGTCTCTCTATTTAGGTTTTCTTTGATTTTTTTTTCATCAGCATTGTCTAGTTTTCAGTATGCAGATCCTGTGCA
This sequence comes from Homo sapiens, assembly GCF_000001405.40. Lineage (NCBI taxonomy): Eukaryota > Metazoa > Chordata > Mammalia > Primates > Hominidae > Homo > Homo sapiens. The sequence goes on along the minus strand of NC_000002.12, from coordinate 151,098,693 downwards.
TGTTTTGTTAAGTCATGTGTTAAGCCCTCAAACTGGCATCCACTTACACTAAAACAATATAATATCCCATTAAATTGGGCACAATTATTTGAATAGCTGTTAAAATAAGTTATAATAGCCCCTGACAAGGTGTTATATCTTTATTACTTAGAAAACAGCTGTTTACTTGCTCTTGTTAAGCAATTTTACAGCCCTTATCACAGTATACTACGTACTACGTTCAGATGTAGTTCTGCCACTTACTAACTCTGTAGTTTCAAGATTAAGATTGCTTAATTAATCTGTGCCTCAGCTCCCTCAGCAGAAAAATGGGATAATAATAGTACCCACCTCTTAGGATTGAGTGAGGATTAATAAATTAATATGTGCAAAATGTTTAGCACAGTACACCACATATTGTCAATGCCCCCAAATTATATATTAATATTCTTTTACTATTGTAGGACAATAGCACAATTCAAACTGTATTGCAAAGCAAGTAAAAATGTAACAACAATAAACACAACTCAAAGAAAAAGGAATGCAGTGAAACAATGCGAGTGACATCATACTAAATAGACAAGTTGACGTCATAAATGGCATGATTCCTGAGGTTATTTCTGCTGCTATAAATGAGCATACCATGAGTTTCCTGAGAGGATAATTTAATGCAATTCGAGCTAACTACATCTGCAAAGATGACTGCATGTGGCACAAGAAAATCCAAATTGGTTTCTATTAATGGGAAGAAGTGCCTCAGAAGCCAAAGGAAGGGATATTACATGAAATGCTTCATAAATTTGAATTCTCGTAACCCAAATAGGCACATCTTGGATTATAACTATATTTATAGATCACTTCACTTGGTACTTATAAAATTGATCTCAGGCTTTAAATATTCCTCTCCTGTATCATTTTTACTTTTGAAATATGGTTCTCTAATACAGTTACTAGCTCCCTTGGCAGTGGTTATTAATAAAAATGTAGAATTCTAAGAACTTTGGGAGCTTTATTACTTTACTAATGTTGAGGTGTCTACAAATGAATGCCTTGTCTTTTCTACTAAGTCAGGGCTTGAAGCCCCAGGTGATCTTTCTTCTCTCAACAGCATGGTTGGGACTTCCCTAATTCTCAAACCCTGATTTATTTTTATTAAGTCTTCATTGTGAAACTGACACAGCGCCTACCCAGCATGCACAATAGCTTTGTGAGAATCTCCTATATACTTTCATCCATCAATTTATCATCTCTTTAATACTCAGGAAAGATAAACACCCAATTCTCCATGGTTTGGTTTCCCTCCTTAACATGCATTATAACAAACCACCTCATGTCCTGCCAGAAAGGCTTAAATTGATTCCTGCCTGCATGTCCCAGCTGGGGCTCTTGGCTTCATGTCAGTCCCCAGGCCTACAGATGAGCTGGATATATTTTGAATGCAGCTGTAGACCTTTTTAAAGAGCATAAGCCAAAATGAGTTCATAATCCCTGGAATGCATGCTCTATGTAGGCTTTCATTTGTTTTTGGAAAAATCCCAGAGCTGGTAATTTCAGATAGAGTTTCACTGGCCTTGACCCTTTTGCATCCAGGGGGGATTTTTGTTTCTTTGTCCATCTCCTGGACTCTCTGTTGCCTTTGTGACATTTTTGTTATATTTCTATTACAGGAAGAGAGGAAGATACATGTTCTTGATGTAAGGTCTTTAAATTCAGAATAGGGACACCCAACAAGGCTAGTAGAAGTTTGCTAAAACGGAGGATGGGAGGATGTGCTATAAGATACCTCTATTTGAACCCTTGCTATACTTAGGATGGAGCGGTAGGTTTGAAACTCAAGGATGGATGGCTGAGTTTTAGTGGAAGGAAGATGTGACATGAAATTATTAGAAGTGATCTATTTTGTCTCATAAAATATTGGTGAGTCTGTCTTTATGTTTGTTGGCATAGCATTTATTATAACACATGTTTAATACATCAATAAATTAAATGCTTTAAATAACATCAGCTTGATAGGGATCTAAAAACATACTTTCAGTACAGAGTTGGAAAATGTAATTGATTCATAATTATTCATAATGCTAGTCTAAATGTGATAGACATTAGCAATTGTCTCATAAAAGATGCTTTATATTAGTTTGTCAAGCATAAACATTCTCTCTATATGGACTTCTAAAACTTACAGAATTACTAAAATAAGAAATAATTCATTTTATGTAATTTGGGTTGTGGTTACCAACAGGCTACAACATGTTTCATCTCTTCCTCTTTCCTTCCTCCACACAAAAAAGGAAATAAGACAGTTTTTGAAAGTTTCAATTTTAAAAGCAGTGCCTTATGGATCACAGCAGAGCTGGGCAACTCAAGGAAAAAGCGTTAGAACCATCTTCAGGCTGGTGAGACTGCTGTGAATCTGGTGAGCCATGCGATTACAGAATGAGAATTAGAGGCAGGTGTGGGCATGCGCCATCCCAACTCACCACGGAAAGAGGAGTCCTGGCTAGTGGACTCAATCCACTAGCTCAATTGTGTTTTCCTTGGAATATCTAATTCAATGTTAGATAAAAAGGCCTTAACTGTCCCTTCTTGAGAGTCATTTCTTAAGATACTGTCTCCCTTAACTCCGATTCCATGATTTCTCCCCAGCCTTCTGATAGCTTGTTTCCAATACAAGCCATTTGTTGATGGTAAGTGAATGTGCTGACTGGGGCTGTATGATCATCCACTCTCTTTGAGAATTGCATTTCTCACTGTAATTCAATGACTTAACATTCTGCTTATAATTTGATTTCCCTCATTAATTCAATGGATATATATTGATCACCTGCTATGTGCATCACTTGCTTAATGGGAAGGAAAGCAATACTTTGCAGATGTGAACAGTGCCGTCTATTTGGTTGCAGAATTTCTCATTGTGAGTTAATAAATGGGCACTGTGCTGTGTGTGTATGTGTGCGTGCATTTTAGTATCTATGTGTTTGATTAATCATGTACATCTGTTCTTGTGAAACAGCCTTCGTTTCACTAGGTGTGTCTGGAACAATAACCTCAGGTTTCAGAGCCTGTAAGTTGCTTCTGTCAAGGTACACCTTTTGTTTTGAATGATCTAAACAGCCAAACAGGTGGTATTGCTTTCATGTGCTCCTTGCAGCAAAACATTTGTACTTCATCCTTATATCAAACTTAGGAATTCTCTGACAGCAAAGCAATCCTTCTTTGATACTTAAGAGGACACAGCTGACCTTGGATAAGGATTGCTTATGAAGCCCTTGTTCTCGGTTCAGCAATTTTGGCCCACAGCATCAGACACAGAACTAGCAGATAGTTCTCTATCGTGAGTAAAGAACTCAAGTAAACCACAGGAACAACTCCTAAGCAAGAGGCAGGTGGCAAGTGATAGAATAAGAAGCCTTTACAATTTTTTTCTTCCAGATCACATTTACCTTAATATTGAAGGATTGTCATTTGTCATAACCTGGTAATCTTCACCCTTCCCCTAATCTATGAAAAACAAGAGTCAGTTTCATCAACAATAGCTGCCTGTTGGCCAAAATGAAGGCTGTTGAGGCAGGAAAAATCTGATAAAGTTTTACTGGAAGCCAAATGTGAGGATGGACCTGGAAAGACACATCAACAAAGTTGGGTGTGTTCCAGAGTCTGTTACAAGTTGGAAGCTAATGTGGTTTGACTCTGTGTCCCCCTACCCAAATCTCATGTTGAATTATAATCCCCAGTGGTGGAGTAGGGGCCTTATGGGAGGTGAATGAATCATGGGGTTGGACTTCCTTCTTGCTGTTCTCGTGAAAGAGGTCTCATGAGATCTGGTTGTTTGAAGGTGTGAGGCACCTCCCCCTTCTCTCTCTCTTTCTCCTGCTCTGGCCATGTGAAGACATGCTTGCTTCCTCTTTACCTTCTGCCATGATTGTAAGTTTCCTGAGGCCTCCCTAGAAACAGAAGTCTGTAGAGCCTGCAGAACTGTTAGCGTAATTAAATCTTTTTTTCTTTGATTTCCAACTTTTAAATTCAGGGGTACATGTACAGGATGTGCAGGTTTGTTACAAGGTAAATGTGTGCTATGGTGATTTGCTGCACAGATCATCCCATCACTGAGGTATTAAGCCCAGCATCCATTAGCTATTCTTCCTGATGCTTTCCCTCCCCCACCTCCCCAACCCTCTGGCAGGCCCCAGTGTGTGCTGCTCCCCCCACCATGTGTCCATGTGTCTTCTCATTCAGCTCCCACTTATAAGTGAGAACATATGGTGTTTGGTTTTCTGTTCCTGCATTAGTTTGCTGAGGGTAATGGCTTCCAGCTCCATCCATGTCCCCACCGAGGACATGATCTTGTTCCTTTTTGTGGCTGCATAGTATTCCATGATGTATATGTACCACATTTTCTTTATCCAGTCTATCATTGATGGGCATCTGGATTGAGTCCATGTCTTTGCTGTTGTGAATAGTGCTGCAGTGAACATATGCGTGCATGTGTCTTTATAATAGAATGATTTATATTCCTTTGGGTATAAACCCAATAATGGAATTGCTGGGTTAAATGGTATTTCTGCCTTTATAAATCTCTTTTCTTTATAAATTACCCAGCCTCAGGTAGTTCTTTATAGCAGTGCAAGAATGGACTAATACAGAAGGCTTTCACAGGAAAGTTTAGGAGAAGAGTAGGGGACTCCTCATACCAGAGGTATGAGGTTCTTTTCACTAGAGAGTACAATACAGAAGGTACAGTCATTGGTTATAGATTACAATATATAGGCCAAAATGTTCTATGTGCAAGACAGTCCTTAAAACTTCATGATTCAGAAATAAGTCGGTGTGTTTTTCAATGTCAGCAGGTTATGTACTTATCAGTACATCAACAGTTGGAGGAACTCATGATAAGATTTGAGGGACTCAGATAAGATTCTTTGCTCAAGGACAGGATGTAAGCCATGTATCCCAAGACCTCCTTCAGGTGGGTTAATCTGGAAGTCTGCCACATGTGACCTGTAGGTTATCTGGCCTGACAAGAATGCTGAAAGTAACCTGTGGGTATTCTATATTTTCCACAAATGAGTTAGGAGAGTGAGTGCTTGGTTCAACTTTGCCGTAACCTTCTTGTATGATTCAGATAATGCTGGGTCTCGGTTTTCCATTTTTTGATGAAAGTGTTGGGATAGATAACAGTGATTCTCAGATTATTTTTAGCAGCATAATTCTTTCTATAAAAAGATTCTTACACAGAATCTCTAACATAAAACAGATAAATACAGAATTGCTCAAGTTATAGCAGGAAAGGAGGAGCTCTGAGCCCTGCTGGTTTGCTTGTCCTTTTTTCCTCAATCTCTATGACATCCCTGGAGTCTGCTCCCTAGTGGGGATTTAGTCTGGTTTGGAAACTACTGGATTAGATGGGCTCTGAAGTACCTTCCACAGATAAAGGTCTGAGATTCTACTTTTAACATTGCTTTCCTCTAATTTTCCAGATACCATGCCAGTATCTATCATCTATTATCTATCAATCTATCATCTACCTCTGATTAAGAGCATAGTTCTGAAAGTGTAATGTCTGGGTTTGTGTTCTAATTCTGACACTTTACTGGATATGTGACGTAGAGCAAGCAAGGTAACCTTGCTGTGCCTCCATCCTCATGAAAAGGTCAGGGGAGAATACTATCTACCTCCAAATGTTGCTCTGTGTATTGCATAGGTAAATGTGCTGAATATAATGTAAGAATTCAACAAATGTTGGCCATTACTGTTATCATAATCTGGTTAAACCTTTGAAGTTTGAAACAAATTTAAAATGTATATAAGAAGTGTAAGGAGACTGGCCCTTCTCCCTCAAAAATGGATCCCAGATGCTAGAACTTAGGTGCTGAAGTGGAAGACAGCAGCCCTAAGAAGGTAGAGGATGGGGCTGGGTCAGTGAGTGCTTGTTAAGCAGAGGCTAAGAGCAGTTTCTTCTTTTAAAGCTGCTGACTATGGCGACAGAATGAGACTCTGCCTACAGTCACGATAATGCACAGTTTGAATATTTACATAACTTGTATACCGTACTGGCTTTTATCCCCAAATGACATTGCAGAACTTCAAGCCCCCTGAAAACTCAACCCAATACATACATTTTTAATAAGTACTCAGGAAGTATGGCTCAAATGAGCTTATGAGTATCAGCACTTATTTTCTCCTCTATTTCTGGCTCAGACTCACTTCCCTGGATTCTGGGTAGTCAGCTGGGTGCTGCTGTGCCTTCTGGTGGGTGGTGCTGGGCCAGTGGGCCCTGCCACTGGTGAAGCATTGAGGCTGCCATTACTCTGCCCTGTTCATTTGGCATCAGTGACACTAATGCAGTGGAGCTCATGAGGCAGGAAAATGTGTAATCTTAGCTTCTTGGATGTAGATGGGGGCAATGCATCTCTACCTAGCTGCTCCCTTATACTCCATTACAGGGACCAGGGCTCCACATGACCACATGGCCATAGAGTCCTAAGGCCAACTAAAGAAACCAGCTGCATAGATCTTGGGTCTCCTTGCTGCCACCTCACATCTTTTAACCCCTCCAAATAGCCGGATCTCATCTTGGGAGTATCTTAACACCTTGAGTTTTCAAGGGGCTTGAAGTTCTGCATCTTGGGATTATCAGAGAAAGGAAGAAATCTGAAAGACTAAGTGTTTACTTAAAAGAGACTGTTTAAATGGAAAGAGTGGGATCTACTGTAAGTTGGTAAATTTTAGACACATACTCCCACCTTTTTCTTCATCCTATCATCACTCCACTGGGTATATAAGTCCTCCTCTTAGGACTGTGGAGTGGTGGGCTGTTCACAGAAGAAATTTTGGAAAGAGCGTGGTAGCTGAGCACTGTGTTTAGGGCACTAACTTTTTATAAACCAGACACACAGTGTGAGAGGCACTCACTCTTGCAACGGTGGGTATTTCTTCCCAGATTGCTGCCAAAGGGACAGCTTGGAGCTGAGTCAGCTCCCCACATACAGACTGTAGTTTCAATTTTGTAGGAAATATTTTCTAGCTAATGAGGTATGGATGTTATAAGCTATGGCTAGAGCTATGACCATTTTTTTTGAAGCCCACCCCGAAAGGAATCCAGCAAAGATTTATGTGTGATGTTTGTAAAGTCACTTTTTCTGACAATTGATTTCCACCCCACACCTGCAGAGAACTAAAAGCAACAAGGCAGAGTCTGTTCTCCTCGCCACTCCCCAATGGTGGCCGGGGCATCATTACTCCTAAAGTAATCTGGGGCTGCCCTTATGCCACCTGTAATTTATCCCATCTCCCTCCTTCATTTCCTGTGACTAGTCTGTAATAAACCTTTTCTGTTCTCACTCTGCAAGTCTTTCTTATCTATCTCCACATCACACGCTTCCCACTTTACACCTCAACCATGGCCTGTTAGCTTCCTTATCGATTTTATGTGATCCTCCCCAAAACCATCTGATAAATTGTTGGGAATCTAACATTTCATTTCATTATCCTACTCAATATTAATGTTAAAGTGACCTGTCAATGGTAAAGTGACCTGTCCCCAACCTCCTTTCCTGTCTCCACAGTCAGAATTGCATTCAAGAGTTAGCCAAGAGCTGCACAAGTTTTAAAGGCAGGAAATACCATCAAACCAATGCCCATGGTTTGGAAACTTGGGAGGCTGGCAATTTCTATGCCAAGCCCACAGCGGGCCCCTCTATGTCTTCATTCATTTCATGCCATTAGGTTGGAGGTGAAGTTTACATCTCACGTATGGCCCCCGGCCACTGCACCTCATATCCAGTCAGTGTGATCTATTCACTGCCCGTGCCATGAACAAATCACCTTGTGAGCCTTTGCTCAGCAAGACCTCCCTTGCTGTCTCTACCTCTTCAGATCAACTCATATTCCTCCCTGTCCATGAAGCCTTTCTTCCATGATCACCACAGGTTTCGCAGAGTTTTCTTTTCCATCTGAATTTTTATAAACAGTAACTTTAGTGGTGAAGACTAATTACATTGTACCTCCATGCCTTATTCCTTATTAAAGATGTTCTTATTTCCCTTGCCCTTTTTAACTGTAAGAATGCCAGAGTCTAATCGCTGTCTCTTGTCTATTTGCTTGTGTTGTGGGTATATAGGTCTGCTCCCCCAGATATCAATGCTAGTAATTCTACCAGGAACAAGACTGTATCTCATGTTTACTTTGCATCCCCACAGTTTCTAATATCTTGTTCTGCATGGGGTGGATGCTCCGCAAATACCGATTGACTAATGAATTAATTCTATGACATAGCCATGCTTATCATGATACCTCAAATGGACCACACAATCAATTCCAGAATTATAAGGTAAAGTGAATAACTGCTCCCTTGAAAGACACTTTGCATGTTTCAGAACTGAGTAGCATACCTTCAAATAGTAATGATTACTGCTGATATTTACTGAGTGTACATATTGCCCAGCACTATTCTAGGCATCTTTATCTGTGAGATGGGTACTATTGTTATCCCCACTGATATAGACAAGAAAACAGGCAAAGCTATTAGTTGTAGAATCAGAATTTGAAGCAATGAAGTTTGGCTTTATATTCTTAACAATCACATGAATGCCTTTAGGTTGTTGGAACATCATGGTTTATAGCAATCAGGAGCAGCACTAAGAAAAGTCTCTAAGAAGCCTGTATGAGGTTTTGCTGATAGACTTAACAATGACTAAGTCAAAGGCCAAATTTTATGTGTCTCATTTGTGAAAAAGACTCTGAACATCAGTCTTTTTAACTACTGATAAGCTCTTGAGGACATAAACATGCATGTCCTAACAATCACAACAGCAGCGCCAACTTCAAAATACAAAGACAATACAAAATACAAACTTGATGACAATATACTTTTAGAGATCTTGTTTCTGTTCACATTAATACATTAGCCACACATTTTCCAGATATTACAATAGTTTTTCTGTAAAGGGCCAGAGAGTGAATCTGTAAGGCTGTATGGACCACAAGGTCTCTGCGGCAACTACCTGGCCACTGCAGTGCAAAAGCAGCTAGGAACAACATGCAAATGAATGGACATGGCTGTGTTTCAATAAAACCTTATCAACACTAAAAGACAGTGTGCTGCATTTGGCTGTAGGCCATAATTTCCTTACCCCTAGTTTAGACAAATCATTTCTGTCTTGTCAGTTACCATTGGAATTGTGCAGGGGTCGAATCCACGTCTTTCAAATTATTCCCCCTGCACTTCTGTTAGGAACCACTGAATAAAGGGACTACTTTTTAATTTCTGTCAGGCTTTCCTTAATCTTCCCATCTATGGATTTTTGAAAATGTTTCTCAGATATTAAATCAATTTCAGGCTCTAAATATTGCTTCACATTCATTGACTTCTAAGAACCTGGGAAGGCATAGTATTCAATTTTAGTTTCCTGTAATTTGGAACTGCTCGTTATTGATGCTTCAGATCTGCTTCTGATCCTTAGTTCTCAGATATCCTGGGAAGAAAATATAGGGACAGAAAAGGGAAGAGATAGAAAAAGGGAATAAGGGAAGTCAGAGAAAGAGAAGACAGGGAAGAGATGAGGGAGTAGGGACTCTGAACACTGAAGAGCAGAAATATTTATGGCACTCTTTGGACTACTCTAATACAGAGCAACTTACAGAATACCTGCCACTGGATAGCATATAAATACAACAGCCTTGTCCAGGAACTACCCACAAAATATAGAACCCGAGTAGGTGTTGCCTAGAACAGTGGAACAAACAACCATTAAATATTTTACAAAACATATAGAACTGATGCATGGACTTTTCCCGAACATGCCACAGATTCAGAATGCAAGTATGTTAAAAAATTTTTATTTGGTTTCTATTTGTATTAAATAGCATTTCTTCTAACTTCAAATGAAGGTGGTAGCACATCTCTCTTGACGACAGAACAGTTACTGTAAACAAGACAATGGTGAGTCTTCACTGGATCCCTCTGTTTACAGAAACAAGTATGAGGGATGCTATGCCCAGGAATCTGATCAAGTTTGAGGGAAAGAAAAGGGACTTTTAGATGCTGTGGCCAGGCCTTGATGTAACCAGACGATGGTTATCAGGGGCAGCTGGCTCAGTGGCATAAAAAAGGCTTTGCTTTTCCTGATTTTTGGTCTCTGGGCATGAGAAGAAGGATAATGAATCTGTGAGAAATGACACATTCTAAAGAATAAAGTCAGTACATGTTATATTTAAGGAAATATTTATCTTCCTTAATATGAATTGAGATTGCAATTTTCTGAAAATTATCTGATAATATTGGCAGAAAATTGCAGTGAATGTCAATCCAATGCTTCTCTGCTGGATAACCAGGAAGAATGAGAGAGTTAGCTGGACCTTGGGGGGAAACTACTACTTCACCTCCCTGCCTCCTATCCTCCACTGTGGTATTATTCATGGCTAGATGTGGATTTGGGACTCTACTACTGCAGGTGCCTTATGGCTTAATCCTAAAGTAAAATAAACTCTTGGGGTTAGGCAGTGGGTTGCTCCTAAAAGGTGGATATAGGCCTGTGATTTAAAGGCTTGTAGAAAGAGCTTTTTCTATCTCAGAAAAGAGAAGATGGGGGGAAAAAAAGGAGACTAACATGGATGTATCTTCATAGGATTCACCTGAGAAGGGCTTACTTTTTAAAATTTTATTTTATTTTTTTACTTTTCCCATGAACTCTGGAATAACTATATTTAACTAAAGGTTTTAGTCATGTACTACTGGACATGACTTTACCCCCAACTCTTTTGTAGAGTGAGTTTACCCTGTGTTTTGTGATATGGGTGGTGCTTGGAATTAAGAGATGCAATATTAAAGGACCCCTCCGAGGAAGCTTTGCACAGCAGGGTGGGTGTAAGAACTCATGGAGGTGGGGCGTGGGAGTTCTTGGTAGAGCTGAGACACCTTGGTGGGTGTGGGAGGAAATAGGGAGAAGCAGCTGCCAACTGAATGGCATAGAAACAGATGCAAGATCCTAAAACAATCTTCTCAAGAGGAAAATAAATATTGCTCTCAAAATCAGAGAATCAGCAGCAAGGTTCTATGCTGATTCACTTGGCTCTAATGTCTTACTCCTACAGATTGCCGGAAATAAAACATTTTAAGAACTCTGACGTTATGAGAAATTATCAGAAGCATCTAGCTGTAAATGCACAAATCTTATTTCCTTGCCTTGGGCCTTTGAAACTGTCTTCAATATTTGGTAAAAACAACTACTTAAGCAGTTTGTCTTCTACCTAATGTGGCAATTCGATTCCTCAATTAGATTGTTGCTACTGTTGGCTGATTAAAACAGAATGGCATGCAATGGCAGTTTAAGTATTGGGCTTTCTCCTTTGCATTCAGGTGGACAATTCTGTCATAGTCCCTAGCACCATACTTATTCCTTCCATATTTCTCCCTTGCATAAATTTCTGCCTGGCTTAAAGGAAAAGAAGCCTCTCTTTGGATGCTCTGTTTCTGGAAATGGGAGTAGAACTGGGCAGATGCAGGTGAGAGGTGGGTGCTAATGGAGTTATATTAAACATTTTAACATTGAGCAGGAAGCATGTACTTTAAAATCAGATAGACACACTTACTTTGCGATACAAGGCAACTTTCCTAACCTTTCTAAGTCTCAATTCTTTATCAGCAAAAGAAGGAATAATAATGGAACATTCTAATTAGGGTTGTTGTAAAAAATTATATGAAAAATGCATTAAAAACATTTAGGACAATGCCTGGGTCATGGTTAACACTCCATAAGTACTCTTTATTCAATAGATACTTCTTGAATATCAAAATATTAAAGCTGATCAACATAACAATTTGAGAGATCCTATCACTATTTCCAACGGGAATAATTTGAATTCTGATTTCCTGTTTCTGATGCTAGATAGGAAAAGTGGTAGCCTCTCCTTTGCTCTCGATTAGCATCTATATGAGTGGATTTTATGTAAATGAGACATTTGCATTCATAGTGACTAGAGAAATGAGTTCTAAATCATGTAGACTGTTTGGCACCTCATTTTCTTGTTTTCTAGTGTTGCGCTAATGCCTGCCTCTGAAGCACCTGGGTCTTCACGTCTGACTGAAGTCATTAAAAAAATATGTGAACTGCCTTTTTTAAAATTAGTGACATATGCTTCCACTCTTTACATTTTAGACAAATAATCAAAATTTCCAACACAGATATGGGTAATTCTTTATTTAAGTGAAATCTCACCACTTACATACTTATCTTTTCAAATTGCCGGTTCACCAGTATGAGGAACAAATGGAAAAACTTTCTGATGTTGGTGCTGTCATGAGCTTTTCATTTCAGTGTAATCATGTGATTAAATATATTTTGTTAATTTGCTGGGATATTTCCCTTTCTTGGAATGTCTTCTGAACTCCTCTCTCATTTGTTATATAGCAACAACAGCAACTCTGTGCTAAACATTGACCTAAGTCCTTTACATGTTTTAATTAAATTTAACCTGGCATCCCCTTAAGATGGTGGATACTATTTAATCCTATTTTTACAAGAGAGAAAATTAAAGCTCAGCAATATTAAACAAATTGTTTAAGACCACATGGCTATTACACAGCAGAGTTGGGATTCACAACCAGGTAGATTTTTCCAGAATTCATACTCTTAAAAATTATATTATGTTGCCTCTCCATTTAGTTCTGTCTCAAACTTTCCTAAGGCTCAGTTCATTGCCATTTCTTTCTGATCTACCTTTCCTGCCCAAACCATGTACCTCCCCTTCCCCAGTTCCTTTAGCATTATTTTATTTGCATCATTCATTTGTCATTTAGGGAACTCTACCTATCATTGTCAATTAACTGTCTCAAGTTAGGTCCGGTCTCTCCCAGAAGATTGGAACTCCACATATTATGCCTGCTAAATACCTTCCCTGAAGAAGGTGGTGATGAGTAAAAAATTCTCACCTTAACAGTTCCTCTCTACACTGGAAAAGTGCGACATAATTTTACCAAATGTAATGTGAGGAATCGAATGGTCAAGTTATAAGTGCTTTTTACCTCTTCCTTTGTATGAGGCAGAAAACCAGTCTGAGCTAGGAAGAAACTACACATTTAGGTTCTTGGATTGAGTTCCTTGGTGCCTGGTGTGAATGATCATCTTGAGTCCATATGTTCTGAGAGCTGTTTCACTCTGGCCAAGATTTTACTATAGAGCTTTATTTATTAACATTAACAAGAATCATGGGGCTGGACCCTCATGACTCAAATGGAAAGTTTACACCTACTAAGAGAGTCCAGAGCAAGACAATTAGCACTTATGTTTTCAGGGTGAATGGATGGAAACCATCTGAGAATTAGAAAGCCTGCCAAAGTGGCCAGCACAATGAAAATCAAGTTTTCAGAAATGGCTAACTGAATACTGTGACTGGATAATTATTTTCAGAAACATTCCATAGACAGAATTTACCAAAACCCGGATCACATTGGTTTCTTTCCAAAATGCATGTTGCCTAAATTCTTGTTCTGCAGTCATTCTTATTCCCTCTATGGGAGAAAATATGTTTCAAAATAAGAGAAATACTCTCTTGTTGGCAGCTGAAAATAGAGGAAACTAGATACGGCCGGCCTCACTAACTGGACTTTTTTTTGTCTGCATTGTAAATTTCACCACTTATGGTCATTGGGCAAGAATCAATATTTAAGCAAGTAAGTAATTTTAAGCAACTATATAAGTTAGAGGATAGTTGTTAGGATTCCATTATTATGCTTTAATTCCTCAAACCATGGATGAGATTCATGGCTGCAATGCCATGCTAACCTGACATCAGTGTAAGCTCTGACCCACTTAGGGTCAATGCTAGCTTAAAAATGCTTATAGGCAGAAGAAAGCAGCAAAGGAGAGCCTTCTTTGTTAATAGCTACCTGGAAAAACAGTGTGATAAAGAAAGGAGCACACCATTTCTCGCTAGATGTGAAAATAGGGAGGAGGAGCTATTCTTTGGAGAAATCTAAAAGAGCTATTGATCTTCCAATGCTTTTTTGGAAATGCCTGTGTTGCTTTATGTTGCATTTTCATTCATTCATAGTTGCTTCTGCTAATAAAGGTCCTCTGGTGGCAGTAATTCTTTTCAGCAGATTGAAGTCGTTTAGTAATGAAATCCTTGGTGTATTCACTAACATGAAGTGCGATCTGTCCTTGCACCTGGTACACATTCAGCTTTACAGACAGTCGCATTGCTATTCATGCCTTTTGTTTAGTCACACAAGGGAAATAGAACAAGAAGTATAGGTTTTCACCTTGGCTTTTATAACGTACCTTATGAGCTATGCACCTCCTTAGAATGAATTTGGCAGTCCTAGTTCTTAGGCAACAATGATTTGTAACTGGACTTAAGAAAAAGGGACATTAATTGCTAGTAATTAGTAGTTCACAGGGATTTTTTTTTATTCTGAATTAATCAATCCCCTTGAGAAAAGTGAGGACCAGAAAAAGCAAGGTTTTAGCTTTAGAATTCAAGCATTTCAAGTTTAGTGTCATACCAATGATTCATTCTAGTTTTATTTTGGAGCTCTCAAAGCTTCACGTCACCCTCTCTTTTTAAATTTAATATTGTTTTATCAAAGTTATACATGTACATTGTTTAAAAAGTCAAACCTTCTACAAAGCTCATAATGAAAAACAGCAATATCCTGTCCCACCCTTCCCGCCTCCATTCCAACTCCCCAGAGACTACCTCTTTCAACTTTAAGCTGTTTCTTCTGCTGTTTATTGCCATATTTCTAAATAACCTGCTTGTAGTGTTATTTCTTGATTTGTTTCCAGTTCTAGGTCTTACTTACTGGCCCCTTACTATATGGAAGGCAAGAATTTAGTGTTCTTAAAATCACCTCCCACAACCCCAAGATATATCTCCCTCTTCATCCTCTCTTTGTGTTGCATTATAATTTTTGATTACATCAATATTCACTCTTTACATTGTTGGTACTATGTAACTATTCACGGCTGTGAAGTGTAGCAAGGTATGGTTACAGTTCTTTTCTTTTATACGTTTAGATTTTCCTGGGGTAAATAATTGCTTCTTTTTTGTCTGTTTTTCTTTCTTTTTCTCTTTCCTTAGGTTTCTGTGTAAATACCAATTATCACTAATTTATTCCCAAACTGTCAGCCAGACATGTAAACATTCTCTCAAGTACAACCAGTACATGTGAAAATAATGTGACCTATCTACGTCCCTTTTGTTGGGAGGTAGAGCGCTGGGAGCACATCCCTCTGGAGGTCCTCTTTCCTGTTCTGATCTGGACTGTCTGCCAAGGCTGGACACACAACTGCCATCCTTCAGCCTCCCCTCGCCACCTTGTGAAGGTTCTCCTAACTTGCTCCTGTCTTCCCCTTTCTTGGTTTTCTCCCATATTTTAGTTGAGAAAAATGCCATTTAGGAGTTGATCAAGAAAGGGGGCATAGGAAGCAAAGTTTTGGAGACCTTACATGTCTGATGATGATTTAATTTTATCCTCACACATGATTTCTAGTTTAGCCAGTTCTAGATTCTAAGATGAAAGTCAGGTTGCTGCAGAATTTTTGCAAGCACTGCTCCTGCTCTCAGGGCATCCAGTATCTCTGTTGAGAAATCTGATGCGATATTAATTCTTGATCCATTGAATCGACTTTTTGCTTTTTAATTCTCTTTGGAAATTAGTGGGCCTTTTTATTGTCCCTGGTGATCTGAAATTTCTTAATGATGTGGCTTATAATGCATTTTTCTTTTATTGCTTTTATTAGTACTTTTAATCTGGAAACTCCTGCCTTTCAATGTGGAGACTTTTTTTTGAAAAAAAAAAAAGTTTGATAGTTTCCTTCTTTCTGTTTTATCTATTTTTTTTCTAATGCTCTTATTATTCTGATTTTGGATCTCCTGGATTGATCCTAATCTTTTCTCATCTTTCCTGTCTTATATTTCACCTATTTTTTTTACTCTATCTTTTGAGAGATTACTTAGCACTATCCTCAAATCCTGTTATTGAAATGTTTTTCCTTAATAAACTTTAATTATAAAGATATTTATTACAGCATGATTTGCAAAATTAGGAAAATGAAAAACACTTTTACTTATTTAAATATTCTCTCTCTCTCTCTCTTTTTTTTTTTTCCAGGGTCCTGCTCTGTAGCCCAGGCTGGAGTGTAGTGGTACAATCATGGCTCACTGCAGCCTCAACTCCCTGGGCTCAAGTGATCCTCCTGCCTCAGCCTCTTGAGTAGCTAGGACTACAGGCATGTGCCACAATGTCTGGTTGATTTTTTTTTTTTTTAATTATACGTTAAGTTCTGGGATACATGTGCAGAATGTGCAGGTTTGTTATATAGGTATACATGTGCCATGGTGGTTTACTGCACCCATCAACCTGTCATCTACATTAGGTATTTTTCCTAATGCTATCTCTCCCCTAGCCCCTGACTCCCCGAGAGGCCCCGGTGTGTGAGATTCCCCTCCCCGTGTCCATGTATTCTCATTGTTCAACTCTCACTTATGAGTGAGAACATGTGGTGTTTGGTTTTCTGTTCCTGTGTTAGTTTGCTGAGAATGATGGTTTCCAGCTTCATCCATGTCCTTGCAAATGATATGAACTCATCCTTTTTTATGGCTGCATGGTATTCCATGGTGTATACGTGCAACATTTTCTTTATCCAGTCTATAATTGATGGGCATTTGGGTTGGTTCCCAGTCTTTAGTTTCTATTTTCATTTAAATTTCCAAAAGTACTGTACATTTTGTTTTCTGAATGCCCCTTTTTTGCTTTCTTTTCTTATTTCATGGATGCACATCTTTTCTGATCTAAGTCTATTAATTAATTTTTTTTTTTTGCTCTGAGTATGTTATCTATTATTTTGTCTTCCCCTCTCTATATTGTCTTTGTTTCTTTTCAGACTGGCTTCTGTTTGCTTGTTGTTACTTTGGTCTCTGTCTTTTACATGAGGGGCTTTTCTGTAATGTCTGCTTACTATGGGCTGTATATTTACTTTTACCTTCTATCTGATAATATTAGAAATTTAGGGCACTTTACTGCAATTCTACCCCTTCTTTCCTTTTGAATTACCGTTGTCATACATTTTTGTGACTATTTTACATATATTTGAAACCCTGCAAAGACATCATTGTTTTTCATAGTCAGTGTTTGCAGACCTATTGTTTTGCATAGCCAAACTTCATTTGTTTTTACGTTGAGTTCATGAATTTCCCTTTTCTCGTGCTCTTCATTCCTTTTGTCATTTCCACCATTGCTTCTGGAACTGTTTTTCCTCTGCCTGAAGAATTTTATTTAGTATTTCTTTTCATTTAGATGTGCTGTGCTGGCAACAAATCTTCAAAGCTTTTGCTTGATGGGAAAGTCTTTATTTCATCTAGATTTTTGAAACATCTTCACAAAGTATAGAATTCCATGTTGGCAATTATTGTCATAAAGCCTTTTAAAGATACAACTTTATTGTCTTCTGTCTTCCAATATTTCTGTTAAGAAGATAGCCCTCAGCCCTTTATTATTGCTTCTTAGAATACCATTTTACAATTTATATTATCTACTTCATTAACTAGCAGAGTGTTAATGGAAATGTTCTCCAGTTTATAGTCGTTCAGTGTTAATATCTGGGCATATTTGAGAAGCAGCCTTAAATTCAGAGGGAGGGCAGTGGGCTGCATAGGACCACTAGGCCCCAGTAGCCCCTCATTTAGCAACCTATTCCCTTCATTACTGATGAGGAAACTGAGACTCAGAGCATCAACTTTGCCTATGATCTTAAACATAAATAAATCATATATAGTGGCAACATAGTTTTAACCAATGCACATGTTTATGAAATGCTTATTAGTCATCCAATACCAATTGAGATGGTTTGGATCTGTGTCCTCTCAAACCTCTTGTTGAAATGTAGTCCCCAATGTGGGAGGTGGTGTCTGGTGGGAGGCGACTGAGTCCCAGCAGATCCTTCATGTCTTGGTGTTTTCCAAGTGATAGTGAATGACCTCTCGTGAGTTCTGGTTGTTTAAAAATGTGTGGCACCCACCTCTCCCTTGTTCCTGCTCCGCCATGTGAAATATTTGCTCCCACTTCACCTTCCACCATGAGTAAAAGGTTCCTGAGGCCTCCCCAGAAGTTGAACAGATGCTGGGGCCATGCTTGTACAGCCTGCAGAACTGCGAGCCAATTAAACCTCTTTTTAAAAATAAATTACCCAGTCTGTCTAAGGCAGTACTGTATAGCAATACAAGAATGGCTTAATACACTAATTGACAGTATTTTATAAAATAACAGAATGCTCCATACACAAGGAAATCAGGACTCACCTAGTTCAGGGGTCAGGTCACATTAAGGGGTAATGTGGGTTTGAAGGCACGGGGAGAACCAGAGAAATCAAGCTATTATGGAAGAGGGTAGCCCTGACCTGTTCTCATGTGAATGTTGAGGCTCAGAAAACAATACCCCCAAAATATGGCCCTTTGACATGCTGAACTGAAAAAGAAGCCTAAAGATCTTTCTGACCTACCCACCCACCGTCCTCTCTCTCAGTCCTGTCTCTCCCAAAGTACAGGATTAAGTTACTCTTATAAGTACTCTCATCTGCCTAAAATCTGGACCCTCCAAAAAAGGAAAGGATGACTTCTGGTCCCTTCCATGAGTTTTCATTAACTGAACTATGTTGCAGGAAGGAAGACTAAAGTCTGTCAACACACCTGGACAGATTTTTATCACAAACCACTGTTCGCTCTGAGGGTCCAACAGACTCTGTCCCAGGCCATTGTATATTCTTCAAGCCCATTGAATTCTCCTAAAGATCATTTACTAACCCATTAACGTCATCTACACTGCTCCATCTCCCTTTCCCCTAAGAAGAAGGGTATATAACAATCTGGACCCCGTTGGGTTATTAGGTAATCAATCTACAATTCTCCCATGTATGCACATTAAAATAAATTTGTATGCCCTTTCTCCTATTCATCTGCTTTTTGTGAATTGGTTTTCAGCAAACCTTTGGAGGACACAGGAGGAATTTTCCTTTGGCCACCACATGAGACTTTGGACCCAGTGTTGCCAGATCTGACTTCTGAAGTAGCTAGAAAGTTGGATGTTTGAATCTTTATGTAACAACATTTTTATATATTGGCAACCAACCACCCCCTCAGCCACACACGCATAAATAACCCCCCACCCCCAGAAAACCTCTCTGCAGGTAAAATAAGATGTATCTATAGTTTCCATCCACTCAGAGTTTTGCTCTATTTGTGCCTCTGTTGTGGTCTAACTGTCTTCTGTTCTGATTAGCAATGGATGCCCAGAAAGAAGTGACTTAACCAAGGGCATATCTGAAGATTCTCTTCAAAAACTTTCTGTGAAAAACTGACAGATCATTCAATTTTAAAAAAGTATGATGGAAAAAAAAACTGGAATCTGATAATCCAACAAGCAATAATTCTGAGGACACCTCTTTGTTTATTGTCTGTAACCTGTATCATCCAAGCTGATAAACATAAAAGGTTAATAAGGTGGACCAGTGCAATAATAAGTTGGTAGATAAGTGTGTGAAAATTAAGTAGAAGTGTCCATTGGTTCAAGATATTCTCAGAGATGAGCTCCTATTTTAAAATTGTGGGCCAGCACTTAAAATAATATGTCAGCAATTTGCCCATAGCCCCAGAGATAAAGTTGAGTGAGATAATAAGTATTATTTGCAATTCCATTGAAAGAAAATTCATGCATATTTGGCAGTAATCTTTGAGGATGAATGAATGGTTAGATGGTTCATTCATTAATGCCATAAATGTTAGTTGATTTCTTACTGTGAAAAAGTCACAGTTCAGGCACTGAGGGTAGAGCATGAGCAAGAAAGGAAATCCCTTCCCTAATGTGACTTATGCCCTAATGAGTTGAATCAACTGCTTAGGCAATACACAACTGGCTAAATAATAGATCAGCTCCTCCATCTCTTTTAGTCATGCCAACAAGAACATAAAAGTTGATGGTGGCCTTAGAAATGGCTGTCTCTCTTGCTCCTAAGCCAATTTTTTTTCTTTTTTTTTCCCAGACGGAGTCTTGCTCTGTTACCCAGGCTGTTGTGCAGTGGTGTGATCTCGGCTCACTGCAACCTCTGCCTCCTGGGTTCAAGCAATTCTCCTGCCTCAGCCTCCCAAGTAGCTGGGATTACAGGTGCGTGCTAACACGCCTGGCTAATTTTTGTAATTTTAGCAGAGATGGGACTTCTCTATGTTGCCCAGGATGGCCTCGAACCCCTGACCTCAGGTGATCCACCTGCCTGGGCCTCCCAAAGTGCTGGGATTACAGGTGCGAGCCACTGTGCTGGGCTGCCTAAGCCAATTTTTTATTGCCATGGCAATGATATGCTTACAGGTTTGGATTATGGCATCGACTCTTTATTCATTTACTTAATTAGCAAATAATCTTCTTGCTTATTCTGTTTGGGGTTTATAGCATTTCTTGAATTTGCAAGTTAACATCCTTCATCAGTTTCTAAAGATCTCAGCTATTTTTTCTGTAAATAGTGATTCTACTCAATTCTCTAGCTCTCACTTAGCTTTCTGAGACTCCAGTTACATATATATTATGCCATTTGACTGACCTAGTTGGGTTTTACTTTTAAAAATAGTTTCTAGTCCTTTCTTCATAGTTCTTCACTTTGGGTTTTTTATTTACCAGTCTTTTATATCACTAGTCTCCTTTCTTTATATGTAACCTGTTTTAAAACCAACTATTGAGTTCCTAATTTTAGAGATATTACTTTTCAGTTTTAGAGTTTTTATTTGATTCTTTTCTATAGATTCTAGTCCTCTGGTGAGATTTGCCACTTTTTCCTCTGTTTTCCTGAACATATTAATCACGATTATTTTAATGTCACTCTCTGCTACCTCCAATATATAGTCATTATGGGCCTGTTTCTATTTCCTGTTTTTTTGTCTTGAGTTTTGTTGATATGATCTTGTCTTTTGTCATGCCTAGTAATTGTTGATTGAATATGAGACATTAGGTAAGAAAAAAATTGTAGAGGTTCAAATAATGATTTCTTCCTCCAAAGAGGTTTTACTTTTCGTTTTCCAGGCAGATAGAGTAGAACTGCTCACCTTAATCCAATCAGGGACTGAGATATATCAAAGCTGGATTACAGTTTTGGTAAGTTCTTTCTAACTCTGTTTTATTTTTAAAAAATTGTAATTTTTAATTTTGTTAATTGATGAGTAAAAATTATATACTTTTACTAGTTAATAACAAAGTAAACAACAAAATAAAACAAAAATTGTACAACATGATGCTTTGATATAAGTATACATTGTGGAAAGGCTAAATCATCATACTTATCATTTTTTTTGGTGAACACATTTAAAATCTACTCTCTTAGCAATTTTCTAGTATGCTTTACATTGTTATTAGCCATAGTCACTCATCGTGCTTACAATAGCTCTCCTGAACTTATTCCTCCTGTTTAAGTGAAATTTTGTATCCCTTGACCAACATTTCTCCAATTCTTCCTCCCCCATAACCCTAGGCCCTTGATAACACCATTCTACTGTATATTTCTACACATTTGACTTTTTAAGGATTCCACATATAAGTGAGATCATGTAGCATTCATCATTCTGTGCCTGACTTATCTTGCTTAGCATAATGTCCTCCAGGTTCATCCATGTTGTTACAAATGACAGGCTTACCTTCTTTTGAAAGGCTGAATAGTATCCCGTTGTATATCTATACCACAATATACCACATTTTCTTTAAACGTTCATTGATGAACACTAAGATTTAAAAATTTTTATTTATTTATTTTTGCTCTATTAAAAAGCTTTTTTTAAACTTTTATTTTAAGTTCAGGGGTATATGTGCAGGATGTGCAGGTTTGTTACATAAGTAAATGTGAACACTAAGGTTGATTTTCTATCTTGGCTACTGTGAATAATGCTGCAGTTAATATGGGAGTGCAGACATCTGTTTGATATACTAATTTCATATCCTTTGGACATACACCCAGAAGGGGAATTGCTGGATCATATGATAGGGTAGTTCTACTTTCGATTTTCAAGAAACTTCCATTTAATTTTCCATAATTGCTCTACTAATTCATATTCCCACTAACAGTATAGAGGTGTTCCCCTTTCTCTGTATCCTCACAAATACTATCCCCTGTCTTTTTTATAATAGCCACTCTAACAGGTGTGAGGTGACATCTTATTGTGGTTTTAATTTGTATTCCCTGGTGATTAGTGACATTGAGCATGTTTTCATATATCTTTTGGCCATTTGTCTTCAGGTCCTTTGCCCATTTCTTTTTTTAAAAATTTAAGTTTGAGACAGTGTCTGGCTCTGTCACCCAGGCTGGAGTGCAGTGACACAATCTCAGCTCACTGCAACCTTCGCCTCCTGAGCCCAAGCAATCTTCCCACCTTAGCTTCCCAAGTAGCTGGGACCACAGGTGCATGCCATGACGCCTAGCAATTTTTTTTGTATTTTTAGTAGTGACAGGGTCTTGCCATGTTGCCCCGGTTGGTCTTGAACTCCTGAGCTCAAGTGATCTGCCTGCCTTGACCTCCAAAAGTGCTGGGATTACAGACATGAGCCACTGCACCCAGTCCCTTTGCCCATTTTTTAATTGAGTTATGTGTTATCTTGCTATTGAGTTGTTTGAGTTCCTTATATATTTTGGATATCAACCTTTTATCAGATGTATGGTTTGCAAATATATTTCTTTCATTTTGTAGGTTGCCTCTTCACTTGGTTGATTGTTTTCTTTGCTGTACATAAGCTTTTTAGTTTGACGCAATCCTATTTGTTTATTTTTGCTTTTGTTGCCTATGCTTTTGGGGTCATATCCAAAAATTCTTTGCCAAGACCAATGTTGTAGAGCTTTCTCTCTATGTTTTCTTCTATTAGTTTAAATTTCAGGTCTTACATTTAAGTTTTTAATACATTTTGAGTTGATTTTGTGTACAGTGTGAGATAAAAGTTTAATTTTACTCTTCTGAATGTGGCTATCTAGCTTTACTAGCATCATTTATTGAAGAGACTGTACTTTTTCCATTTTGTGTTCTTGGGGAATCTGTTGAAGATCCCCAAATTATTATAGAAGATCCCCAAGTTATTGTAGTTATTGACTGTAAATGTGTGGACTTATTTCTGGGCTCTCTATTCTGTTCCATCAGTCCATATGTCTGTTTTTATGCCAATACCATGCTGTATTGATTACTATAGCTTTGTAGTAGACTCTGAAATAGGGTAATTGATGCTTTCAGCTTTGTTTTTGTTGCTCAAGATTGTTTTTGCTATTTGGGGTCTTTTGTGCCTCCATATTAATTTTAAAATTGTTTTTAAAATTTCTGTAAAAATGTCATTGGAATTTTTATAGGGATCGCATTGAATCTGTAGATTGCTTTGGGTAGCATGGACATTTTAACAATATTAATTATTCCAATCCATGAACATGGGATGTCTTTTTCTACCTCTGTTTTAGATCCACTCTTGGGGCATAGCTCTGCAGATCTTCCAACCAAGAGCTTGTTTTATTCACTGAGACCCTTTTCACTGTCAAACCCTGAACTTTAATCCTTGCTGTCTCAGAAGTTTAAGATCATAAAAATCTACCCTCTGCTCCTTGAAAGATTTCTGCTTAGCTTTCAGCTTCCTGCCCCATGATACTTCAGAACTCTTGTCTTAAGGATAATACCAGATGAGTGTTAGCCTTCTTTTTCCATTTCTCTCTTTTTCACTGTGATTTTGGACTTTCTATTTGTTTGTTACTTTGTTACAGTTTTTATCTTCCCAGCATCAGAAGACTGCTAAAATCTTTGCTGGTTTCTCCTCTGCCTGAGAAAAGTCTGCATTGCTGACTTCTTGTCCTGCTCTCAGAATTGGCAATGCACTAGGGGAATGCCACTGCAGAAATATCAGCTCATTATCTGCTGTTTCCCTCCTCCTCTCAATCCATTATTTCAGGAGTTCTTATATGTCTTCAAACAGCTTTAATTTTTTTAAAATTACCTTTCTAGTTGTTCTTAGCTCTGCTGTTCTTAGCTCTCCATCATACTCAGAAGTAGAAGTCTCCATTTATATTAGAGTGAAGGACACTGTTATTCTCATTGGAGGATAGGTGGCTTTCCAGCTGGATGAGGTGTGTGTGTGTGTGTCTATGTAGGATCTGGAGTGCAGTACTTTCTATATAGGCATTTACAGGTTTCTACTGACATTCTATCTGCCATTCTGTATTCTGCCTCACCTGAATCCCCACTTCTAAGATTACCTAATGTCTCTAATTCCTGAGATTTTCTGGGGCTCCTGGGCTTTCTCTGCTAACTTAAGTCTAGGCTTACTCCTCTCTGCCATATCAGTTGCCATTTATCCACTGATTTCCCAGTTACAATTTTGTTTAGCTCTTGTGGGCTTTGCCATTTTTATCCATCTCTTTATTGTTATGTTAGTGGGTTTCAGGAGGGAGTAGAATAATATTTAACCACAAGTCCAACATTAATCCCTTTTCTGAAAATAATTGAAATTGTGTTGTTATACTACTTCTTACATAAGTGGTGCTTGATCATCATAAATGATATTGGTCAAACTGTTAGTCAAAGAAACAGAATGGAATGAGACACTATTTTCCTTTAATTTGATCTCTCAATTCTTATATTTTACTAGCTCTCACAAACTGCAACGTTAAAGTACTTGCTTTTTAATGAAACTCAAGGCATATTCTCTCCTTTGCCAGGACATGGATGAAGCTGGAAGCCATCATCCTTAGCAAAGTAACACAGGGACAGAAAACCAAACACCGCATGTTCTCACTCATAAATGGGAGTTGAACAAGGAAAACACATGGACACAGGGAGGGGGAAAATACACACGTGGCCTGTTGGGGGTGTGGGGGGCAAGGGGAGGGAGAAATTAGGACAGATACCTGATGCATGTGAGGCTTAAAACCTAGGTGATGAATCCCAGCACTGTGGGAGGCTGAGGCAGGAAGATCATGAGGTCAGGAGATCAAGACCATCCTGGCTAACATGGTGAAACTCTGTCTCTACTAAAAAAAAAATAACAAAAATTAGCCGGGCATGGTGGTGTGCACCTGTAGTCCCAGCTACTCGGGAGGCTGAGGCAGGAGAATGGTGTGAACCTGGGAGGCGGAGCTTATAGTGAGCCGAGATCGCACCACTGCACTCCGGCCTGGGTGACTGAGCGAGTCTCAAAAAAAAAAAAAAACCTAGGTGACAGGTTGATAGGTGCAGCAAACCACCATGGCACATGTATACCTATGCAACGAATCTGCATGTTCTGCACGTGTATCCCGGAACTTAAAGTAAAATAAAAATAAAAATAAAAAAAGATATTCTGACTTGGGAGTCTGCCACAGGAAATACAGAGAGAAGAGGCTTTCCCCAAAGGACATAATAGTCTCTTTTGTAGAATTGTTTCTTAGTATATTTTACTCTATTTTGTAGTTCTTACAAAATTCTTATTTTTTTTCCAGGAGCCTAGACTACAAGAGAATGCTGACGCATGGCTCTCTAGGTATATCCTCTGTGTGTCCTAGGAGTATACAAAGGCCTACCAAGTGGTTTGGAGGATGCTGTTCAAATTATTAATGGCTACAGTAAGACTTTGGCTGTGCATTTTAAAAAAAAAAGTTTTAAATTTTTTGTGAATTTCCTCTTATTGGCATATCAAAATCTGTAACACTATTTCTCTTTCATTATTTATTCTCCCAAGTACAAAGTGGAAATACACTACTTTATCACTTGGTAGAGTATATTATGTGATATGGTTTGGCTGTGTCCCCACCCAAATCTCGTCTTGAATTGTAATTCCCATAATCCCCATGTATTGTGGGAAGGATTGAGTGGGAGGTAATCAAATCATGGGGGCAGTTACCCCCCATGCTGTTCTTGTGATAGTGAGTGAGTTCTCATGAAAGCTGATGGTTTTATAAGGGGCCTTTCCCCATTTGCTTGGCACTTCTTCCTGCTGACATGTGAAGAAGGACGTGTTTGCTTCCCCCTCCACCATGATTGTAAGTTTCCTGAGGCCTCCCCAGCCCTGTATAGCTGTGAGTCAATTAAACCCCTTTCCTTTATAAATTACCCAGTCTCAGGTATGTCCTTATAGCAGCATGAGAACAAACTAATACATTATCTTACTGACATAATGGAAGGGTCAAAATTTGGAAACAAATACTTTATGTCAATAGACTCTACTTGCCGTAAAAGTCTCTGTTTACTTTTCTGTCCACAAATAATTATTGAGGTCTTACTTTCTGCAAAACCTTGTCTTAGGTACTGAGGATATAGCAGTGAATTAAATAAATGAAGTTCTGATTTTTGAAGAGCCTTGCATTTTACTGAAGGATATGGCAATAAATAAATAAAAACATATTATGTTGTTAATATGTCACACCTGCTATAAAGAAAAACAAAGCAGAGTAAAAGAATAGAGGGCAGGGTGGTACTTTTAAAAATAGCATGGTCAAAATAAACCTCCTTAGGAGTAACTGTGGGATCTGAACAAAATACAAAACGACCCAACATATATGCAGTAAATAAAATGAAAGCCAAAAAGAAGTCAGTAATCCATCCAGATGACTGGTCTACACAGTTTTCATTTTCCTCATTGGATAAACAGTGAGTCATTTTTTTCTTTGTTCAGATCTCAAAGTTACTTGTATGTTTGGAATTAGAAAAAATTTTTTAACTTGTTTTATTTGGTAACCTAGATCTCAGTTCATCCAGGATGATGCTCCTTAAAATGTATACAGTGGGCCAGACATACTGAATTTACAGATATCATTTAAGTTTGGCATTATTGTATTTACATTGACATTTATTGTATCTAAATTCAGTGATGTTTATGATGAAATTTTTGTTTGTAGTAAGCAAAATTTAGGTTCCTTTTACCATTTTGTTTATATGAAGAAGTGTGTTAGACTTGGTAGGAGCTATCCTTGAAGTCACTTTTAGAAAAACATTGGCTCTACTGAGTAGAGGATGGGTTAGTTTCCTGAATTTCTGGGAACCTCCAGTGAAAGACCAATAACTTAAAATTACAGATACTTACATGGTCTTCTCCAGCAGGCTCATGGAAATGCCTACCCTTCTGACCCAGCCACTAGAGGGATTGTTGTACCATGGAGAAGCAGTCCTCCCCCAGTGCTTTGGGAGTAATTCTGCTCAGAGCATTGTCTGGAAAGTATTCATCTTCTTTTATGAAGAAGTGATGGAGGCAGGTAAGAGAGCTCACTTTCCCAGCACGTCTCCTGTTGACTGTGGGCTCTGAGGACGTCTCTGGAGTGTGTGTATTCAGCTTTCTCATTCTCTTTGAAATCTAGCTATTTGCACTCCAAAGAAGTTAGGATTCTCAAGACTGTCTAGGCTGAATGTAGTTTTTAAACCAAGTGTTTTCTTTACTGTTCAGAAGCTTTGTCTTTGAGAGCATATTTGCCAATAAACTGCCTAGGAGAACTTGTAATGACAACCTAAAATATCACCAACTCTGTACTTAAATTGCCCTGCTTTTAAAATGTGTTTGTTTTGGCTGTATTTTGAAGTTGAAATAATTTAATATGGCAAGTTGACACTTTGAAGTGAAACATATTTTGAGCAATTGGTTTTTTTTAAAAAAACATGCAAATGTTTTGGTATCTCTAGAATTAATTATAAGCCTTAATCAATTGATAATAAATGGATGTGAATAAAATTTAAACATGTTCAATCAATTAACTTAGCTATTCAAACATGAAAACATTGAAACATTTCCTTTGAAAATAGTTTAATGACGTCCATATTTGTACCGCTTTATAACTTTATAGTTAGAATTTAATTAATAAATAATGTATGTATTCCATAATTTATAGTATGCACATGGCTCCAGTTCTTAAGTAAAGGGGAAAAATACATAATATACTAACCTACGCTCACCTAAGAGTCAGTCCTGTGACTGCTGAGACTCTTTACCCATGGACTCCCCTCTGTTCCTTAGGCCCCTATGAAATAGTAATCAAAAGTGTGCTATGTATTTTGAGTTATTTTCAGTAATGTAATCTGTTTTACATGTCAAATCCATATGTAAACTATAAGTAGACAGAACATAAATACACATTTTTATATCACTTGATTATGTGGCTCAAATTTGCAGTAAAGTTTAGTATGTGTTTTTGTGGAGTTAATTGGTCACACAGGGCTTAGAGTTTGTTTTGACCCATTTATTTGGTATAGAACCATGTAGAGGCTGTTGGGAACTTTATTTGCATGATTATGCTCTGGAATGCTAGAGTACCTTTCCCCAAGGAAATTCCAAGCATTGTATGGAATACATTATTTACTCTACATGCAAAGTCCCTCCTCTGTCCTAAAGAAGATTTTTTGCTCACTTGTGTGTGTGTGTGTGTGTGTGTGTGTACGGGATAATCTAGAATTCAGTTTTACAACCTCATATGTAGAGGCTTTTGTTTTTGTTTTGTTGCCATCTATCAGGGCATCACTGTGTTGCTGGTGATAATCTGTGGAAACTTCATCTACGAGTCTGCATGTGTGTGTGTGAGTGAGTGTGTGTTGTCTCCAGTAGAAATCTCAGCAGTATGCTTCAGGGACATTTGCCATCCTTTTCCTGAGACTCTCCTGTCTGCTTAGTTTTTCTCAGATCAAACACACACTTGATTTTGTTGGGGATAACGTGAGTCTCAAAGTTGCCACTTTGCTGTTCCCTTATAGGACTCAAGGGAAGGGGCTGATGGACTTCCCCCCTCCAGGAGAGGGTGCCTACCTGCGGGTGTTTGGTCCTGACCCCTCCTTCTCTTTTCTTTTTGCCCTTTAGCTTCAACACAGCCCCTCATGGCCCTTAGTCAAGTGCCCTGGGGCTGCTTTGGGAAACTTCAGTCTTTTTATTAGAGGAAGAAATGCCCCTCTCACCCTTCCTTTGATCCTTTCTTGGGTCTTAGAAACTGGGGGGCCTCATACTTTGTGTGGGTGCTAGAGGAGGCTCTCCTCCACTCATCAAGAGGAGGTGGGCTTAGATACCATGGGTGAGAATGGATGTTGGTGCTCCAATCCAATTCCTATTTTTGCCTCTCCGATAATGAACATTATCGTTGATTCTCTCATGAGTTTCTCAAGAAAGTAAGCATGTTATCTTAAGAAGAGAATTTTTTTCCTAATTTCATATGAGAAAAATGCAATGTCTTATGTCACACGACTTTGAGTCTTTCCCCCTATAAAATAATCAGTCCTGCATTATTGTGCAAATGAGTAACTAATTCTGTCATGTTCCTGGATTATTTCTCCTGTCCCTGATTATTTTTCCCCTATTAGAATGTAAACTCCATAAGGGCAAGAGTGTTTTCTTCACTGCTCAATTTCAATACCTAGAACAATGCCTAGCACATACTATGTGATCAATATATATTTATTGAATAAATGAATATTGTAAGGTTGCACACTACCTCAAATGGCTTCCTTTTTGGGAGTATGTGTGAAGAGAATATCAACTTGGATTAGTTGGTATTTTATTATAATTTTTACCCCCACATCCAGAAGAAGCTTCTAATTTACTCCCAACTTCAACACTGATGGTAATAAAAAATGACTAAAGTAAAGAAACTCAAGGCAGATGATATAAGTAACTTACTTTACTAATAGGCAGCTGGTCAGCTTGTAGCACAGTTTGAAGTCCAAGGACTTACCTACTTTAGATTGATCTGGTTTAAATGGGTCACACTATGCATTCAGGATCATAACAGCCATTTGCTGAGTAGATATAAGGTTTGTCTCTGAAAGCTAATAAGTAATTTTAGAAATATCCATAGCAGTAATATATAAGCATTATATATGTAACTATTTTTCAGGTTCAAGCTTACAGGATACTTCAGGATGTTAAGCATCTGATTTTGCTCAAAAGAACAGTGTTCAATAGAGTAGATTAGGAATAGGAAAGAAGCCAGCCCTGGTTTATAGACACTCAGCAAAAGCCAGTCATCCTTTGCAACATGTGGACTTCACATTGGGTGTTGAAA
This sequence comes from Homo sapiens, assembly GCF_000001405.40. NCBI lineage: Eukaryota > Metazoa > Chordata > Mammalia > Primates > Hominidae > Homo > Homo sapiens. The sequence continues at coordinate 151,068,715 of NC_000002.12, read as the reverse complement.
ATGTGTTGTGCTGGGGCAAATCAAAGGAAATGTGAATATCACACAATCAAAGAATGGAATGAATGCAGGATTCATTCTGATGAGAAAATGAGCCGTCTGAATCAAGCCAGGAAGAGATGAGAGGATTGGGTTAATTTCCTTTCTAGATAATAAATATTGTGGCATAAGGCAGTAAGAGAAAGGACCATTGAGAATGATTACAGAGAAAATTGCTAAGATCCCTATGTTGGTAATTGATCTTAATGGAATTTAATTATTTTATTACCATAATCAGTCGCCTCTTATCTTACTTTTTCTTCCAGTCTACTTTGAGAACGATTAACTCATATTACCTAGCTATGGTCAAGAAAAAAATTGCTTGATAGCAAGTTTTAATTCTTATTGCAGTGTAACTTTGGCAAACTCATTCGTGTGTATTCATAGCACTGGAAGAAAAAAGAGTTACTATAAAATGAACCGGGCAGGGGAGATTACTGGATAGGCGTGTCCTTGTGTATATCTTTACTCTCAATTCCTGATGTCCTGATGTGAGTACTCTGAAGTCATAAATCATGTTCGTTTATTTTGTATTCCCAGTGTCACTCACAGTACCTATTAAAAAGTAGGTAGCTAACAAATACTTATGGAATGAGTAGTAAAAATAACTAGCATAATTTTTATTCTTTGTGCTATTGCTATTTCTCAGAAATATGTGCTAGCCCATGTATTTTTACAAATCAAATAGCTCCTTTAATTTGTTCTTTATCCACAGATATTGTGGGTTCTGCCTTTCAGATGCTGACATAGCATCTATTAAACGATATCTTTACCATTTGCTTAGGTTAGTACGCATCTTAAAGATGAGAAAGCTGGGAATGGTGACTCACACCTGTAATTCCAGGTGTGTTTATATAACACCACATTTATGATTCAAATTTTGCAACAAGGTTTCAAATAAAACACTCTGAAAATCTACCTGAGCGCTTTCTCTTCTATCTTTGATGGATGTTGGGTACAAGACATAACGGCAACCTGTCAGAAGTACTACCCTGATAAGAAATGGTGTTTAAGGCAGCAGGAGAGGTGATATTATTGGTGTCAACAACAGTATTAGTCCAAGGCGAGGTATCTTCTCCAGAACTCTAGATCTGAGTACTAGTTCCCCTTTCACTGAAGTCAACCCATGCCCAATCTGTGCCTTGGCAGCCTGGGGCAGACATCCACTGGCTTGGCAGGGAGGCAGTGCCTCCTGTGGTCCCTGGCAATCAAGCTACTATTTTCAACATCTGTATTGAGAGGTGATGTGTGTGTGTGTGTGTGTCTACGGGCACACTCAATCTTCAATCTCTGGGGTTTCATCGTGCAGAAGGATCACAACTGTTTCCTGTTTTGATTTTACAGAAGAAAAGTGGGAGTTCAGGACTTTGACCTGGCTGTTCAACTGAGACAGAATTTTGAATTTCAAAGCTTCTGTTGGGTCTTACTGTTGTAATAGATGGACATCAATAGAAAGATGACTTTTCATTAATAAAAGGCAAAAGATTTATGTGATCCGAAAATAGGAATGCTTTCACACTGTTGGTGGGAGTGTAAATTAGTTCCACCATTGTGGAAGACAGTGTGGTGATTCCTCAAGGATCTAGAACCAGAAATACCATTTGACCCAGCCATCCCATTACTGGGTATATACCCAAAGGATTATACATCATCCTACTGTAAAGACACACGCACACATATGTTTATTGCAGCACTATTCACAATAACAAAGACTTGGACCCAACCCAAATGCCCAGCAATGATAGACTGGATAAAGAAAATGTGGCACATATACCCCATGGAATACTATGCAGCCATAAAAAAGGATGAGTTCATGTCCTTTGTAGGGACATGGATGAAGCTGGAAACCATCATTCTCAGCAAACTAACACAGGAACAGAAAACCAAACACCGCATGTTCTCACACATAAGTGGGAGTTGAACAATGAAAACACATGGACACAGGGTGGGGAACATCACACACTGGGGCCTGTTGGGGAGTGGGGGCCTAGGAGAGGGATAGCATTAGGAGAAATACCTAATGTAGATGACAGGATGATGGGTGCAGCAATCCACCATAGCACATGTATACCTGTGTAACAAACCTGCACATTCTGCACACATACCCCAGAAGTTAAAGTATAATTAAAAAAAAGAAAGATGGCTTTTTAGGGGCCTCAGATTATTACTCAGTTCTTAAAATGATGTTTTATTTTATGAATATATATGTATTTATATACACACAAACATATACCTACACAATATTTTCTCACGGTGAGGATAAGAGGAATACAAAGGGCAACTGCCACTGCCTTTCAAAATAACAAATTACTAATATTAATAGTGGCCGTGTAAAAGTGGATAACAATGATTTTCTTTCTTAATATGACTGGAAACTCTGTTCTGAGGATTACCATATTTCCTCAAGATGTGTGTGTATGCATGCATGTGGGTTCCTGTGTTTAGCTAGTGGATGAATTAAGAAAGAATGAGAAGGCACCTCTTACTAAAGCGACACCTCAGAAGAAGCTATATTTGACTGAGTAACTCAGAACTCTAAGGAATATATTTCTATGGGTTACTGAATTGCACAACATTCTTGAAATTGTTGAGACTCAACAGAAAACAATACCCCAAAATGAAGGCCTCAGAAGCAAAAATTTTTTCTTTGACCTTCTCCTTCTCTCCAGTCTCTCTGTCCCATTCTCCCCCGAGGCTGGCCACAGAAACTAGAATTCCTCTTCCCAAGGCAGATCATAGAAGCCAGGATCCCCTTTCCCCAAAGCCAGCCATAAAGCCTAAAAATATTACCTAACTTCCCCTCAGCCTTTCTGTGTGAAAACTGTACATAAAGAAATGATCTGACCTACCTGGTTTGACTGTAGGTCACAAGACACCCATTCCAGAGAGAGTCCTGCCCCACACCCAGAAGGAATGAATGCTTATAACAGAGAGGCCAAGAAGAATCTAAGCAGACAGGCCTTGCTGGGCTTCTCCACTCAGTATGAGCATTAGATCATCCCCTTTTTGTTCAATATTTCTACATAGATGTTAATACTTTGTTTAACCTAAGCATAAAAATGGGCAATTTTCTGTGTATCTTTGGGTCTTCATTCTGAAGGCTCCTGTGTATATGTTAAGTAAATTTATATGCCTTTTCTCTAATTTATCTGCCTTTTGTGAGTTGATTTTTGAGCAAACTTTCAGAGAGCAAAGAGGAAGTTTTCCCATGGCCTCTATAAGGTGAAGATGGATCTTAGAGGTAGACAAGGGATGAGATTTCCCTCAAATGGGGAAATATGCATGGCTATAGATGCAGTTACTATTGGAAACTATCAAGTAATTACTGAGGACGTTGAGACCATTGGAAGAATTTACTGCCCTGTGGATCTATTTATTTTGGTGTTGTCTCTTCTTTTATATTTGAACCTATTATAAATGCCAAAAATAAAACTGAATGACAACTTTTACTACTAATACCTACCAGGTCTAAAATGGAGTTCCCATAGTTCTTTAATTACTCTTCACCAATTCCATGTCCTGCTGCATTTCCCAGCCCAGATGCTCTGAGTTGCAAGGCCCAGCCAGCTTCTTTGTCCTCTGTCCTCCCTGCTAGAAATAAAGGATTGAGTTTTTGACATGCTGAATTTGAGATTTCTATTAGGCAGCCAAGTGGTGATGTCAAATAAGCTGTTTTATCTGGAATCTAGAGAGCAGGTTTGGACTGTTAATCTGGTTGTTGCTAGCACACATAACATGTTTAAAACCACGAGACTAAGTAAGATAGTGATAGCCAATGGAGTCAATGCCCTGGGACATCTTAATAACTGGGGAAGGGAGGGGGGATAAAGAGAAGACAAAAATAATAAAAATGGAAAAAATAAAAAAAATGGAAAAAGGAATGATTGAGTGATGAAGGAGGAAAACTTGGAGACTTTGGTATCCCTGAGACAGGTGAAGTCAATGTCAAAGATGGCAGTGAATCAGTTTCATCATAAACTTCATAAACTAGTCATGGGTTAAGTAAGATAAGGCCTGAATATGGACCAGTAGAGATCACTGGTGACCTCATAAGAGCAGATCTGTTTGAGTGAGATGGTCAGAATCCTTTTTGGACTGGATTTAATGGGGAATGGGGGAAGAAAACTTGAAGACATTGGGAAAAGATAGAAGAGCAAAGAAATAGGGTGGTAGGTGGTCAGGGAAGTGGGGTTAAGAGAGGGTAATATCTAGATGTGAGTTTTTACTGCATTTAAAAGGAAATAAAATGAGAAGGAAATATTTGTAACCAGTTTGTATCCCCTACTGTCTTGCAATTCCTGTCTGATTATGATAAAATAGAAATCTGGTCCAGATTATGATAAGCTGAAGACAACGTCCCAACCTTCACAGGGACCTTGTCAATTCAGCTGTGCGATTTCTCCTTTCTTCTTTCAGAACTAGACCTCCCACCCAGGGAAAATTCAGAGTTTAACAAGAGAATCTTCATCCCAGCCCCTGATGATGACAGTCCCATTCTTCCATGGCACTCTGCTGTTTCTCTGACATGCTTGCTCCCACCCACATCCCTTTTTCCAGCTCAAGGAGTAGTGCAACTGGCTGCCTCCCAAAGATCATCACTAACTTTCACCATGCCTCATCCCCTCTGTGTCCATTCTGTCTTTGGGGATACTGAAGTGAAATCCAATAGTTTTGAAGGAACCTGACTGCCTGTCTCAAGATTTAGCTCCACCATTGTAGTTTCCCACTGAATTAATAGTCCATTGTTTTTTCAATGCTTAATAAAATAAATAACTAAGATGAAAAAGACCTAAATTTGGTGTTACAGTTATGAATAAACAGTATTTATTCTACAGTTCATTGTTACAGCAAAGTATTTGTTGGAAGCAGAATAATAAATTAGATCTTTTTTTGGTTAAATGCTAATAGACTTTTATTTGCTATAGCAATTCACTTTTCTTCTAAAAAAATAGCATGCAAAACAGTAACATATTCCATGATCTTATCTTGGGCAGTGATTTAAACTGTAAAAGCACCTCTCTGCCCCTCCCCCAGACGCAGCATGATTTTAACAGCAGCATTATTATCACCATGATAATAAGGGAGTCGTGCCTCTGCTTGCCCCTCTTTCAAGGAGCAAACTGTGATGTCAGCATGTCACTAACATACTAGATATGTATCTCTAGAAGTTGCCATGGCAAATCTGGAACCAGAGCCTCCCTAATGAGCCTTAGCTACTGCTGCCTGACAGACTAAGCATTCTCAGGCATTTCCTGTTAGACTGTGTGTTGGCATCAGCTATGAACTTGCTTACAATTCTAGCAGTAGATTAGCATTGGGTAAGAGTGGGGATGAAGTCTCATCCAGTCATGAACTGTCACTTAATCTGACAGAGGAATTTCTGGGGCTGGAAATGTATCGAGTGCAATGGGACAATAAGGAAATACGTTAAAACCCAGTTTCTGGCAGTTTTATGATAAATCATTTTACCCCCACTTCAAACAAACAGAACAACTTTCAAATTAACAAAAGATTCACTTTTACATCAATGATTGGGCTAAAAAGAATAAAGATTAAAAGGATAATGGCAGAAGAGAAACCAACAATACTAGAGCAAGAAAATAATTCTTTGAAATTGCTTCTTGTGTTGGTTGGTAAGATTAGTTTTCATAGTGGACAACAAATATAAATCTCCTTTGGTAAGGCATCATACATTTTCATAAATCAAACATGCAAGGCTCACCACGGTGATAGTTGCCACTCACTGCAAAGTATTAAGATGGCAAACTCTACGCTTCATTATGATGTTGGAGCTCTATCATATTCTTTGTTAGCCTTTAACTATTTACAAAGTTTAGAATCTGAAGTAATATATTTTTTAGTTCATACCAGAGCTGACGTTAACATCTGATATGGTTTGGCTGTGTCCCCACCCAAATCTCAACTTGAATTTTATCTCCCAGAATTCCCACATGTTGCGGGAGAGACCCAGGGGGAGGTAATTGAATCATGAGGGCCACTCTTACCCATGCTATTCTTGTGACAGTGAATAAGTCTCATGAGATATGATGGGCATATCAGAGATTTCCACTTTTGCTCCTTCCTCATTTTCTCTTGCTGCCGCCATGTAAGTAGTGCCTTTCACCTCCCGCTATGATTCTGAGGCCTCCCCAGCCATGTGAAACTGTAAGTCCAATTAAACCTCTTTTTCTTCCCAGTCTCAGGTATGTCTTTATCAGCAGCATAAAATGGACTGATATAATCTCTTAAGGTGGAATGGAATAATTAGTAAAGTGAAGAAAACAATTTGCAAGGTAATAACTTTGATTGTTTTCTTTTATGTTATAGTAACACAGTTAAACTCTTTGGGTATTCAACAATATAAGGCAAGTAGGGCAGCGGTTCAGGAGGGAGTATTGGGAAGCCATGGGGTAGATTTGGGAATGTTCATTCATGGGATTCATGATGAAAGAGATAACACTGAATTATCAAGAGACAAAGCAGGAAAATAAGAAGTTTCTGGCCTTTACTAATTTTAGGGATCAATATCAGTGTTCTTGGACTATGAGAAACATGGGGATAGAGGACCGCCTAGAGTAGAAGGGACAGATGGTCAGTTCTATCAGTGACACAGCAGGTGTCCTGGGGAGCTCACCACTCTTGCCTGGTTCTGCCACTTGGGGCTGGGAAGTACATCAGCTGGCTTTCCTGGGCATTGCAAAGACATATCATCGTTGTCACTCCAAAGCACTGTCTTGAATCCACAGTATGGCAAGGGTTGGGGGAATTTTCGTGACAGGCTTTTCTCAATACACATGTAATACCTAACTTTGTTAGCCCTGTTGGATGACATTACTTTTTGTTTCCATGTCCTGAATAAGGCCTTTGTTCATTGAGAGTACGAGAAAAATACAGAGTCCTCGTTCTTACAAGCAAAATGCAAACTGATACCCCTTAGGGTCTTCATTGGCTTCCTCACAGAGGTGATGAGTTGGGCCTGATGTCCATCCTCACCTGGACCTGGACTGGCTAACTGCATGCAGGCTGTGTGTTAAGAGGTCAGTTTACAATCTTACAAGAGGGCAAAATCAGTTGACTGAGGACAAAATTGAATGCGTGTTCTTGGATTTATAAGAAGGGTAAACTCACCCCCTGAGCGAACCTGGGAGAGCTGAAGAGCCACTCAAGTGTCAATGACATGCTGAGTAGTAGAGTGCTTGGGGTCCAGTGAAGTTCAGTCCTGGAATCCCCAGGGCTATGAAACCCTGGGGCTGCTGTGGGTTCTGGAGTAGTTCACTGATTTCAGTTATCTAGTGGCATTCCATGTCTATTGGTGAGTATTGAAGAAGTCAGTTTCCATAATAGACAGATACTCCTGTAATATAACCTATTAGAGAAAGACAACTGCTAGGCCTTACCATTTTGTTGGAGAAAAATTATGACTCATTCAGAATAGTCTTTCAAGCAGAAGCTTGCTAATGCCAATGGAAACACTCTGCTTAAATATTACCACGTTTCCCTTCCTCTGATTATCACAAAATCCTCCCCTCCACTTTCCTTGGGTGTCACAATTTATTTATCTAACAGGGTTGGAGATTATGGCTATCTCTAAGGAAAATCTTATAATTTTTTTTAGGTAAAGGAATAGACTGGAAGATTTTAGTACCTCAAGTCTTTCTTTAGATTCTACAATGTGGTATTCCTTTCCACACCAGCATGAAGGAGCATATAAAATGCACCCCATTTTAGGAATAGAAATTAATATGAGTCAGAAGAGCAGTAAAAGGTAATCCACATGGCATGCCTTTGTCAAAGAGACAGACATTTCCAATACAATTCTTAGGGGAGGAAGGTGGTTATAATAGAATATAACAGCTCTCTGGAGGGAAGAATACATTTCCTATATGGTGAGGGTGGTTATGCATTGTATCTGCAGCAGTTTTCCCTTGAATCCACAAATCAGATCTGTTAAGGAGATTTGGGAAAAGATCACTGTGTGGTGAAGGTAAAGGGGGAAGATTGGTTCAGATTTGCCCAAAAGTACATCTGAAAACAGAATTTTAGCATCCACTAGGTGTTTGTCAGATGGTAGCAATTTCCAGCAACAACATAGTGGGGACATATCAGCAACAGATCGGAATTGGTTATCTAGAGATGAAAGGCTCCCCAGACTCTCGTTTCCTCTTGGATTCAGCTTTTGATTGCTTGCTTTGTCCTTTGTATCTCTTTTCTTCACTATCTCATTGGTTCCTTTCCCTTCTTTTTTAGCATCTCAAGCTTATCTTTTAAACTGATTTATCTCAGGCTTTATGGCTCAGGAAGCAGCTGAAACTAACAGGAAAAATACAAAGAGCAAACCTGGGTATTTTTTAAATTATTGTCAGAGAACAGATGCTGTGGCAGGTGCTGCTAGTAAGATATTATAATCAAACAGGCAAAAGATATGTAGAATTTTATTTTTCCATCTTAGGACAGGGCTCTCAATATGCTGATTCATTCATGTGGTTAAGGGCAAATTAATATTTCAGAAATTTGCCTACAGTCCATGAGATAGTGATATGTGACAAAATTTGATGTGTATTCCCCTATTGCAGATTCATTTGGGATAAATGATGTTCACCTCATAATTAAGTCCTTCTTACATTACATTTCATGCTGTAGTGAAACAGCAGTTACTCTCTGCTCTCGAAGAGGAGGGGATATTTAATTATTCAAATGAATCTCAGTATCCAAAAAAGTGTCTGTTTTTGATAAATCCCTGTGTTTTGATTATAAATAAAACATTCAACTTTTTTGCTTGTGCATTTGTACTAGGGCTGGTGCAACAATTCTCTCCCTAAATTGCTTATATCTCAAATATTCTTTTTGGCTTAGCCTTTATTTTTATTTTTGGGGCCAAAAAGATACCTGTGAGTTCCTTTTTAATGGCCCTTCTGACTAATTTTCAAACTGTGGTCATATTTTAGCAAACTGTTGAGAGTGGGATTTAATCTTGTTCTTCTTCACAGCCAATCAGCTGTGTACCAGCCCTTAGTTCTTTCTTTGGCTTGCTCAGATATCTGGTCTACACTGTGGGTGAGGCAGATGTCTGGTCCACATCTGGTCTCTGGTTCTGCCACTGAATCTTCTTGACCTTGGAAAGAAGTATGTCTCAGTTTTTAAAGGAAGACTATTACCTAGAAAAGTTGATAGAAATTTTTCTTGATTTAGAAACATATTTGGCCAGGTGCAGTGGCTCACACCTGTAATTCCCGTATTTTGAAGGCTGAGGCTGGAAGATTGCTTGAGCTCAGCCTGTGCAACATGGCAAAACCCTGTCTCTGCAAAAAGTACAAAAAAATTAGCCAGGCATAGTGGCACAAGCCTGTGGTTCTAGCTACTCAAGAGGCTGAGGAGGGAGGATTGCTCAGGAGGCTGAGGAGGGAGGATTGCTCAGGAGGCTGAGGTGGGAGGATTGCTTGAGCTGGGAGGCAGAAGTTGCTGTGAGCCAAAATGGTGCCACTACACTCCAGCCTGGGCAACAGAGCAAGAATCTGTCTCAAAACAAAACAAAACAAAACAACAAAAAAATACAATTTCTAGTATGGCTGAATCAGTTCATTCAGTGAAAGTGCTAAGCATTTTGATGTTAATTTTGAAGGTGTATTCACCTTCATGTTATCCAGGCTTTTATGTTTCAAAGCAGTTCTTTCAGACTTACAGTAGTGATATTTTTAAAGATGAATGATTCTTATGAATGGAGTTCATGCTACAGTTCTTGTTCCAAAATGATACCTACAATTTCTGTGGGCCCACGGAATTTGAAGTTGGAGCCTGTTAGTAATTTTCTTTCTTCCAACCTGCCTTTAGGTTGATGGAAATGCTCAGGGAGACATCTCCTCACAAGTGGAATTGGAGCTCTTCTAGGGGGAACACTGAAGTATCTTTGAAGGTTAGGCAACTCACTCACTTTCATTGGTCCATTTATCTGACTGGAGGAGAACTAAGAGAAAAACTGATCCAAGAAGCAGTTATGTGGAAGAAACACAAGGCTTGTGGCCAAGGCAACCTTGATTCAGACATAGTTGCTTTTTGTTTGTTTGTTTGTTTTTGTTTTTGAGATGGAGTCTCACTCTGTCGCCCAGGCTGGAGTGTAGTGGCGCCATCTCGGCTCACTGCAAGATCCGCCTCCCGGGTTCACGCCATTCTCCTGCCTCAGCCTCCCGAGCTGCTGGGACTACAGGCACCCACCACCACGCCCGGCTAATTTTTTTTGTTTTTAATAGAGACGGGGTTTCACTGTGTTAGCCAGGATGGTCTCGATCTCCTGACCTCGTGATCCGCCTGCCTCGGCCTCCCAAAGTGCTGGGATTACAGGCGTGAGCTACTGAGCCTGGCCTTATATTTGCCACTCCTTAGCAATGCAACTTAGACTTTCTGAGACCAACTTTCCTATACCAAAGAGTAAAGATCTGGCAGAGTTATTTTTAAGTAGTAAGTACAATAACCAGCAAAATCTCTGGCAGTCGTTAAGAAGTGGAAACTTCTACCTATTTTCCTCCCATTCTCTGAGTCTCACCTCATTTGTAAAATGGAGAAAATAATAATCACGAAGGGGTTATGGTGAGAATTAAAGAGAGTATGGCCTTATCCATGGTTAGAGAGTTACCCAAAAAGTAAGTCTTCAAACAAAACAAAACAAAACAAAACAAAACAAAACAAAACAAAAAAACCTTGTTTAACCCATCCTCCTACTTCCCACTTTACAGACAAGCACATTGTGGTTAGGCAGTGGTAGGCTTGGACATAGACACATTGGCCAGTACTCTTCACTATGTTATTATTATTGACTATTTTAATATTACAGATATTCTGGCTTGGGGAGTTGAAGACTAAATTTTAAAGCATAAGTTGAGCAGAGTGGATATAGTACTAGACTTCCACAATGTCAAGACCCATTTGGAAATGGCTCCCTGGACATTCAGGTTTACCAGAAGAAAAAATCAATGTGCTGAGACTATTAAACTGGATTTTAACTTAAAAAATGGCTTTAAATGTAATTTTAAACAACTGTTTCAGGTTGAACAAAACCATTCTTTTCGATTATCTTGGTTTTCTTTGAATGTTGTCAGTGTTAGTTAATATAAGAATTTTGTCTTAGTGAGTTCCTTACTAGGTGTCTCTTTACCCTGAAAAGCCAAATAATACCCTTATTCCATATGACACCGATACCAAAGTTAGATAAAAGGGGTTCCATTGCAAGGCTAAGAAAGAACTAATTTTCTAAAATTGGAACATTATCTGTCATGTGTTACTACTCTGTAATTATGACTATTATTCTCATTGGGAAAAAAGATATTTCAGGAGGGGAAAAGATTTTTATAAGAGGCTTTTAATATAAATGGGCAATTATATTAAAATACCTACTTTCATACTTAGGCACTGTGTTGTAGATACATTATATTATATTTGATTTAAATTTAGTAAATTATACGCATGTGCAAACTTAAAATATATGAGTATTGCTTCCTTAAATGAAAGGCATGAATAGTCTTGTGAAATAGATTTTGGAGAACTGGATTCACAACTTTTATGCTTGCAAAGCTTTTATTGTTAATAATGCATTGTTTTTTCTTTTTTGGGAAAGAATGAATCATTTTCATGTGGCAATGATTCTGAATTTTTTTTTTGCAAGAATGATTATGCTTTTTGAATCATTTGTGGGGCTGAACAAAGGGCAGTGGTAAAAATAAAAATTATAACCATGATTCATCTTTTTCTAGAAGATGAAGACAGTACTAAAAATTATGAAGAATCCTTCAGTTTTGCTTTAAGTGATGTGCTGAAAGAGAATTCACAAGCAGATAGAAAATTTGGACAGGAAAGGAAATAATCACATTTGATCTTTACTGAGTTTAAGAAGTTTACATTGGGTAGCTGTGAGGACAAAATCTTCCAAGCATAATTCACCTCAAATGTCACTCTCAGCAAAAGCAAATCCAAGATTTGTAGGCCAGAAGTTTATTCAATTTTGGAATCCTTTTAAAGAAAAATAATAGAAGATTAAAAATATATAACAAGGACCAAAGATGGTATTTATTTGGAATGAGAAGAGAAATTAAACAAATTATAAATTTTATAAAATTGACAAATACTACAAGTATCATTATATCTGAAAAATGCCATGATATTTTAAATTATAACTGTCTGACACATCTTTAGAATACCCTTTCTTTATATTTTTGGCTGTTTAGTTTTGTATTGCTTTTTTATGTGAAATTATTTTGTAATATTATTTTCTACTGAAAGAATATGAAGACAATTCAGTGTTTCATCTAATATGGTTGACTGAAATTTGTTTCTTATTTTCAATAGTTGGGGTGCCTAAGCTTGACCACATGCAAATGCACGACCATGCAGCACTGTCGCCCTTTAAACACAGGACTCTAGGGCTGGGTGCAGCAGCTCATGCCTGTAATCTAAGCACTTTGGGAGGCCAAGCAGGGAGTGTCGCTTGGGCCCAGCAGTTGGAAGTTGCAGTGAGGTATGATTGCCCCACTGCACTCCAGCCTAGGGGACAGAGCGGGACCCTGCCTCAAAAATAAAATAATAAAATAAACGCAGGAGTTTTGAAAAATTCAGTTTTACATAATTTCCAGAAAAAAACATAGTTTATTTGTAACCATATACACTGCATTAGTGAGTCTTCCCCAATAGGTGAGAACTTCTGTTTTGATAAGAATGATAAATGAATCCTCTACTTAGACTTTTACCCATCTGGTGGTTTGAAGAATTCTCCATAGTCTAGCTTTTGGTTCTATACAATTAAAAACATGTTTCTTCTCTATTGCCCACATACTTCTAGAGCTGGGTGCTGTACGAGACAAATGTATTGCAATATGACCTCTGTACTGGTCCTTCATAGTATGGTGTAGTTGATAATACAAATATTTCTGGAAGTCATTCCCACAATGGGACAGACAGCGAGGAATAATTTAATTATATAAAGAAACAGCTGTAAGCCACATAAATATATCCTCTGAACCAAATTAAATATACCTTAACTCAACTTCTTAGCAGGATTCCAATGATGCCTGTAGCCACTCTAATGCTGCCTGACATGACAGACAGAAGTGTGATGGAGAAGTCAGAATGGGAAGATCCAGTAGCTTAAACAATTACAGCTAAAAACAAACAAACAAACAAACAACCTCACTGTTGTGCCAATTTGGCAAAAACACATTGCAGCGCCTCTTCCAGGGCTGTGGCTGGAAGTCTGGGGCGTTAAGTGGCTCTAAGGCTTATGCTCCATTTGCTTCACCATAGATTTGCCTGGGCTCCCAGATGGGATGGTCATATGCCAAGGGATGTTTGTGTGTCTTTGTGGACAGACATGAAACATCCCAGGGAGAGCTCCTATTCTAAATTACCTCCTTGCGTCGCTTGAGGCCAGGAGTTTGAGTCTGTAGTGAGGTATGATGGTGCCATTGCACTCCAGCCTGGGCAACAGAACAATACTCTGTCTCTAAAAAAATAAAAATAAATGAATCAATGAATTACGTCCTTCATGAAAGTTTGACTGGACCATTAACAATTCATATTTTTCCATTCAACCTTAGCCTTTCCCTTGGTAGAGTCCTCTTTTTAAAATGCTACATCCCTTAGGAGAGGCAGCATGCACTTACTTCCTTGAGGCTTTGTTTTTCAGGGTGTTTTCTTCCTTTTTTTCTAAGAAAAGATAAGGATTTATGAGAAGTTTGGGCCTTGGACATGAATAAGGGCTCAGCAAGGGAGAACGAGGGCAGAGTGAGCAAGGGGCATGAGGTTTTTTGTTGGCTGCGGCAGTCAACGCTAGGGATTGCTGAACTATTATTGTTATGCAGGTGTTAATGTAATTGAGTTGTATGTGTCTGTGTATTTTTCTTTAGAGCCGTTCCATTTTCTCTACAGATTTCGTGTTTATTAAGAGTAAAAACAATGTCTGCTGCCCTTTTACTATGCTCTGAGGGGTTAACCTCTACCCATGTGCAGATCTGCTGTTAGACAGAGATGCCACCTGGAGCTGACTATATATTTGGTGATCCTCAATTCACTCGTGTCTTAGCTTATTTATTCTTCTTTGGACCCACCCGTCCTTCATGGCTTCTACTCCCTTGATGTTCTTTTTAGCATGGTGCTGAGTAGTCAAACAATGCGTATGTTTTTAAGCAGAAATCTTATACAGTAAAGATTAAACAGAAACCCAATTGATAAAATAGATACATGTCAACCTGCCCTGATTGAAGCAGGGGCTGGGGCATAAAGCCCTGGCCATGCGGCCTCCTTCTTTGTGGCAGGTCCCTGAGTGGCTCTCAGAAGTCCTTACAGCTCTTACGGAAGAATGAAAACCCCGGAGTAGAAAAGTTACTCTTGGATAGACAATCAGAAAACCTGGATTTTTATTTTGACTGGCATTTCTACTAGTAATGTGACAATAGGCACGTCATCGATTGCTCTAAGCCTCAGTTTTTGCATTTGTAAAAAGTGGACAATAATATGTTGCCTTGCTCAGCCTACATCAAAGTAAGGCTGTGAGAATGAAATGGGTTATATACGTGAAAGCCCTTCAAAGTGCTCTACATGTAAGAATTACAGTATCACCCCCTAAGTCTTTCCAACAAAATCATCTTATAGATTATTCAAGTCATGTAATCATAAATGAGAACATCTGAAAGGGTTACCGATGCCACCCTATGTCCTTTATAATATCCCAGGTCAGGTAAGAGGCCACCCACTCCTTGTATATATTGTCAAGGAAGCCAAGAAAATAAGAGTGACATTTCCAATATGTAGTGGGACCAAAAGCCCAAATACAAAGATAGAAAGGGCAATGACTAAGCACCACATGAAAGAAATAAAAAACTTACCAGGTGTTGGCACATTTCTGCTGTGGCTCATGAAGTAAGGATGATGCTGTTGCTATGCAGAAACAAAATATTTGGAAGTGACAAATTAATCTTATTTTCAGTTTGTGCCCCAGTGTATTTGTTTGCAGGACGTGCACTGTTCATTGACAAGATATAAGAAGACCTAAAGGGAACTAGAGGAAAATAGAACAGGCAGGGGAAAACGAATGTAAAATACTTGGGCTATTTAACTTGAAGGAAAAACTAAAGATTACTCAGCTTTAGATCACTGAAGAGTGATCTAATAATTGGCTTTTAGGAAACACAGAGATTTATTGTATAGAGTACAGTGTACAGTTGGCACTCAACAAAGAACTCACAAGTCTGTTGGAGTTCACAGACACTGGCCTTCAGGGAGAGTCACAGAAAATTGAAGAAAGGTGCCCTATCAGGAACAATGGCCCCTCTGCCATCAAGTCCATTTGGTATCTAAACCAGTTCAAAGAGATGTTTTCATCTCTCATTTTTAGAGACATAATTGATCCTAGATGGGATTAAGGGTGGAATGACATGGAAGAGCTGGATCTGAAGCATGCTCTTGGAGAAGAGCTGATGATTGACACCAGGAAAATTCAGAGCCAGGAGACAAGGAGAGGTAACTGCTTAGCAGCTCTTAAGCCTTCAGAGATGACAGAATCTGCTTTGGTTGCCTGAAGAGATTGTCCTCCACATTAGACAGATAAGGATGGAAAAAACATAATAAGCAGCTTTTTGTAATTGACATGTGGGATGAAACTGGCAGGCAGAGAAGCTCAACCTACATCAAGATAAGCTTGGCTTGTGGTCAGGCTGAAGGACTTGTCTTGAGATTTTTCAAGTTAGTAGGAATGACTTCCAGACTGAAAAGCACTGTAAGGGAAAAAAGATGCACAAAACACCAAGTGTCCTCTATGGGTTTGTGGACAGACTTTCCACATTGTTAATGGAAATGATTTGTCACATTTTATAGAGTTAGTACACATGGAATGAATCTGTGTTCGTACTTCTGAAGGTCAGAGTCCCATATACTATTCACCTGAATTTTATAGACTAAGTAGTAGATTAGAAATACCTTCACCAAGCAGGCCAGATCAATTGCAGATCTCTTAGAACATGGACAGATTTCCTGTGTATGACACTGTCATCTGTCTTTATAAACCACTGGACACAGGCCTGACTACCTTCTAGATTACTAAACTCATTTGAGAATAGAACATGATACAAAGAATTAAAGGGGTAAGAAACAAGATTTAGCAGTTGCCATATTTTGCTGTATTTTCCATTCATTTTTCTTTTGGGAAAGATTTTGTTATGTGATCTAGTTAAAAAGAAATTTTACAGAACCTGTTAATACATAAAACTGAAGAACATTTTTCTTAAGTATTTTAAACTATAAGACAAAGTCTGAGCAGCTATCATACTTTATATAGTGAATTGTTAGAGGTCTTTTGAAAACCAAGAGTTTTGGTCACCTTGACTTTATTTCGTTTTTTCCTTGCTATACCTGATGATAAATCATTGCTTGGAGTGATGTAATGTGCACTTGTGTCTCAAGTTCATGTTTGTACTGCGTTTATACAGAAAACATGCTCCTTTACAGAGTGAAGTCAATGTACATCTCCTTTACAGAGTGAAGTCAATGTACATCACAGGTTAGCCCTGGAAAATGTTGTTTGCTTTTCTGGAATTTGGTTCTGCTCTACATCAAGATTTCAATGTAAAAAGATTAGATTTCCACAGGTGGCTTTGCATTAGTCAGAACTGAAATCAGAGTCTATTACTTCTAAGAGGTCATGGAAAGCAACTAATTCAAGACACATGGGGGTCTTGCCCAACATGATACATATAGTTAATAGAAAAACTAGCACCAGAATGTGTTGAGTGTTCTTTGCATACAACATATTACAGTAACTTTTGACGTAGCTATATCTGGATAATCCCAAAATGGAACTAGACTCGAGTAGAATTGGGATGCACTTGAGGCTATCAGACACTAGGTGGCATCTGTCTCTTTTTGCATCTGATGGGTAGATAATGTTTCAGTTGGATTTGTACATTGAGGGGAAGTAGACAATAATTTGCAATCTATGATCTTCATTCTTGTATAGATTTATGTGAACTAAGCTAGCACCAATGACTCATAAACTAATTTCAGCATTGCAAATGAGAGGTACCAAGTTCTTGGGAGATACAAATAATCTTTGTGAGTACAGAAGTTCTAAAACATATCACTTGCTTAACCTTCTCAGCTTGGGTATTTAATATCTAGAGGGTTTTAAAACTTCATGACTTTATGAAAATTATACAAGGGATTGACTGAGAATTAAGCCATTTTATGGAATGAAAATTATGTTATTATACTACATAAATGTCGATAAAAATTGGAAGTGTGATATTAATTTCTGATGCCCCATTAGTAGAAGTTGGTAAACATATGTAATCAGGTATAGTTAAGGGAATAATTTCTGTTCTAAACCAGTCTAATTTTCTTAAGTTTTTAGGTTCTATGGATCCTACTCTGAGGTTCTAGGAAAAAAAAATTTTCTTCAACTTTCATAAGTTCTTTGTTGAAATGGAGCCCTGTAGCAATAGGCAGATTAATAAGAGAAAAACAAACAAAAATTTATTAACATATATATTTTATAAATACATGGGAAACACCCAGGAGATGAATAGTCTTAAAGAAGTGGCTTTGAATTCCAGATTATATGTATCATCAACAAAGAACAGTGACATTTTAGAGAAATGACAAGACAAAAGACAGGACTTTGAATCTCCAGCAGCAGCCAATGGTGGGCAGGCAGATAAAGGTGAGTTAGTAAAGCTTGTTAATGTAGATTCCTGTCATCCCATCTCCAGGCTGACATGTGTCCAAAGCTGTCTTCAGTGGTTAATTTTTTTCTCTCCCTGGTAGAGAAGGGGGTCAGGATACCTTTTATCTTTGTAAATCTGCTTCCTGCTTTTTGGCAAATAGAGGTAGGGCAGAGAGCTGTACTGCATCTGCTTGTTCTTAATTCAACTTAACAATCCTTCATATTTTGGGGTGGCATATTCTTGTCTCCCACAATGTATTAATGTTTTTCTCTTCTGTGTTTAAAATGCAGATGTGTTCTGAAGTCAAGAGTCTCTGCTTATGAGTAAGGGCTTCTGTGAAATCTCTGTTGCTGGTTAAGTTGCCCTGGACGTGACTTCTTTTTCTTTCCTACAGCTTTGTAGCTTTCTGCGTCTTTAGTCAGAGTACGCTGTTTACCTGGTTGGCTGCCTCTCTTATTTGGTCCCTTGGTGGCAGGGTAAGAGGGAATTAAACTTTGCTCATTTTGGTAGAACTTTTTAAACTTTCAGATACAAGCTGAAAACTGGTCTCCTATTTTATAGAAACATAGATATTACATTTTGCTTTCAAGGAGAATAAGTCTGTAGACAGATCTTATATAGTTGGGCACAGGAGCTATTACAAAATATGAGAACACTATTGTGACTGTTTCCTCTAATGGTCTCTTAGCCTTGCTTTGTTCCTGAATTTTCATCATGGTCTTAATTACTGGCATGGACCAAGTTATTGTCTCCCCTTACTCTCCATTCATAGGTTGACATCCAAACTGTCAATGTGATGGTATTTAGAGATGGGTTACCCTTTGGGGGTAACTAGGTTTAGACAAGGTCATGTGGTTAGGCCTTAGTGATAGGATCATGTTCTTATAAAGAGACACCAGAAAGCTTGTTCTCTGTCTGTCTCTGCCATGTGAGGACACAATGAGAAAGTGGCTGTCTACAGGTCAGGAAGAGAGCCTTTACCTGGCACTGAATCAGCCAGTACATTGATCTTGGACTTTCTCCCCTCCAGACCTATGAGAAACAAATTCCTTTTGTTTGAGTCATCCAGTCCATGGCATTTTGTTACTATAGCCTGAGCAGACTAATTCAGTAACCATCGTGTCATGATATTACTTTAAGGGGGAAAAAGAGTACACTTCTGTGTTGCTTAGTGACAGGGATATCTTCTGAGAAAAGTGTTAGGCAATTTCATTGTTGTGTGAACCTCATAGAGTGTACTTACCAACCTAAATGGTATATATATTTTTCATGTGAAAACCAAATATGCCAGCACCATTATTGAATATCAATCATTTCCCCTACTTGACCTGAAATGCCAATATGAAGTACCACATATCAGGTTTCTATGTATGCTCCGTTATAATCTTCTGAAACCACTGTTTTATATGCAATCCATCACTGATGGAATTGTTACGTGGTACGTGACTGTACTTTTTAAAACTGTGGTCAACATGAGCATCAGACTCTCTTACAAACAACCCAGCCATCTTTCTGCAATTAGAAGCATCTCAGGTACTTTACTCCTTAATAGTTTCATTTTATACAAGAGCCAGCAGCAAGAATCTCTCTTTGCAAGCCCCAGCTGGGGAACCAAGAGTGATTGTTTAGGCTGTGAGTGTTAGTGATGGTGGGTGTAATGGGAGGATGGGTATCATGCTGATATTGGCAGAGGGTGCAATTTGACTCATTTAACATGTATAATGGTTTGCACCCTGCATTAAGGATGGTGTGTTTTGAAACTGAGACTTTGAGGTAAATAAATTAATGAATACAGATAAAATATTGAAGCAGGAAATTTTAACATGTTAATGTCCATTTCTATTTGTGGTCATCCTGTACAACTTTAGAGACCAAATCTTATATGAGAATGTCAGTTTCACAGACACTTATGAGACTAGATGAATAGCATCTATATAAAGAAAATCTGAAAAATCCTTGACAAAATCACCAAATGGCAAATGCATTTACAATGGTCTGTAAGAAAAGGGAAAAGCATGAAGAAAACCTCAAATAAAACAAGGAAGAGCAAACAAAGGCTTACTAACATTCTCATTGCCATTATCTATCTTTTTTTCTAGGGCTAATGGCTCTATATAAGACATGCGCATTCATCTACCAACGACATCTGTGCAGAGCATGGAACAGCGTAGGTTTGTAATTGCTCGCTACCCTGAGCTAGGGAAAATGAACTTCTGACATTTTGGAGGAAACAGACTTAGCTTCTTTGGTAAGGTGAGGGTACCCTTGCTGCTTAATGTTCTAAGTTATTTTGTGGACAAACAAAATAAGTGGAGAAACTATATGTCTATTACTATTATGTTACTTATAGAAGCAGAGAAATCGTTTTCAAAAACATATATTTGGTTTATAAATATGCTTTCTAGGAAGGGCTCCAATTGCAAGTTTATAAGCACTTAATGTGTTAGCAGATATAAAACTGCTGGAATTCTCAAGGTTTTGTTGTGCATTAAGGAGGAGATGAATAGACTTTGATATCAGTCTTTCAGTGAGGAAAATTATATTCAATACTATGCAGGGATAATCAAATCCTTAGTGAAGAACTTTGAGGACCTTGAAAACGTATAAAACTGTGAACCCAAGCTCTTACTGGCATTTCTGATACAGCATATTCTTCCTTATCCTTGAAAGCCATACTCCCTCTCCAAGTAATATCTTAAGTTCATTCCTTTTGTATGGCCCTGTATCAGCTATTGCTCTGATCAGGGAGAAAATATTGATTTCTTTACTTTGTGACCCTGGTGGGAGCTCAGGAGTTATACTAAAAATGAAATATTGGTGGCCCTAGATGAAATGTGTCTCGTGGTCTGCTTTTGAAAATTGCAGTTAATCCATTTGCCTAGTGTTCCATTATTGGAACGCTAAGCTTGTGGAGTTATTTATATCCTGCTGCTAAAGGTCATCACCAAGGTCTGATTTTTCAGACAAAAAATTTGCAACCTCTGGCATAAATGGGTTAATCAGTGTGATAATATGACATTCGTCCCTATGTTTTCTGGACTTTTCATGACATGTATTTCCTCACAAAGATGAATGCCTCCAATAAAAATAAAAGAAGAACTGGTATAATATACAGTACCACAATGTACTGGTATCAACCACAGTACATTATTGCTTGCTTGTAGACTCTCCAGTGACAAAAATGCATTCAATAATAATTTAACAGATATTTATTGAACACTTACTTTATTCCAGGAACTGCATACACAGTGGAGAAGAAGACAGAAAAGGCTGTGGCCTGATGAAGCTTACATTCAGACAGACAAGTAAGTAAACAAATACATAAGGTAAATAGGTTAAAGCACTATTCAATGTTTTGTTTCAGTTATCTATTCTTATATAATAAGCCATCCCCAATTTAGTGCGTTAAAACAACTGTTTTCTCTCGATCTTTGATTTTGTAGGTCAGGAATGTGGAGAGGGTTTGGTTGGGTGATGAGCTCCAATCACAGCATCAGCTGGGATGGTAGATGAGTAGGATCTACCTCCAAGATGTCTACCACACTGACACATCCAGTGTCTTGGCAGTGTTGGCCTCTTTTTCTTGCGGTCTCATCTTCTAGGGCCTCTCCAGGTGGCTTGGATTTCCCAAAAAATTGTTGCTCAGGGTGATCATACTTTTTACATGATGTCTGGCTTCCAAAAGTCACAAAGCAAAAGTTGTCAAAATAGTTAAGGATGATTCTGACAGTGGTACGATGTCACTTCTCATGTAATTAGTCTCAGAGTTCACCTAAATTCAAGAAGGGGTTGAAAAATAGACTGCACCCTTAAATGGGGGGTGAGGGGAGGTGGCAAGGTCACACTGTGGAGCAGCAGGTGGGATGGGAGATATTTTAGTGTCTATCTTTGGAAAACACAATCTACTACATACTTGAAGAAGGTGTAACACGAAGAGGAGTGGATTGCAAGGTTGGGCACGGGGGCACTTATTTTAGTTGTGGTACCAGCCATGAAAACGAGTAGAGGAAGTTCTAGTTTGAGCAAGTCTATACAAATGGTCAATTGACATTCACATAATGCCCCATTAATGATACTGATGACAGTGATTGGATGAGAAGTGGCAAGCTGAGAAGCAGAAATTCACCTGGTCTTGTTTTTTTTTTTTTTTTTTTTTTTTTTTTTTGAGACGGAGTCTCGCTCTGTCGCCCAGGCTGGAGTGCAGTGGCGGGATCTCGGCTCACTGCAAGCTCCGCCTCCCGGGTTCACGCCATTCTCCTGCCTCAGCCTCCCAAGTAGCTGGGACTACAGGCGCCCGCCACTACGCCCGGCTAATTTTTTGTATTTTTAGTAGAGACGGGGTTTCACCATTTTAGCCGGGGTGGTCTCGATCTCCTGACCTCGTGATCCGCCCGCCTCGGCCTCCCAATTGTTTATCCATCTTCTCTGAGCATGTGCTTTAGTTCATTCTTAATCATTTACACTTTTCTTTTATGCCTAATTGTTTGCTGGAGGTGATACATTCCAACAGTGACTGCTTAGATATGGTTGTGGTGCAGGTTTTTAAATCCAATTCAAGCAAATGCAGGCATGTTATCAAGATGGATGTTACCTATACAATCTTATGTTCCAAATAACTAGAGCAGAGTTTGGTGTTGGCAGCACCGTGAGATGGAGCAGAGAGCCCATCAATGCCTTTTGTAATGATGTCCATGACAATCAAGGAGTGTTTTGTCCCTTAATGGTTTTGTAAAGTCAATATGGATTATTGATCCCAACTTATTAAAGGCTTCCTGGAAAGTTGTGTATACCATTGGTAGTTCATGAGGTAGTTCAACAATTGGGACATTCTTTTAGTTTTCCATGATTAGAATCCCTTCTAAATTACCAGTCCTTTTTCTACCTAATGCTTTCAAGTAAATAATCCTATGATGTGCTGCACAGCATCTGTTATATCAGTGGCTTTCATTTTTTTCTTCTTTTTGTGCATAAGTGTTTCTGGAGGTATTTGAAAAATGTAGACTCCCAGGTCTCACCTTCAAGGATTTAGATTCGGTTAGTCTGGAGTAAGACCTGGGCATCTGTATTCGGAATACATGCTGGATAATGCTGAGGTAGATGCTCGAAGGATTTACCACTTTGAGTTAGTAGGTTTATGATGGTTGGTGTCCACAGTAATTAAAACAATTTTTTGAAGGCTATATAATGATATGAAACCCAGAGTATACTCGATATAGTCAAGGACTATCATTGCACTTGACTGTTACATAATTCTGACTGGACTGAGGCTTCATTGATGTCTTTTCATTTAAGCAGACATTCCTTAAGTGCTGACAATGGATAAGGGACTATGGTAGGTGCAAAGACGGTCACAGAGATGAGGAACACATGATTCTTGTTCCCAAGGAATCTACAATTTTTGGCTTTTCATTAGTTTCTTTTCACTAATAACTATATTAGAGAATAAGTTAATTACTGCCAGGGAAGTGAGTTTGAATTTAACTCAATTCAGAGTTAGGAAATTAAAATGCCAATTTACCATCAGTTTGCTCTTGTGCCTTGAGCAAAATTGTTTGTATCTCTAGTCTTTATTTCTCTTACTTCTAAGATAAAGCGGTTAGGCCATACAATTATAAAATATTTTTGTACTTCTAAAATTCAATGTTAAAAACTTTATGTTAAAAAAGCCAATGAGTCAGGTGCAGTGGCTCACGCCGGTAATCCCAACACTTTGGGAGGCTGAGGCAGGTGGATCGCCTGAGGTCAGGAGTTCGAGACCAGCCTGGCCAACATAGTGAAACCTTGTCTCGATAAAAATACAAAAAATTAGCTGGTCGTGGTTGCGGGCGCCTGTAATCCCAGCTACAAGGGAGGCTGAGGCAGAAGAATTGCTTGAACCTGGGAGGTGGAGGTTGCAGTGACCTGAGATCGTGCCATTGTACTCCAGCCTGGGCAACAAGAGCAAAACTGCATCTCAAAAAAATAAAAACAAACAAACAAACAAACAACCAACCAAACAAAAACCAATGAACAAAAGAAGATACAAGAATTGCTAATAAGCACATGAAAAGATGTTCAAAATCTTTAGCCATTAGGGAAATGCAAATTAAATTTCAGTGGGATATCATTTCACATCCACTAGAATGGCTATAATAAAAAAGACAATAACAAGTGTTGGTGAGGATATGGAGAAACTGAAATTTTCATGTATTGCTGGTGTGAATTTAAAATGGGGGAACTGCTTTGGAAAACAGTTTGTCAGTTTTTCAAAAATTTAAATTTACTATGTGACCCAGCAATTCCATTGCTAGGAATCTACCCAAGAGAGATGAAAGCATGTATCTACACAAAGATTTGTATGCAAATGTTCATGGCAGCATTATTCACCATTGACAAAAGTGGGAAATAATCTAAATACCCACCAACTTGCTAATGGATTAAAAAATGATATATAACTATAATTGAATACTATTTAGCAACAACAAAAAGTATAGGTAACTGATGCCTGTTACAACATGGATAAATTTTAAGTGAAAAAAGCCATATGCAAAAGAGCACATATTGTATGATTCAATGAACATTCCATAGATGATATGTCCAGAAAGGCAAACCTACAGAGACAGAAAGCAGATTAGTGTTTGCCTGCCACTGGGAGTAGAAACAGCAGGGTGGTGACTGCAAATGAACATGAGGGAGCTTTTCAGAGGAATCTAATGTTCTCAAACTGGATTTTGGTAATGGTTGCAGAACTCTGTAAATTTATTAAAAGTAATTGAATTGTACACTTAAAATGGATGCATTTTATAGCATGTAGATACTATAAATGTTATATAAGTATATCTATTTAATTTAGAGTATATATATACATATATGTGTACATATACTCTCTATATGTACATATATAGATACATACATATATATACACATATATGTATATATATACTCTAGTCTCATATGGATCTAGTAAATTTCTACATCAGTCAAAGAGAGAAAAACATCATCTACATATATATCCTTTACTCCTGTTTTAGTCTATTTCGTGATGCTATAACAGAATACAAGAGGCTGGGTAATTTATGAAGAAAAGGGTTTGTTTTTGTTTTTGTTTTTGTTTTTGTTTTTGTTTTTAAGCTCACAATTCTGATGACTGGAAAGTCCAAGATCATGGCACTGGCATTTGCTCAGCATCTGGTGAGGGCCACGTACTGTGTCAAGACATGGTAGAGACATGGAAAGGTGAGTGGGTGTATAAATAAAGCAAACACGAGGAGGAACAACCTGCTCTTGTGGTAACCAATCTAGTTCCGTGAGAGTGAAAACTCATTCCTGTGAGATGACATTAATTTATTCATGAGAAATCTGCCCCTATGACTCACCTCCCACTAGGCCCTACCTCCCAATGCTGCTACATTTAGGAATCAAATTTCAACGTGAGTTTCGGCAGGGGCATACTACATCCAAACCACAGCAACCCTTTATATTCCTTCTCTATCTATACTAATAGTTTAAGCCCTATCTGAGGGGTAAACTGTAGAACACATGACTTAAAATGAAGGTAGTTTCATAGCTCTGACAAAATGATAACACCACAAGTAACATAATAATAAAATACTTATGATTTTTATTATTTTACTTTAGTTCCAATCCTTACATTATCTGATTTAAACCAAAGGAGCAACAAGAAATCAAAGCTTGGATTAAGAAAAGCATTGATCTGAAGGGACCAAGAACCAACTCATTTGCATTCATGGAGTGTTCTTTTAGAGTACTTGCTTTTACAGATAGACTGGTCCATCTGCAGTGAACAAGCAGGCCTGTTTACGTAGCAGTTGGCTTTCTTATAGTTCTAGAGAAATATCAGTGGTTGAGATAATTATACAGTGAGACTACAGTTATTGTGGGGAAATTGCCTTGTCAAAGATGGGTGTGCAATAATGCAGTCTCTGCAAAAAGCCATGCCACAGCCTTTTCATCACTTTATTATTAACTCCATAGTTACCAATTTATCATGGTAACTAGCGTACATTTTTAAAAAATATGAAAAGGTAAAAAAAACTCAACAACTATGTAACCTCAATGTTACAAATTTTTATACCTATTAGAGGCAAATTATTCTAAATTTTTAGTATGTCTATATCATTTTAGTTCTTTCCCCTTCCTTTTCATTTTTCTTACATAACCATGGTTACCACTCATTTGCTCATGCCATGAGATATTGTTGGAGGTGGGTGGGTAAGGTAATCTGAATTATAGAGGCAGGGAAGGTAAATTTCCTTTCTTTTTCTTTCTTGGATCTTATATATGTGTCACTTGAGTTCAATTTTTCAGCATGTATCTTTTTGAGTACTAGTTATGTACCCGAATGGTGATGATTAAGAAAGACTTGGTTTCTGGCCAGGCACAGCGTCTCATACCTGTAATCTCAGCTCTTTGGGAGGCCGGGGTTGGTGGGTCACTTGAGGCCAGGAGTTTGAGACCAGCCTGGCCAACATGGTGAAACCCTATCTCTACTAAACATACAAAAATTAGTCCAGCGTGGTGGTTTATGCCTGTAATCCCAGCTACTTGGGAGGCTGAGGCATGAGAGTCACTTGAACTGGGGAGGTGGAGGTTGAAGTGAGCCGAGATTGTGCCACTGCACTCCAGCCTGGGCAGTAGAAACTCTATCTCAAAAAAAAAAAAAAACCAAAAAAGCAAAAATTTGTCCAGTGTGGTGGTTTATGCCTGTAATCCCAGCTACTTGGGAGGCTGAGGCATGAGAGTCACTTGAACCTGGGAGACGGAGTCTGGTGGGGGAAGGGGAGAAACAGAAACATAAATGATCAGCACAAATGGTGTGAAAAATACTAGATAAATGCAAACTTGGGTACTATGGGAACTAAGGGGAGAGGATACCTACAGAATAAATCATGCAACCGACCTTGTCCATGGCTTCTCTGTGAATGACTTCTAGGCCTTGATGGTTCAATTGTCTTGTGAAATTTGTGCAACGAGACAGTCTTATATCTGTGCCAAGAAGTACTATAAATTCCCATTGCTTGAAAAAATATATTCCCCATGATTGGCTGACAATTTGCAATTACGTAACTAGGCATAAATAAATATAATGTATTCATATGAAGATATAAGTAATTGTGGGAGACATAATGTTTTTAGCTGTATAAATTCTTTAGCCTTAACTGTACACATGCTTTTTGGAAAGTAGGTTCAGGTGGAGGAGAGGAAAGAAAATCTGAGGCCCTCAAATACCTTGTTAAGTGGATAAGTGGAAGCTTGTACAACAAAATAGGAATAAAGATAACTGAGAAAGGGAAATGTGCAGGAGATCACCCTAAATTATTTCACAATTTTGCTTAAGAATCTCCCTCACACTACATATAAGCTCTGGCAAGCAAAGACTATTGCTGCTTTAAGTTAATGATGACATGGCCACAGAGAGGAACTTATGGCTTCAGTCAAAGCAAACCACATGGGTAATTCACTGGCCTCTTGCACTGTTAAGAACTGTGACATCCCTTCACTGTGACGTGACATTTGTCGTCTGACCTCATTCTCTTAAAATGGTTGCTTTCCCATTGGCTTTCTGGCTTCACTCCCTCTCAGTTTGGTATCAATATACATGGACAGCTTTCTGACTCAATCAGGGCTTGTTTCTAGTGTTTTCTTTCAGAAATCTCTTTGGTTGATAACCTAATTCTGGGAATAGTAGCAGTGATTCTAGGACCCCAAGAGACAAAGCACACTCGAGATTCTAGCTCCTAGGAATCATAATAGTCAATCATTAGATTAAGATCCTATTTTCATAATTCCTTTGACAGAGTCAGTGTTTCTTAAAGGGTGATTCCTGGGCCACCTGTATCAGAAATTACCTGGTGGGGCTGATTACAACTGTAGATTCCTGATTCTCTTCCAGAGCAGAATATCTAAGTGTGGGCCCTGGGGATTGTTACGCTTGCTCAAGTTTGAGAATCTCTGGGATAGCTAAAACAGCAAAGTTCCATAGGACTATAGTGTGTGAAAAATGATTGACAAACAACAGGACCCCCTAAAGGCTCAAGAGGGTCAACAAAAAAGAGAACTTCAAGGGCCTACTGAAGCACAGAAAGAAGAGTGCAGTCTGATAGGCATCCATTGGGCTAGAAGAGACTTTTCAGAAGACAGGGAGACCAGGGTAAATACCATATATTGAAGCTGCTGTCCCAGCAATGGACGGTTTATACAGATGCCCTAGGCAGAAGTGGCTGCTGATTCCACATCAGAACTGATTTTTTGTTTCATTCTTTTGGTGTTTACTGTACACTACTGTGTACTTATCAAAGATTGTTATCGAGGGGCAGAGAAATTTGCCAGGGCTTTGCCCTCAAGAAACTTGTGATCTAGTTGGGGAGCCACTTAGAAAGGAGTCTAAAATGGGCAAATTGATGCTAAGATAACATTCAATTAAGTGGAGTAAACTCAATGAAGTTTCTCAATGAAGTGAGAAACTGCATATGTTAGTGTGTTTACAAATAGTGGTTATGGCTCTGATCATCACTGTAGGCTCTTAGAGGAAAGGTCCAACTTGCCCTTCCTGTCAGGATCACTTGTCAGAATCATTATCTTTTAGGTAGTTCTACTGTGTTTTCTTCTGCAGACCTGTGGGCGTGTATGTTGCCAGGATCACTGGCAATGGTAGGGCAGTCTCATGAAGCTTCCTTTGTCGAACGCTTTCTTTGCATTGTTGAAGGGCAAGACAAGTCTTGTGCAACCTGCCAAAATGAATCACAATTCCCCTTGGACTCCACTCAAATTAAATTCCTATTTAG
This sequence comes from Homo sapiens, assembly GCF_000001405.40. NCBI lineage: Eukaryota > Metazoa > Chordata > Mammalia > Primates > Hominidae > Homo > Homo sapiens. The sequence continues at coordinate 151,040,199 of NC_000002.12, read as the reverse complement.
TTAATTAATTTGTTGCTGTCCTTGTTCTACCTCTTGCCACTGACTTTGTCCATATGGTGCTGGGTTACAGCATCTAAGAATCAGAGATAGGAATGCCAGACACTTAGTGAGAGCTCAGTAAATACTTGTGATTACCTCTATTATTGTTCTCATCTTCCTTTTCCCCGATATGCAAAGTTATGTAAGAATACAAAGACATATTTCTTCTCATGGAATCTTAGGGTTGGAGAAATTTCAAAAGTCACCTAATTTAATGTAGTTGATTCATATTGGAATCCTCTCCACTGTATTTCTGGATAATTGGATAAATATCCAATTAGGTATCCAATGAATCCTTCAGTCCTTTCTACCATATCCCTGTCTTCTGGGTCAACTCAGAACACTATTAGAGAACATGAAGAAACCATGCAACTTTGTGTCCTAGGGCTTGGTGTGAGTCCAAGTTCCCACAGAATTCTTCATACTGAGGGCCCAGGAGCTTGGTTTATTCTCAAATATGAAGCTACCCATGGCAGTCTTGTTATACCATGGCTCAATTTCCTCCCCGCCAAAAGCTGGAGTCTAGCAATAGAGCTGGACCATCCCGTTTTTGTTGCAAATCTCATTTCCCTGTAAATTTCCCTTCTTCAGCAGTACTTTGAGCAGGTCTTCAGTGCACTCCTCAAACACACTTCTGCTTCGTGCTTTTGGATACCTCATCTAGAGTGTGTGCGGGTGTGGGGATGGGGATTTGTAGAAGTGGAAACTGAAATCCACAAGCCCAGATGCATTGGCCTGGAGTCAGAACATCTAGATTCACATCTCAGCTCAGACTTGCTGGTGGCCTGAGCTGCTCACTTAAGATGCTTGAGCCTCAATCTTCTCATCTGTAAAGTGGGAACAATAGTAATAATTATGCAGTTTCAGGGAGGACTAAAAGAGATGGTGTGTGTTGAGTGCTTAGCCCTGCACCTGCCTCTCATAAGGAGCTCTTTTTAGTCCCTCATGAACTAAGACTTCCCCCGGGCTTGGCTGGAGTTGTGAAGTAGGGAGACCACAATGAGAATCATGGGCAGTTGTTTCAGCAAGTGTGCAGGGAATGGATATGAACTAGAAGTTTGCCCCTGAAGTCTCGTCATCTCAAGCCTTATCTTGTGCAAGGAGGTGAGGAGAAGGGCTAGAAGAAACTCTGGACCTGGACAAGATTGTGGAGAGGATCTTGTTCCTTTTCTTCATCTCACACACACCTGTTGCCCCTCCACCGCCTAGGACAGCCTCCTCCTCCTCCTCATTCTGCTATTTTTCTTGAGCCTATTTACTGCCTTAAATGTATAGTCTCTTTGGATTCGACAGATAAAAACAATAACAAAACAATGTCACTTTCTGTTCCTTATCATACGGCCCTAGATCCTTTGACAGCATAGAATGGTGGGCTTTGGGGTGGGGAGAGAGCCCACAGGCTGCATTCACTGTCTCTGCCCGAGTGCAAAGCTGCCAGTATCCATCTTGTCACACTACGTTTTTTTCTGACTCCCCAGCCTGCAGGGGCCAGGGTGAGTATTTGCATTAATGTCAGACATGGCCAGGTTCAATGTGAATTCTTGCGTGTCAAGCTGCTTATGACCTGCATCTTCACCCAAAAGGTTTCTCCAGTTTATTTTCCTTGTTCCACTGGAAAGATAATTCCAGAGGAATTATAAACCCGATCTTGAACATCCTGCAGACAAAGAATCCTTGTTTTCCTAAATAGGACAAAATTTGAAATATTGACATGAGTCAAGAGAGGAGGGGAGGACAGGTCAAGACACACTTTTTAATATGTTAGTGCTTTGCATTAGACAGGTGGGAGAAAGCAGTTATACTGTTTACATCAATTAGAAAAGATAATAGATGGAAAGTTTTGTGTCTAAGAAAAATTCCCTTTATGAGAAAATAAAGAAATGCATCCTTCCATTTATCTGACAGAATGATAGGACAGAATATGTCTGGTGAAACACATACTCACCGTTTCTGTCTGCACTCAAACACAAAACACTTCTTTGAACAAAGTGCCGGCTTTTCCCGCACATCAGTTCTCCACTGGACACCAACTGGGTGTGCTATAATTTAGTTCAATTCTGACACTGTCTACCTGGAGATAGTGTCAGATCTCACAGGTTAAAGGCTCAGTCCCACAAGAGTGCCCCACTTCAGATGCCAGTTGCAAGTCTGGGCCCCCAATACTTCTGACTGACTGACTATAAATCAGGGGTTCCCATGACCACCTCCTCCTAGTTTGCTTAAATTGTTACCCGAAAGGGGTCCTGATCCAGACCCCAAGAGAGAGTTCTTGGATCTTGTGCAGGAAAGAATTTGTGGCAAATCCATAAAGTGAAGCAAGTTTATTAGAGAAGTAAAGAAACCAAAGAATGGCTACTCCACAGGCAGATGGTTGGCTATTTTATGGTTATTTCTTGATTATATGCTAAACAAGGGGTGGATTATTCATGAGTCTTCTAGGAAAGGGGTGGGCAGTTCCTGGAACTGAGGGTTCCACCCCCTTTTAGACCGTATGGGATAACTTCCTGACATTGTCATGGCATCTGTAAACTGTCACGGCAATGGTGGGAGTGTCTTTTAGTAGCTAATGCATTATAATGAGGGTATAACGAGCAGTATAATGAGGAGAAGCAGAGCTCACTCTCATCACCATCTTGGTTGGCAGGATTTGGCTGCCTTCATTACTGTATGCTGTTTTATCAGCAAGGTCCTTGTGACCTGTATCTTGTGCCGACCTCCTGTCTCATCCTGGGACTAAGAATGCCTTCTCTCCTGGGAATGCAGCCCAGTAGGTCTCAGCCTTATTTTACCTAGGCCCTATTCAAGATGAAGTCTCTCTGGTTAAACACCTCTGACAGAATGGCCCCCCAAACTCAGGGAAACACTTTACTTACATTTACCAGTTTATTGTAAAGGGTACAACTCAGATGGAAAAGATTCATGGGGCAAGGTATGGACGGGGAAAGGGTAGGAAGCTTCTGTGCCCACTCTGGGCATGCCACCCTCCTTGCTCCTCCATGTGTTCAGCAACCTGGAAACTCATCAAGTCTCATGGTTCAAGAGTTTTTATAGAGTTTAATCTCCAGACTCCCCCTCCCTCTTCTTGGAGGTTGGTGGGTAGGGCTGAAAGTTTCAACCTTCTAATCCTCTATGCACTGTGTCTTTCAGGTGCCTGGCCTCATCCTGAGGCTATCTGGGGACCCCATCCTAAGTCACCTCATTAGCCCAAACTCAGATGATGGAAAGTGGCTCATTATCAATAACAAAAGATATTTCAATCACTCAGGAAATTCCAAGGGTTTTAGGTGCTCTGGGACAAGAATGGGAACAAAGCCCAAATATGTATCTCATTATCCACAATGTGCTGTGCCTGACACAGCCTCAGCCAAGGGAAATGAATGAACTTGGGAACCAGACAGATGGTTTTAAATCTTGACTCTGACACTTTGTGACCTTGACTAAATTACTTCATGTCTCTGACCCTCAGGAACACCACCTGTAAAATGGGGTGTGTATATGCCACCATATAGGGCCTTAATCATATAGACTAAGTAGCCATGGGGCAGTGGCCCACACCTGTAGTCCCAGCTACTCAGGAGGCTGAGGCAGGAGCATCACTGTAGCCCAGTATTTAAGGTGGCAGTGAGCTACAATCCTTCCACTGCACTCTCTAGCCTGGGCCACAAAGTGAGATCCCATCTCTTTTAAGAGGCCCTTGGCCCTCTGGAATTTCACTGATAATCACTGGCGTGAGGCATACACATTCATTTAACATGTACACACGAAAGCCTTCAGAACAAACACCCAACACCTCAATAAAGTTCAGAAGCTTATATACCATCTTGAGGTTAGAGACAGAAAGCAGGCCCAGAGCATGGCCAAAAACAGGAGATGGCGGTAAATCAAATTTCAGTAGCAAGACAAGTTACAGGAGGGAGAGAAGAGGATGCCTGGCTAGCAAAGGTGGTCTTGTTGTGTAGATGAAGACTCACTGGTAGCAGCCGTCAGAGACAACAGATGGTAAATGTTTATTTTCAGACCTTTCACTGTGTCCCACTCTCAGTTAATCTCTCCTAGATCCAGAAAAGTCCTAGAAAGTGAGGGCTTGGCTGGCATTAATGGAGATTCTCCACAGATGCAAATTATCCTTACCTGAGTGTGCTGGCTCTGCAGCAGCCATTTCAAAATATGTCAAAGAAATATATTTGGGGGTAAAATATTTTGATCTCCTTCACTTCCAAAGTCTTCTTGATGTCTAAATCAGTCTTACACACTGGCAGAAAAAGCAGCCACCTTCATCAAGCTATTTGAAAGGAACTAAGAAGTCTGCCTACTCAAAATTATATCTGCCTTTTTTCTTTTTTTTTAACTTAAAAGTGTATTTTTTTATTGTTAAACATTAAAAAAATTTTTTTTTTGAGACAAAGTCTCACTTTGTCACCCAGGTTGGAGCGCAGTAGCACAATCCCAGCTCACTGTAGCCTTGACTTCCCAGGCTCAGGTGATCCTCCCACCTCAGCCTCCTGAATAGCTAGGACTACAGGTGCCCACCATCACACCCAGACAATTTTTGTATTTTTTATAGAGACTGGGTTTTGCCATGTTGCCCAGGCTGGTCTTGAACTCCTGAGCTCAAGCAAACTGCCTGCCTTGGCCTTCCAAAGTGGTAAGATTACAGCATGAGCCACCATGCCCAGCTGTACTTAAATTAAAAAAAAAAATAGATGTAGGGAATACAAGTGCTGTTTTGTTACATGGATATATTTTGTAGTGATGAAATCTGGGCTTTTAGTGTACCCATGACCTGAATATTGTAGATTGTACCCATTAACTAATTTCTCATCCTTCACCCCTTCCAACCCTTCTGAGTCTTTAATGTCTATTATTCCACACTCTATGTCCATGTGTATACATTATTTAACTCCCACTTATAAGTGAGAACATGTATTTGACTTTCTGTTTTTGAGTTATTTAACTTAGGATAATGGCCTCCAGTTCCATCCATGTTGCTGCAAAAGACAGGATTTTATTCTTTTTTATGGCTGAGTAGTATTCTATGGTGCATATGTACCACATTTTCTTTATCCAATCATCCATCGATGGATATTTAGGTTGATTCCAAATCTTTGCTATTGTGAATAGGGCTGCGATTGTGATGCAAGTGTATCTGGTTTCAAAGCAGGAAAGGAATACAAACTTTTGGCAACTTAGCATGGGTTAATCTGTTTGAAGGGGCAGGAAAGAAATGGGGCACAGGAAAGATGTGCTTAATTGGGGAGAGGAGGTAAGAAAAGAAGCAGAGGATGGAGAGCTACCTGGGAGGAGAGGTCTGGGAGAAGCCACAGGGGAGCCTCACAGACACCATGGCAAATAATGAGGAAGGGGAATCCAGGTGAGCACGCAGAGGACATGGACCCCACAGACACTGACGTGGGGCCTGCCGTGTACAGACATTTATATTTTATCTTATGTGCTTATATTCCTATGTTTATGTTTTCGCTGCTGAAAATGTAAATAGAGGTAAAGAGGCTGAAGCTTTTATTTTTTCTTTCTTTCCCTTTTTTTTAAAACACCAAAGGTTACCTTTTGGTGAATGATCACTTAGTATGCACTTAATGGCACCACAGTGTCCAATTCAGCCCATTAGAATGAATAGTATTTCCCCAGGAGAACTTCATTCACTCTAGCTTGATGGCATTAGGAAATAATTTCAGCTTCTAGGCAGTATATATTCCCCTCCCCCATCTCCTTTATTGCCATAAATACCAATGCAAGAATTTAAACAACGAATCCAGGGCTATTTTATTTTGCTCATCATTACTATTCATATACACAAATACACACCTCATACCAAATTATACCAAAAATAAAAGATGACAGTGAACAGCTACATATTAACGTATTTGCACAGAGTGCTGGCATAGTCTAAAAACTTGGGTTTATGTTGTTAATAAAGCATGATTGGTCTAAGAAATATCAGTAACGTTCTAGACAGCTTCTTGTTAATGTCTGAAAGTATTTCTGCATCTTATTTTCATTAGGAAAAGAGAGATGTAACAATTTAGGATTTAATGGTCAAATGATGCTGTTACTACCCAGATACTGTCATTTCTGCACCATGACTATGCTGATGGATCTTTCCAATTTTGTCACTTCCTTCTGTATCATTATTCCTTCAGCTGGTTAGTTTCTGGCTTTCACATCAGCCCCAAAGAAAAACACTTAAGAATGCTCACATTTCTGTCACTAATCTTTGGCTTATTAGATCTTTTCTTATAATTGCATTTCAGGGGCTCTACCGAGTTGCTGGAATAGTTGGTGTGTGTCAGATATTATCGTAAGACTTGGGGAAGGTAATCCTGGGCTTTACAAGGTAAGACAAATGTGGTATGGGAGAAAAATAGATTGTTGATGGTGAGGCTTACTAAGAAACATTTGTTTTCCTTCCAGCTTTGGTTGTTAAATTAAATTATGACTTTGAGGAACAGGAGCCCTAAATTCTTTCTTCCTGACTTACAAGCATATTCAGCTAGGATTTTATGCTGGGTCCTTTCCCTCACTCTGTCAGTGGCTGGCACCCCGATGAAGACTGCTGTCAGCTTAAGATAAATCATATTTCAAACATATTTTTTTTTTCAGATTGGGCAGCCAAAATTAGTGCAAGGAATGTCAGTCTGTTGCCAGATCTGTCAATATAAAGTTTAGATCACAGTTAACTGGTGCCAGTTTAGTTAACTACCTGACAAAAAAGGCTCATAATATGCCATGAAGAATCATTTCATTCTTAAAATGATAGATGCTCAAAGCCAGCAGGGATGCTGAAACTGACACTGGCCCTTTCAAAAAGGACTTGATAACATTATGGAATAATGGAAAGAAGGGAAGCTTGACCTGGAAATAGATGAAGGTTGAAAAATCCTACCCTTATTTTATACAACTTATCTGCTAGTATATATATAAAAAAACACACACACACTTGACTTGAAGCCATACACAGATTGTCATGTGGTAAAATAGTCTCTTGGTTAATTCAATCTGCTTCTAAGAATTTTGTTGATATTCCAAATTCCAGAAGGACAGAGTTCAGACTCCAGATGGTTTAGAAATAGATATGTTTCGTTGTATTTGTTAGAGTAGGCTCATCTGTGCTAACAAATAGAAGCAAAAAAATGTAATGGCTTATACCCAGTTTCTTTCCAAGTCTTTCATGAATCCCAGGCAGATGTTTCTGGTCAGCTGGTGGCTTTCCTCCATGTGGCAATTCAGGGACTCATGCTCTTTTCATCTGGCAGCTCTAGCATCCTACCACCAGTCTAGACCAGTGCTTCTCAAATTTCAATGCATATATGAATCACCTGGGGGAGCTTGTTAAAAGGCAGATTCTGTTTCAGGAGGTCTGGAATGGGACCCAAGATTTTGCGTCTTTAATAAGCACTGAGTGATGCCAATGGGGCTGGTTCATAGACTAGACTTTGAGAAGCAAGAATCCACATGACCTCATCATCAACTGCCTCTAGCTGGTGGAAGAGAGAAGAGCATGAAGCACATGGGGGCTTTCTGTTGGGCTGGCTTGGAAGTGGCAATTTGCTATCCTTCTCTGTGAATGATGATACCTGGCATCTATAAATAATTCTTCTTTTGAGAAGTCTGAAACTGATTTTGAGCACAGTCTCATTTATCTTGTGAGTTAGAAATAAGTTTGGGTCACCATTTCCACCCCTAAAACACTTAGGTATTCAGAACATATGTGGTCCCTGAGTGGCAGGTAGAGTACCTGCAATGCAGCATTGTGTTGCCAACACCAGCTTTTTCCTGGAGCCCTCTGTGGTTTCACCTCACTGCAGCTCCCACAACTTGTCTCCCGGCTCCTCTGTTGTTATTGTGGGATTCGCCTTATCCCTTAATGGAATAGAGTTTTCTTACAGCCCTATGCTGTGTTTGTATTCATATGGTGCATTTGTCCTCAGAGGATTCAAGATCCATTTAGTCCATGTAATTCATTTTAAATAGCTTAGTAAAAATTTAGTTGAACTCAAGCTCCAAGCACAATTTCAAGCAAATGCCTATGTTATTGGAGGGGATCTTTAAACAGGTACTGAGGGGCATATCTGGGGTCAGTGGGTGAGAGACACTTGTTCGAGTGCAGCTTGTGGTCATCACAACATAATTTATAATTATCTTATGATATCTAAGCTGTGGGTGGGGAAAATGGAGAGTTACTCTTACTCCTACTATTTTATGCCAGACTGGGGGTGGGGGAGAAACCCCAAAGCTTTCATTAGGTTTTTATAGGTTTTGCAATCATATTTTCCCAACTTAGAAGTGGTCTGCAAGCTAAATGAAATTACAGCAATTGGTAGCTTTTCAAGCCTAATATATGTGTTTGGTTTTTAAAGCCTGCCCTGATAAAATAATTTTTTGTTGTTGTTGTTATGACTGTTGTTTTCACTTATACACCTGGATGAAATTATTTAGTCAGCCCCCAAGATATTGAAAAAACAAAGAAAGTTTAGTGTCCCATTAATAAACTGGTCATTCCTTCTCTCTGCTCCCAAGGGTCTTGTCCTGTGTTGTGGTGCTTTCATACAAATTTGATCTTAGAATGTATGTTATAAAGTTAGGGCAAAATTTTCATTGAGAGCTTATGGGAAGTACAAAGCCTTTTACCTCAAGGTACCCAATTTAAATTTGCCCAATGTTTAAAGCTCCTGCAACCCCGCATGTCAGTTTCTGTCTTTAGTTGTGGCTTTCCTGGCATATAAATGTGAACAAATGAGAGTTAGTCTCATCTTAGCTCTTGAATCATCTGCTGAACTTGCTTCTTCCAGGCTAGTTCTACCTTGTTGGTCTCAGTTCCACAGCTGTCCACCATTTACTTTGCGTCTGGTCATTGCCTTGGATTCTTGGACCAGAGGCGTCTCAAAAGGGAAGTCGGTCGTAATTCCCAAAGATACAATCCTGGATGCATAATCCCAAAAGATCAAAATTCCTAAAATCTGAAATCCTGAAGATCACAATCCTGAAATATCAAACCCCCAGAAATATAATTCTAGAAAAAAATAATTCTAAATGTCTTTAAAATATACTAATTTACATTTTTAGAAGATTTATTTCTTCTGCCATTTCCCTAAAACAGCGCCCCCTGTCAGCAGGAAGCAGTTAAGATTGGTCTTCCTTCTTAGTTTTATTCTAACGGCAGTTAGATGGACTTCTTTAGAGGGGTGAATGAGACAGCCAGGTGGGAAGGGGTCCCCGGAACAACTCCAACCTTCCTGCTCACTGGAAGGAATGTGCACTGGGTGGTGTACCACTGGGTGCTGTAGCCTTGGGAAGTTCCCGCTGTTTCCAGCAGGGAGGAGCCTGACCCCTCCTCTTCCTGTGTCGAACCTGGGATTCAAGCTGCAAGCGGGAAGCACTCTAGCAAGGGACTCTGGCCTTGCAGAGGATCCCTGTTTTCCCCCTTTTCCCCCGTTTCACCCAATGAAACCCTGCTTTACTCATGCTTCAGACCGTCTGTGAGCCTAAATTTTCATGGCCATGGGATGGACAAGGACCCCATCTTTAGCCGAACTAAGGAAACGTCCTGCAAGAATAGCATACATATTTTTGCAAGAATAAGCACTCAGATAAGGACATGGTTATAACAGTTATGAGCAGACGAACTGGATTTATAAAGAAATAGGTCAAAAAGTGAAATGTATGAATGTCTATCACTATGGTTGGTTATTGTGTGCATCCATCTTTATAACTCGGTCACCTGAAATAACGTGACTGACAACCTGTCTTTTGATGAGATTGAGGAAAAACCTTGATGGGTCACCACTGCAAATGCAGGTACCTAAGAACCGAGATCTTACAAAATGTTATCTTTCTTAAATGTAGATGTACAAAGAAGACACCTCTTTATTTATTGAGGAAGTTCCAATGTTTTTATGTGCACTCACAATGTTTACACCCAGTCAACGTTGTGATAATGCACTTTTGTAGAATCAAACCTGCACAAAGTGCATAAGACAAATTAGACCTCTCTAAAAGTGTACACAATTTTTATGTACAATATTTGGAATGATGCAAAGATGAAATATATAGCATAGAAAATTAGGAGTGGAGGTAGTTCATAAGAGCTGGCTGAATTTCATAATCATTAACTAGTTTTTGAAGTCTTGCATTGAGATGAATTGAGATGAATAGCTGCTTTTTTTTTTTTTCCTTTTAGGGCATGGCTCTCATTGAAGAATACATTCACTTTCATTTTCTATGTGTCACTGCTCTTTTTGAAACTCTTCTATGATTCTATATACACGAACATGAGAATTCCTTATTAAATTTTCTCATCTTTTGTGCCTGCTTCTGTGATGTTTTGAGTACTCGGAAATCCATTCCACATGTACTCATACATAGACCACAAATTTGGTGGAACCAATACTGGTGACTGAACCGCAATGCTGTTGCATAAGTGTCTTCTGTGCACATCATTATTCTTGAACTAGTCAGTAACTTCTTTGCTGGCTTCTTCAGGCAAATGTCCCTTTAATTCATTAAAAGCTCCTGGAATTTCATCAACTGGAAGGAATGCCAATGTAGACAAATAACGCATTTTTAAAATGGAAGTTTTCATCTTGTCTGTGTCACATGGCCAATCCACTCATCTGGATTTTCTGCCAAATGCATATAAAGTCAACCACAAGATAACAGTTCCACATAATATGATGCAACTATCATGCATACAACCAAAAGTGTACCAATGCCTTCCCTTGAATTTGGATTTCAACATTCAGGATTTTAATATTTCAGGATTGTGATTTTAAGAATCTTAGATTTTAGGGATTTAGGATTTAGGGATTTTGAACTTTGAGGATTTTGTCTTTTGGGATTATGATCCAAATTTCTCAGAAGGTCTTTTTTTCCTGTGTAAGCATCAACAGAAAGGTGATTGGTCCAGACCACACTTCCTTGTCCTGTCCTGCTCCTTGGTTTTTCATCCTACCAAATACACACTGTGTAGGCATTTGCTACTTTACTAAAATGTTGGGAGAACAGAAGGTAACTATGTTCTAGGAAGAAAAAAATGTCTAATTTCTGTCTCATGTGACAGTTTTTATCATTCAATGAAACACATGCAGGCATATAAATGCTTTCTAGCTGTTATCTCAAGAAAATGCCCCAGTTCCTTCCTATTTTGCTCCCTGACCTTGTGTCCACCCTCTTATAGGAAAGAACACTTCTTTCTTGAGAACTCTATGTACTGTTTCTTCACTTCTGTGAGGCTCAATATTGCTCTAGGATATCTTTTTCTACTTACTGGTAGCAGGACCCAAGCAATCCACTTTCCTACCTTTGAGACTTCAAGTCTTCTGTAACATGCAGTGGCAGGGATTGGAGTAGGCTTGGCAGGAGGGTCTAGGATGAGCCTTGGCAATCTTAGTACAGTAGAAACATCCAGAGTGGATTTAGAAACTTCCAATCTGATTCTCTTCATTTCTCCAAGAGAAATGGAGATTAAGAATTTTTCATCATCATTCAATTTGTAACTATTGAATAGAATACACATGTGTACCCATAAAGCTCACTCATTCCCCAAATACTAATTTTCAAAAACAGTAGTGTCTAGATCCATATTAAGCAGAAACATGTTTTATGGAACACAGTTCAATCTGCACAGACTCCTGAATGGTGCATGGTTGTAGATTCAGGCGTGATTTCTCCCTGACCTTAGCTTTTTCCATCCTCCAGGTCCAGGGTAAGCCCTTGAATTTCCTGCTTACAAAATACATGAGAAACTGAGTCTATTACCCTGAAAACTATGCAAATACTCAGGAGAAGATTGGAAATGAGCATTATTTTGAATTTTAGGACAGATCATATTCTTAGGACATCCCCATTCTCTTTAAGTTTAAGGGAAGCTGTATTCAGGTTGTGGTGGGGAGGTTGAAGGCAGTGTCTCCTCTTTCTCTCTCTCTCTCTCTCTCTTTTTTTTTTTTTTTTTTTTTTTTTTTTTGAGACAGGGTTTCACTCTGTTGCCTAGGCTGAAGTACAGTGGCATGATCATGGCTCACTGCAGCTTTGACCTCCTGGGCTCAAGCAATCCTCCCACCTCAGCCTCCGGAGTAGCTAGGACCACAGGTATGTGCCACCACACCTGGCTAATTAAATTTTTTTTTTTTTCCTGTAGAAATGGAATCTTGCTTTGTTACCAAGGCTGGTCTTGAACTACTGGGCTTAAGTGATCCTCCCGCCTCAGCCTCCCAAAGTGCTGGGATTATAGGCATGAGCCACTGTGCCCAGCCAGTGTCACCTCTTTCAACGGCTTTCTTTTGTGCTAACCTGTATAGGGAATCTTAGCCATTGTTTCCTTGTGGAGTTATTAGGGTTTTTTAATTTTGTTTTTGGTTTTGCAATGTGAGATGTTACTTAAAATCAGTATAGTTAGAGATTCTTTCATCCCACCCTTGTATATGGATTTCTCAATCAAGGTTAGAGGATATTAGCACCATGCATTTTCCACATGAATTTAACCACATGAATTACATATGTATTTAATGGACTGGAGTGGGTTATTCTCTGGTCTAATAACAACTTAGTTATAGGGTCTTCAGGTTTGTGGGCCCAACACTAATTATATTAGTGTTGAGTTTCTTAAACCTTGTATTTTTCTTTGAAGTAAGAGACAGGAAGTAAAACTCGAACTTTGAGAATGTCAAACAAATCATAGAATCTGAGTTTTAGAAGAACACTTTGTAATTGTCTAGAAACCACAAATAGAAACCAGGGGTCAGAAAGATTAGATTAAGTGACTCCACTACACATCATTTGAAAATAGTTAACGACGTGAAAAGAACAGCAGTGCGGCAACCACCTCTGTGCACTGCCAAGTCCTGAGTCTGTCAGTTCAGGAGGGACAAAGCGGGGGAAAACTGAAACAGTGTTAGCAAAAGTGCGCTGGCTAACATCATGTACAGATTTGAATCCTGCTAAGCAATGGGAACACAAGTGAACCCTGCTCCAACTCTCAGAATTACAGACTACTGGACTTGGAAGGTTGTCATTGGCTACCCAGCTCCTTTATTGTACAGAGTAGGCCACAGCCGTTGAGTGGTCTGTCCAATGTCATTCAGGTTCTTGGTGGCAGATGCAGTGTTAGAACTCAGGCCTTCAGGATCTTTACACAGTGGTCTTCTAATTGATGATTTCTAGGCTTTTATGGAGGTGCTTTAGAAGCAATCTTTGTTTTTTGAGACGGAGTCTTGCTCTGTTACCCAGGCTGGAGTGCAATGGCGCCATCTCGGCTCATTGCAACCTCTGCCTCCCGGGTTCAAGCCATTCTCCTGCCTTAGCCTCCCTAGTAGCTGGGATTACAGGCATCTGCCACCACACCTGGCTAATTTTTGTATTTCTGTAGAGATGGGGTTTAGCCATATTGGCCAGGCTGGTCTTGGACTCCTGACCTCAGGTGATCTGCCCACCTAGGCCTCCCAAAGTGCTGGGATTACAGGCGTGAGCCACCGTGTCTGGCCTAGAAGCAATCTTACAGGGTGAGGGAGAGGTTGAGCCTTTAGCACTGGTACCTACTTTAATTAATGCATCTGCCCTTTTAATTGTTTTAATTATTGAGATTCTAAGATTTCACTTAAATTGGCTTTTACTATTTCAAAAAGCACTTGAAAATGTCCGTACTTAGAATATGTTCACATTTATAGACTGCAAACTATTTGGCTTGAAAAATATAACTTTTTTAATGGCTCTTCTCCTTGTAGTTATTCTTTTGTTTTGTTCCATGATACTCTAAGTAAGTAGGCTTATAAACTTCAGTCTATGATACAATATATTTCTCTATAAACACAGGTTACGTCACCATGAATTTAGGTGAAAATCAAAACTTTTGCTCAATTACTTCTTGATTCTAACAAGAATCTGTTACAATGTTTAAGACGGAATAGCTTAACATATCATTAAATCCATGGACAATTTTCATTTAGTGTTTTCTGATTTCCCTTAGGTTCTGGACACCAGGGTTTTATCTTTTTAAATGAGCTCTTACTAATAAAGTAAATGAGACAAAATTCAGACATTTTGAATTCAGCATGAATGCAAAATCTACAAAATTTGAAAAATTGTCATTGAACACAATACTCTTGGTTTCCCCTATAGGTGGCAGGGATTCTATTTGGATCCTTCAAGGCAGTATTAATTTTATACCCCATTTCCTGTGGCTCAGCAATTATGAGTGATTTTTCTGTCATCATCCATAGACGATAGAGCCCTTTAAGAGAATGAGAAACCAGAGGCAGAAGAATATAGCACAGAGAGAGTTTGTGGGAATTCATGTTCAGCAAAGTCATTTATCTTAATAGTTAGGTCTCAGATTCTCATAAGGATGCTCCTAGAAGACAGCAAAAAAAGAGGGAAGGATGAAAAGGGGAAAAGAAGGTATTACTCCGTTGTTGTTTTCATTGTATCTGTGAAGACAAAACATTTGCTTTTTATCAGTAAACTTTTATTAATAAAGAGTCTCTAGATTTTAAAATGCCATCAGATATAAAATTAGATCCCCCTAAACAGTGGTTATCAGTGCATTTTCCACTTCAAAGTGGAAAATAAAACATATTTATCAAATTTCAGAATGTATATGGAAACATATCCATTCCTAAGGATATTTGCATAGCCTACTTAAACAATAAGTTTTATGCAGTAACCAGCACTGGGACTGAAATAGGAAAATCCTGACAATTGATTATCAACAACTTGTCAATAGATTTTGACTTTTTGTCTTATTAAGCAAAATAATAGATCATCTACACTACTTATGGAATTACTTATGGAATACTCATTGAATTTGGGTTTAAATCTATGTAACTTTAAAAAAGGGTTTGCAGTTTTACCTGATATATCTTAATGCACCACACAGTCTATTAAAATATTTCAACTTGTTCCCCTTTCTAAGGCAACTTTTCTGTTTTGGGTTGGAGGAGAGGGTCAGGAGATTTCTTAACGCAAAATTGAACATTGAAATCTTGAGGGACTTTACATGATTGAAGACAGGATCTTCACTCTGACAGTTTAATGCCTTTTACATTATGATGGCATTGCATGCTTCACAGTTCCTGAAAAAGAGCTTACATTAGATCTCAAAGTAGCCTCTTTTTCCCCTGTAGTTCCTGATTATTTCCTTTGCTCACATCAGATCCCAGAGGGGACCCATTTGTGAAGTGGAGATAATATTGCCACTTGGGAAGGATGCATGTGGTTCTCTGCCTCGGGTAAAATTGGTTACAGAAAGTGTCCTGTACTGAGAGTGTTTTGTGCAGGCATGGAACAGCCTAGAAGATTAGCCCCTTGACTACATCCTGGTTCACGGCTCCCTGTAGAAATTCCATGTGCAAGAGATTCTGCCATTTTCTTAATGCTGGAAGCGTGGAAATGGATAGTGACATCAGATTTCAGTCTGCCTGTCTTTCCCATTTCTTCCCCTGTGTGTGAAAGGTCACAAAGACATACATGTATTATTTACAACTCATTTTACTAAAGTCTAGAAAAACAATCTAATTTTTAGCCTGGACACTTTAATTAATTTGTAGCAAAATTTTGGAGAAATATTCTAACATCTGAGTTTCAATGTCCTTATAAGAGAGAAATTGCAGTATTTTGTTTAGTTTTTGTTATATGTCTTAATTGATTTCAGTTCTTCCATTTGGTACATATATTTACCTGAGAAATAAATGTTACTAGTTCCATATTACTGATGAGAAACTAAGGCCCAGAGAAGTTACCAGAATTGACCATTGTCTTATAGTTGGTGAAGTACTTAGGTTACTTAAAAAAAAGTTACCTTAACCTTTTTTCTTTTATTATTTTTAATTGACATATAACAATTGTACCTATTTATGGGGTACAGTGTGACATTTTGATACATGTATACCATGTGTAATTATATCAGGCTAATTATCCTATCCATCATCTCAAACATTTACCATTTCTTTGTGTTGGAAACATTCAACATCTCCCTTCTAACTATTTGAAAATATACAATAAATTCTTGTTAATTGTAGTCACCGTATAGTGCTATGCAACACCAGAACCTATTTCTCCTTTCTAGCTATTAATTTGAAACTATTAACCAATGAACCTCTCACTATCCCCATTCCCTTCTACCCTTTCCAGGCTCTAGTAACCACTATTCTACTCTCTATGTGCATAAAATCAACTTTTCAAGCTTTCACACACGAGTGAGAACATGTGATATTTAACTTTCTATGCCTTATTTAACTGAACATATTGTTCTTCACGATCATGTATTGTTGCCACGAATGACAGGATTTCATTTTTTTATACTATTCCATTGTGTATATACACTACATTTTGTTTATGTGTTCAGCTGTTGATGGGCAAATCAACCTGTTTATGTTGATTTTATATCTTTGCTATCATGAATAGTACTGCAATAAACACAGGAGTACAGATATTTCTTCAACATACCAATTTTCTTTCCTTTAGATATATACTCATTAGTGGGATTGCTGAATTATATGGTAGTTCTAGTTTTAGTTTTTTGTGACTGTCCATATTGTTTTTTATAATGACTATACTAATGTACATTCCCACCAACAGTGTATAAGAGTTCCCCTTTCTCTGCATCCTCATAGCATTTACTATTTTTTGTCTTTTTGATAATGATAATAGTCATTTCAAATGGGGTAAAATGATATCTCCTCATGGTTTTAGTTTGTATTTCCCTGATGGTTGGTGATGTTGAGCATTTTTTCATATATCTGTCGGCCATTTGTATGTTTTCTTTTGAGAGATGTTCATTCAGCTCATTTGCACATTCTTAAATTGGATTTTTTTTTTTTTTTTGCTGTTGAGTTGTTTGAGTTCATTGTATATTCTGGATATTAATTCCTCATCAGATGAATAGTTTGCAAATATTTTTCTCATTCTGCAGGCTGTCTCTTCATTCTGTTGATTGTTTCCTTTGCCGTGCAGAAGCTTTTTAGTTTGACACAATCCCATTTGTCTATTTTTGCTTTTGTTGCCTGTGCTTTTGAGGTCTGCTCCACATAGTCGTTGCCCAGACCAACGTCCTGAAGTATTTTCCCTATGTTTTTGTATAGTTGTTTTACAGTTTCTAGTCTTACATTTTGAGTTGATTTTTTTTTGTATATGGTAAGAGATAGGGGTCTAGTTTCATTCTTCTGCATATGGATATCTAGTATTCCCAGCAACATTTATTGAAGAGACTGTCCTTTCTCCTATGAGGGTTCTTAGTGCCTTTGTAAAAAATAAGTTGGCTGTAAATATGTGGATTTAAACCTGGGCTGTCTATTCTGTTCCATGACTGTATGTGTCTGTTTTTATGCAAGAACGATGTTGTCTTGGTTACCATAGCTTTGTAATATATTTTAAAGTCAGGTAGTGTGATGCCTCTGGCTTTTTCTTTTTTGCTCAGGATTGTGTTAGCTATTGGGGGTCTTTTGTGATTCCATGAATTTTAGGAGTTTTTAAAAATTTCTGTGAAGACGATCATTGGTATTTTGATAGGGATTGCTTAGGCTTCTTTTGAGCCTAGTTAATGTCTGACTTCAAAACCAATGTTCTTTTTACTATGCCTTGCAGCAGCTAGAAAATGCAACTGCTGTGCTGCATATTATTCTGTAAAAGTGCACTTAGGTATTCTAGACTGCAGAATGCTATAAAAAGACAAAACATTTTATTATTTACTAACTTAACAGTGTCGTTTAAATTAATGATACTCTGATAGGACTAAAAAATTCAGTATGTCTTGGTCCCAGCTTACAGCCTACTTGAGTGGCACAGAGAGCCTGTCTTAGAAGTGCTCTGTGTAATGTTACTAAAATTACGCAGAATTTTGGCAAATGTAACTGGATTTAGAATACCAGACATTCATGTCTTTGACTTTGGCTGCTAACCTCTTCTGGGATGGTTTATTATAAGTGATGTTTTTAGTTCAATTAAATTATCTATTTGATAACTGGTGAAAAGAAATGGACATTGTCTGAGGGAAACTTTTAACATTCCAGATAAATTATTTTAAACTTCTGGATATTTCCAGGAAGTTGGGGAATCCTAGTTATAAACATGAAAAGAAAAGCAGTATGGTAACAACCTTTATGCAATGCCAAAATCCTAAGTCGGCCAGTTTAGGAGAGCCAAAGGTGAAACTGATGATATTTTAAAGGTTATAATGAGTATGATAGAATTAGAATATTGGGTTGTTGACAATTTTAACTGCTGTTCCAAATGCTACATATTTCACATTTTATCACTGAGTACTAAATAACATGTAGGGGAGGCATTAAGTTTATTGTGATAACTTCTGACTTTTGTGATCTGAGACAGCGAAGTCCATCATAATTTGCATGAATTGCCTCTGCATCTGTCTGTTTCAGGGCCCTGAAGAATTTGTACTAGCGTGATAAGAGGAGATTGAAATATAGTGACACAACAGCTACTCCCTCCCTCAGGATTTCGAATGCTAGGCTCAAACCAGACTTCCTCTTTGGGAAGGAGGAGTTGAGGGACATAGGTTCAAAAAGGCAGAGCATTACTGACAAATTCAAATTCCACTTTTTATGGGAAATATCCTCACCAAGGCAGTGACAGTACCTTCTTCTGAATTCCAAAGGTACAAATTATACATAACACAGAGAGTAAATTATTATTTTGTGTTTTTATCTTTGCCTTCTCAGTGAGATTATAAGTAACATGGGTGCCATTTCCCTCTTCTGTGTATCTCTGTGTATCTTCTGTATATGACACTTAGCGCTGAGAGTACAAAATGCACATTAATTTTAAAATCTAGATTGCTTAATTAATTATTTAACAATTTTTTCTTTAAAAAAGATATAGTTTCAATTCCGCATGTGATGTCAGTAATACCTTTGGAAAAACATTTTTTTTTAAATCTTCACAGATATAACTTTAAAGTGTTGCTCTTAAATCAAATTAAGCCAAACAATGATAGCTAGTAGATTTCCGTATTTAAATTAACAGATAAGAATGCAATTTATATTATTTGTGAAAGAAGGATTCTGAAGGAATTTAGTATACTTGAAAATAGATGACTTTGAATATTTTTAATCTTTAAAATAAAAAAGCTTTAAAAATCACAAAACTAGTATTTGCTTGTATTAAGAAAAAAGTCCAAGTAATAGAGAAATATTTATTTTAAGGGGAAAATCCTTCTTTACACTCATCCCCCATGTGACAGACAGAACTTTGGCCCCATGACCTTCCTTCTCTGGTGTTACACCGGTGAATATGTTACCTGACATGGCAAATTCTTAATTATATCTGCAAATATATACTCTGCTTTGCAGATACAATTAAGGTTACTAGTCAGCTGACTTTAAAACAGGGAGATTATCATGGATCGTCCAGGTGTGCCCAAAGTAATCATGTGGACCCTTAAGACCAAGCTTCCTTGGTTGGTTGACAGCAGAAGAGAAAGCCAGAGATATTTGAAGAGTCACTAGGACTCAATATGCTATTGCTGGCTTGAAGATGGAGAAGGTCATGTACAAAGAGGAACAGAGAATGATCTCTCTGGGTAAGAACAGTCCTGGCTATCAGCCAGGAAAGAAACAGAAGCCTCAGTCCTACAACTACAAGTGACTGAGTCCAGCCACTGTCTTGAATAAGCGTGGAAGTGGATTCATTGCCAGAGTGTCCAGAAAAGAATGCACCCCTGCCAATACCTTGTTTTTAGCCTTGTGATATCCTAAGCAGGGGGATCAGTTGAGCTATGCTGTGACAGAACCTCTGATCTCCAGATAACAAGTGGGTGTTTTTTTAAGCTGCTAAATTTGTAATAATTTTTTTACAGCAGCAAACTAATAAAAACTAGTACAACTCGCATCAGTTCCCAAGGAGTTAATTGTTTGAGGTGATCCTTCATATTGTTCAATGTATTGAGACATTCCCGACTAAAAGTTGTAGTACCATGATTAACATAACAGCCATAAAAACCAATGAGATCATGTCCTTTGCAGGGACGTGGATGGAGTTGGAAGCCATTATCCTCAGCAAACTCACTCAGGAACAGAAAACCAAACGCTGCATGTTCCCACTTACCAGCGGGAACTGAATGATGAGAACACAGGGACACATGGGAGGGAACAACACACACTGGGACCTGTTGGGGCAGGAGCGAAGAGAGGGAGAGCATGAGGAAGAGCTAATGGATGCTGGGCTTAATACCTGGATGATGAGATGATCTGTGCAGCAGACCACCATGCACATGTTTTCCTGTGTAAGAAACCTGCACATCCTGCACATGTACCCCTGAACTTAAAATAAAAAGTTGAAGGAAAAAAAAGAGAGAGAAGTGGTGATGATCACCAAAGAGGGGAAAATAATTTTTTAAATTTTTTTATTTTTTTAAATTGACAAAAATTGTATATATTTATCATGTATAACATGTTTTTTTTGAAACACGTATACATTATGGAACGTCTAAATCAAGCTAATTAGCATATGCCTTACATACACACAACATTTTTTTTTGTGGTGAGACACGATTAACCTTTATTATCATTATGAAGAAAGACTTGCAGAACAAAGCTAGACTTCTGCCATGATAATGCTGAATCTTCACGTTCCAATTCTGAATGCATAAATTCACATCCTAAACTAATTCCATAAATGAGAATTTCAACTGTGTACAACTTTAAAAATCAGATGGGAACTTGCCTCATTTATTATTGTCTGCCTTGGATCTCTGCTACACAATTCACAACTCCTTTTATAAATGAGCGTCTTGAGCCATTTTACTTCTATTCTGTTTTCTGGCTTCCATGGTGACAGAAACTTTGACTTAAGGCAAAGAGCTTCCAATCAGGGATAGAAGGATGAACTGTTAATGGCTCCAGTGACAATGTAACCTTTCATACAGTTCATTCCAGCTTTTGGCAAAAATTCAGATTTTATTGAGGAATATCTAAGTAGAATGACTAAAAATATAGTTTTTTTCCATAATGGAGATAAGTAAGTTTATTATAGTATCATAAAATTTGCTTTCTTCCCTTTCATTCAAAAATGCAGAGCAAGCTTCTGTGTTAAATGTAGGCAGCATTTCCACAGTCATTAAGCTAAAGTGGCTGTTGACCTGTCTGCTCATCCACCCATGTGTGGCTACAGGGTTTATCACTACAGGTTAGCACCACAGTGACTGATGGGCTGGACTCTGAACTCCAGACTCCATTTGACCTAATTGCGAGAGTAGCAGTAATGGAAATTTAGTTAGTAGAAAGATACCATCAAGGGCTGAGACTCAGCAAATGTATAAAAATATTTTCCGATCTCAAGGCATTTTTAAATTTTGACTTTATTTTTGTAAATATAACAGGACATAAGCAGGAAGGAGAGGGTAGAAATGCCTAGTTTAAGGGTAATAAAGACTTATCTAGGTCAGTCTGGTGAACTGAGTAACAAATGAGGGTTGAGGAGCCTTCTGGAAGAGAACGTAAGCCGAGGGAGGAAGGACTCAAGGTGATGACTTTGACCTAATTAAGAAAAACCTAGCTACCAGAGGGGAATGGAGATTCTGAGTGAAGAAGAGATCCCTTGGCTCTGAAGCAAACGCTGCCTGGTTTGGCACCGAGTGCTCCATTTCTTCAGTGGCAATTCCTCATGCAGCAGCACCCTTGGGTAGGAGAACGGTTCTGTGCAGCAATGGGGCAGGCTCTCTAGGAAGCGGCAGAAATGCTGGGGAAGAAAAGAGACTTTTTGGAGCTTGGAATGTTGATTCAGTGATTGGGGCGTGAGCTGGTGAAGTCTGAAATATTGATGCAGCTTTGACCTGCAAGTGAGACCTGGGGAGAGTCCGTTACACATTGTAATGGTTCCAAGATGACCCCACAATGGTCTCTGCCTTCCTGGCATTTATGGTCTTGTGTAGTTTCCTCCCACATTAAAAAAGGCTGACCTATGAAACCAACAAGATATTTTGGAAATAATCATGTATGTCTTTGAGGGTAGGCCATAAAGGACATGGCTGCTTCCACATTTCTGTTTTCTCAGATCACTTGCTGTGGGGAGAGCAGCTGCCATGTTGTGAGGATGCTCAATAGCTGTGTGCAGAGGCCAATGTGGCAAGCAGTTGAGGCCTCCTGCCATCCGCCATGTGTGCGAGGCATGATGAAAGCAGATCTTGCTGCCCTAGTCAAGCCTTTAGATGACTACAGCCCTCACTCAAATCCCAACATCAACTTTATGAAAGATCTGGCTCAGAACAGCTAAGTTACTCCCAAATTCTTGACCCAGAGAAACTGTGAAATAATAAATATGTGCTGTTTTAGGCTACTAAGCTTTAGGGTAACTTGTTGTGCAGCAACACAGCAACACAGCATGTTAAAAGTGCAGAAAATCCCATTCTCCAGTACATTCTCAAATGCTATTTCTTTGAGGGAAGCATCTGTATCTGATTCATCTTTTTGTTCTTTGCAGTTGCAAACACAGTTCCTAACATATTCTTAATGTCTAGATTTTTCAAATAAAAAGAATAAGTTGCAGGTGGGCATACTGGCCCACCTGTAATCCTAGCACTTTGTGAGGCTGAGGTGGGAGGATTGCTTGAGCCCAGGAGTTTGAGACCAGCCTGAGCAACATAGTGAGACCCTACCTCTCCAAAAAAAAAAAAAAAAATTAGCCAGGTGTGGTGGTGTGCACATGTAGTCCTAGCTACTTGGGAGGCTGAGGCAAGAGGATCACTTGAACACAGGAGGTCAAGGCTGAAGTGAGCTATGATCATGCCACTTCACTCCAGCCTGGGCCACAAAGCAAGATCGTGTCTCAAATAAAAGAGAAGAAGTTGGCTTGTACAAATCTAAAATTTCTGAATCCCTGTTAAATCATGTAAAAATGTTTCATAATGGTAATTTTTGCTGTCAGAAGAATCTTCAGTGAAATATGGACATCCATAAGAATGGAGTGAAGCTGAGGCAGGGAGGCGTAGGAATGAAGAAGGAAAATCAGGGTAGTGATTGTCTTTTATTCACGTCTCTCCCTTGTTTCTGCTGCTCTTGTGGTATAGTTAAGGCTGCTAGCCATGGAATCAAGATAATTGTGGTTGTGGTAGAAACAAAAGAAAGATAGATAAATAGATATATACGTACATCGATACATGGATATTCAGATATTGAAGATTGGAGAAAAGAAAGATAGATAAATAGATATATACATACATCAATACATGGATATTCAGATATTGAAGATCGGATCGTTGTACTCACTGCCATAACTCATAGTTTGCTTCATCAGTAACACACTGGTGACAAGATGTTTTGAGCTTTCCCTTTAACCATCTTATTAATATCTGTTTGTCTCTTGGTTTATGTGTTCATCTACCAGTCACATAGTTATAACTGATAGCAGCTTGCCAAAACTGACACTTAACATGGGTTTTTTTGGGTATAATTCTTGCTGAAAAATGAGAGATCAGAAATGAAAATAATTATTATTTGTTAAACACTCTGTTCTTGAAATTGAATAGCCACAAAATGTTTCTTAAAACAACTTCATTTTATTAATAAGGAACCTGAAGTCTCGCATGGTTTTGAGCCTTTTCCAAAGGCACACAGTGAGTTAAAGAGTGAAGCATGATTAGAACCTAGACCTTTTCACTCCTAAGCCAAAAATATTACAGATAGGCCATTTTGAAGCTTCTTTTTTACTTATTATTTTAACATGCAACAGCAATTGTATACATATGCAAGAAGAAAAACTCAGTGCTAGGCTTATTACATATATTTTTTTCTCAAGCACATAAAGTCAATTATGTTTATTTTAAAGAAGAAAAATGCTGTGCTAGGCTTTTTAAATATGGAATTCTTTTAGAAATGTTTTTATGTTGGAAAAATGAGATAGAGGAGTACATTTAATTTTCCCCAATGTGGTCTGATATATAGCAAGTGTCACTAATAGACTCCAGTTCATCATCATCATCATTATCATCAACATAATGATGATGATGGTAATGATGGGATAATAGCAATAATGGTAATAGATATGACTGAAAGAATTCCAGTCTGAGCTGAATCATGTTTACCCGTGTATTCAGACAAGTCTGGAATGTCTGGAAGAGGTAGTGTCTATTTACGTGAGTGATCATGAAGCCTTCAGCAAGAGAGGATACCTTGCAGGAAGACAAATGGGTGAACAAAATTGGTTCAAAGATGATGGGCAAGTGAGAAAAGGAAAGTGACTTTGGATGACACCTGGTATGTTATTCTCAGGCTGAAGTGGCTGCAATGTGGAAAGTGATGACTCCAGGAGGCTGTGTGCCTGTGCTCTTTGAGGACCAGAGAGTGTGCCAGAGGCAGACACTCTGGTGCTGGCACCTCCTGCAGGGACAGGAAATGGCATCTCCTCAGAGGCCTTAATGCTGGAAGAGCAGGCACTGAAGGCCTCTGCAGAGATCTGGTGAAAGTTACAGTGACATAGGCCCCTATAGTTGGTTTCTATAGCAGCAGTGGTGCCATCAGGGACATCAGTAGGACAGCGGACATGGAGGGAATGGCCACAGAGGGCTGGAAAAGAGTAGAGAAAATGGCCTGTGCCATAGAGAAGCAAAATCAGTGCCTGGCTACTCTCAGAATGATTTAGAAGGGATTTAAGGGCAATTAGAGACTAAAATTAGGGAGAGCTGGTAAAATTGAGAAATACTGGTTTTCTGACTCTTAGTGTGATGCTATTTTTAAAATTAAGGTGGTGTAGACCTACTGTAGGACCCAAAGTCATTACGAGATAAATCATCGTCACCATCCATTCTGTATCCCTTCATATTCTCAATTCAGAATGGCATGTTGGCTACTGAAAATTCATATACCTCCAAAGTCTTCAATAATTAAAATACTTATATTACAATTTATACAAGTAAAACCAACAATCTGATATCTTATTTCCTGTCAATTCAATAAATACATTTTTTTTTTGGAGACAGAGTTTCACTGTGTTGTCCAGGCTGGGGTGCATTGGTGTGATCTTGGCTCACTGCAACCTCCACCTCCTGGGTTCAAGCAATTCTCGTGCCTCAGCCTCCTGAGTAGCTGGGATTACGGGTGCTCACCACCAGCCCAGCTCACTGTTTGTATTTTAGTAGAGACAGGGTTTCACTATCTTGCCCAGGCTAGTCTTGAACTCCTGAGCTCAGGCAATCTGCCTGTCTTGGCCTCCCAAAGTGCTGGGATTACAGGCATGAGCCACTGTTCCTGGCCCAATAAATATATTTTAAACCTGGTAATGTCACCAATTATAACTGTGTAGGATAATCTGTTTCCTGCCTCTTGGCATGCTGATGTCTCTCTGGCTTGTTTCCCAGTGCTTGCTTTCCAGGTGAAGCCTGCATGGATCTCCTGATATAATTTAAAAACTGAAAAAGTTCCCAACCTTAGGGTCTAAATTACATCTCTTCCTGGATCAGTAAGGGTAAATGTATCCTAGGGTGACAGGTAAACAACCACATCCAACCTCTCTAGCCACAGTAGAGGGAGAATATGATTTGTGTGTTGGAGCAGGACGCACCCTCCTGTCCCTGGTGGATGTTCCTCAGGTGACCATCTGCTGAATCTGCAGCCATCCCAAGTCCAGTTTGCTGTTCTCTGGGGCCACAGTGAGCACTGGATTAGCGGAAGCTATTGGTGCACTGCCCATGTCAGTGGTGGCTACAACATGGCTCCTTTGGGTTGTGTTGAGATCGGGTTTCTACGACTTCCTGAAGGGTAGAGGCCACTCCAGTGTAATAATTAGGAATATGGCCTTTGTTGATTCAAATCTTCACCCTGCTGCTTATGAGCCATGTGACCTTAGGTAAGTGGGCAAATCAGTTAACCTGTCTGTGTTTCAGCTTCCTCATCTCTAAAATCAAGGTCTTTATGTTACCTACCTCATAAGCTCGTTATAAAGACTGAGTGAAACAATATAGATGAAGCTCTAAGAACATCGCCTGTTTCATCATGAATGTCCAATAAATGTTAGTTTTATTACTGTTTCAATCATTGTTTGTTGGCTAGGTCAGCATGGCTTGGTATTGATGAAAACGATGTCTCAGAGAGGAGAGGCTTATAATAGTCTTTAGGATTTCAGCAGCAGGAATTTGTGAATATTCTCATGGGGGCAGGGGGCCTTCTATTCCTTGGAAATGGTAAGTCCAACCATTTCCAGTTTCTGTGTCTCTTCTTTCCTTTGTGAAAATTCAAGAGAAAGTGTAAAATGATCTAACTTAGACCAACTGTCTACTCTTCGCTTGTTTTAGTCAGAATCATGGAGCAGAGATGTGATGTTGGGGCCCATCTATTCCCTGTGGGGCCAGGCCCAGAGGGTAAGCTGGTGGCCGCCATATCCATATCTATTAAACTAGCCCAGCAGCAGCACCCGTGCTCAGTGTTTCTGTGAATGTGTGTGTGTGTGCCTACATGCTCATGTGTGTGAAGTGTCAAATAATACAAACAGCCTTCTGTAACTAATGTTTGAGATTTAATAAAACCGCTGGTTGGACGAAAAACGTATACAGCCTTTTAAAGAGCAATTTCTTAATTTCTAACAGTAACCTTATAATTTTACACACATTTTGACCTAATCACTTTACTTCTACAAATGTGTTCTTAAAGAAATAAAAGATTTTCATAAAAGATTATTATAAAGGTACTGTAATAAAGATATTCATCAGAAAATATTCATAACACAAACATGGAAAGAACATAAATAATTATAAGGGAATAGTTGAATGGATGTTGGTACATCTATGGAATGTTTATTCTCAACAGTCATTAAAAATGTTGCAGCAGGATATTTAATAATATGTAATTTATTTTCACAGTAAACTATCGAATGAAAAGAGCAAGTAATAGAGATACGTAATGTGATTCTATTTTTACAAAAGACTAAAAGGACATATACATAGGAATAAAGCTCTAAAAAATTAACAAAATAACAGTGATCATCTTGGAATAGTGAGAATACAAGTAATTTTTATGTTCTTTTTTCTTGTCAGAATTTTACATCTTTCTTTAATAATTATGTTATCTTTTTGTAATAAAAAAATGCATAGAGTAATTTAATGTGAATCCGTGAGCCACTGATTTGGCTGTAAGATTTCTAGCAGGCAACACAAAGACAGGAACATAACCAGGTCTCTGATTCACTGCATCCATAAAAAATAAAAGTGAGACCAATTGCCTTGGGGGAATCCCAGCTCTTTCTGGCACTAAGACCTTCAAGAAATTTATCCTAGGAGTTCTCTTAAAGAGGTCAGCAGGTAACACAAGAAACAATATAGTTGATGATACCCTTAGAGTAAAATAAATAGATTCTGAGTATTATAGGATTCTCTTTTCATATTATCTCACAAAATATGCTGATGAGAGACTGTTGAAGCACATTGAGAAAAAAGTGATTTAACTAGGAAAACAAAAGGTGCCATCCAATTACATAATTCGTTTATAAGGCTTGATGCAGTAAAGATTTTTGAACAGCTAAAGGAATACATGGATTGCATATTCTTCAGTCTTCTATTGAGGAACAAAGAATTCAAGGTCCTTTTCTCTGACAGGTTGTTGGGCTTTGCAATTAATCTTTTCTGCTACTGTGTATAGATTTATTTTCTATCAGTTAGCTGAGCAAGATCTGTGATGATAGGGACAACTGTCACTTCTTTATGAAAGTTAGAAGCCTGACAAGGAGGCATGCCCAGCTGAAGGTTCTGGGCAACGCCTGGCCAAGAAAATCCACAAACTTCAAGTTTTGAACCATTTTAGCTCGTATATATGTGGACAAATCAGGCTTGAATATTCATATAACAGAGCCACAGCCTAGGCGTTTATGTTTTGCTTTGTTTTTTACAATAGGTACAACCAAATACTCATCTCATCTGTAAGACCAAACAGAGCCAAATAATAAAAACAGCTCTATTAAGAGTCCATAGAACACTGTCGTGAGCAATATAATTTCTTGGTACATACTTCAAGTTAAAATGATTGTATATCTGGTTTAAAATAAATATGTGCTTAGGTAACTGAACAAGTTAATTATTTAATTTTTGAGTCAATTAGATGATAGAGGACATTCACCAAAAAGGATGGCCTGTTTCAAAATGGTTTATGTAGGGTCCTTCTTTTTGGTGTGAACTAGATAGTTGCTATGGTAGCTATTAAGACAATTCCCAGTTTCTCACCATAACACTATGAAATGGACTAAATGTCTATCCCCCGCCAAATTTGTATGTGAAATGGTATCAGAAGGTGGGACCTTTGGGAGGTAATTAGGTCATGAGGGGAGAGCCTTTATGAATGGAATTGGTGCCTTTATAAAAGGGATCCCAGAGAGCTCCTTTATTCTCTTTCTACCATGTGAGGATATAAAAAGTTGGCTGTCTGCAAGGAAGAGGCCCCTTACCAGAACCTGACCATGCTGGCACTCTGATCTCAGACTTTCAGCCTCTAGAACTGTGAGAAATAAACGTGTATTATTTATAAGCCACTCAGTCTATAGTACTTTGTGATAGCAGCCTGAACTAAGAAACACCACGTGATCTGCTGGGAAGAGAACGCTGATCTCTTTGTGAGCTGGTGGTGGCAGTGCTGGTCATGCAGTGGAGAGGTGCATGCTGTAACCATGAGGAAATATCACCTGCTGCATTTCTCTTCTGTCTTTTTCTGCCATTCAAAAATAGTTTTTTTTTTTTTTTTTTTTTTTTTGAGACGGAGTCTCGCTCTGTCGCCCAGGCTGGAGTGCAGTGGCGCGATCTCGGCTCACTGCAAGCTCCGCCTCCCGGGTTCACGCCATTCTCCTGCCTCAGCCTCCCGAGTAGCTGGGACTACAGGCGCCCGCTACCACGCCCGGCTAATTTTTTTGTATTTTTAGTAGAGACGGGGTTTCACCGTGTTAGCCAGGATGGTCTCGATCTCCTGACCTCGTGATCCGCCCGCCTCGGCCTCCCAAAGTGCTGGGATAAAAATAGTTTTATATTACACAGGGAGATCTGTGCTATTTCCCGACCAAAAATGTAAACTCCCAATGAAGTAACATCTAAACTACTTCTCATCTACCAATCAGTTTTAAACAAAGGCAGTAGCAAAAGTGCCTGCTGATTTTGCCTGTCGTCAAAGGAATTTGGGGAAGAAAATACGATATCATTCCTTTTTAGTGGGCTTTCTTGGATATGTTTTTTAAATGTTTGTCCTCAGTGCTTATCAATTAAGTATAGTAATTATATCTGTTACAAAAATAAAAATGCTTGCAGTATTGATTGATTAACCACATGAATCATGAACTGCAGCAACACTTGGAAACTCAGTGAATTTCTCTGTGATAGTCACAGCTGAAATGCTAAAATGGCACCAGGTGTGTTAAAAATGCACATGTTAGATGAGGCAGTCTGGCACAGGACAGTCGGAGGCCCCCACTGATATGGAGTAGTTGTTTATTTTCACTTAAATTTTATTCATGGAGAGGGTGAAAGCTGGCAGATATGCATTTGACTTGGAACTTGGCATATTATATTTGTTTGCAATATATGGGTATATGTCTCATATCACACCACCTATTGAAACTTGCCTGGATTATTGGCAATGCTAATAAGTTATTTACTTACCCTACTAAGTTAGCAACTTAGTTACTAACGCTACTAAGACTTAAGGGACTACTAACGCTACTAAGTAATCTCCCAGTTCCCTGTCTCTTGCAACCAAATGACCCTTTCAGTTAGGAAGGATCATTTGAAAATGTAAATTCTGGCCAGGCTTGGTGGCTCAGGTAATCCCACCACTTTGGGAGGCCAAGGTGGGTAGATCATGTGAGGTCAGGAGTTCGAGGCCATCGTGGCCAACATGGTAAAACCCCGTCTCTACTAAAAATACAAAAATTAGCCGGGCATGGTGGTGGGTGCCTGTAATACCATCTACTTGGTAGGCTGAGGCAGGAGAATCGCTTGAACCTGGGAGGTGGAGGTTGCAGTGAGCCGAGATTGTACCACTGCACTCCAGCCTGGGGGACAGAGCCGAGACTCCTTCTCAAACAAAAAAAAAAAAAAAAAAAAAAAAAAAAAAAATAAAAATAAAAGAAAGAAAAAAAAGAAAAGAAAATGCAAATCCTGATTTTCTTTCAGTTACTTGCCATTTTCCTTGGGCTAATAGGTGATCTCCCTCACTGTCTTAAAAGGCCTGTCCTGATCAGCTTCTGCTCACATCTGAGCCTCACCTCTCACTTTCAGTTCTGGCCCCACCATTCTCATGCTCCCCGCCATGCTTTGACACTACAGTGCTGTCTCACTCCTGTCATTTTCAGAGCTATTTCTCTACCTGTAACTATCATTGCCACCTTGCTTATTCTCCTGGCTAAATGCTTGCAGTTTAGTCTTTGTTAGAGTTCTCTGATCTTAAAGTCTGGATTAGGAGCCTTACCTATGTCTCCTACAGTGGCCCAAGAGCCCTAGGCTCACTGTGGACTGCGGTCATTGCATTTTCAGTAGTTCTTCCTGTTAAGTTCCCTGTGGATAGGTTCCAAGACAACTTTGCTTGTAGTTATATTTCCAGTACTTACTTGAGTGCCTGGCACATATTTGTGACCAATCCAGTAACTTATTGGATGAATATTTGGCAGAAAGGTGGAGGGAGTACACAGAAAAAACAAGCCAAGCCAGGTGTGGTGGCTCACGTCTGTAATCCCAACACTTTGGGAGGCTGAGGCGGGTGGATCACCTGACGTCAAGAGATTGAGACCATCCTAGCTAACACTGTGAACCCCATCTCTACCAAAAATACAAAAAATTAGCTGGGCATGGTGCCATGCACCTGTAGTCCCAGCTACTTGGGAGGCTGAGGCAGGAGAATTGCTTGAACCTGGGAGGTGGAGGTTGCAGTGAGCTGAGATCACGCCACTGCACTCCAGCCTGGGTGACAGAGCGAGACTCCGTCTCAAAAAACAAATAAACAGACAAAAAGCAAAAAACAAACAAACAAACAAAAAAAACAAAACAAGCCAGTGTTCCTGGCCAGAGGAGCATCTGAAGTAAGATGCACATGCATGTCAGGTAATATAATGTAGAATGGGATTGTGCAACCGGGTGCTTTTGGCATTCAGAGAAGGGAGGAAGTACAACTGTGGGCATTAGAAAGGGCTTCAAGGCAAAGGAGGTTTTCAGATTGGGTTTTGGATGACAAACTATTTGAATGGGGGAGGAAATGCATTTGAGGATGTATGAAATGCTAAGTAAGGCAGAGAGCTAAGGAAAGCAGCACTGTTTGCAGAGAAATGGTGTACAGTTCAGTTTGATGGAATTTAAAGTGAGTGAAGGGATTCTTGGAGAATGTGCTAGAAAGGCAGATCATATACCAGATTGTGGAGGCCAGGAAAGCTGGCTAATAAAGAAAATGGACTGCAAACAGAGTCAATGGCAATCTTTGCATTTATTTTAAAAGAATAAACATTAATAGAAGACAAAAGCATTGGGCCTTTTCATTCTATTGTGTCATTTGCCATCACTTTCAGGGACATGTGTGGGTATAAGTGCCAGTAGTATTATTTTAATAGGAAGATTTATAAAATGTTTATTTACAGAATTGATAGAAAACCATGTTTTGTGTTTCTGCTGGAGTCATTCTTTGTATATTACTGATTCTTGGTACATTTTAAATAATACTATCAAAAATCTCTTGAGTAAGGGGGTAAAAACAAGTAAAATATTAAATATTATGCGATTACTGAATGATAAAGGTGAACGTATCTAGAAAACTTGTATCCCTAGTTTTTATAGTGAGTTCTTGTCAGTAGTTACGGCCATTGAGCTTCTCTGTCTTATTCTGCAATAGCCAGGTTGTTACTAGAGACCTGCAAGGAGTTTGAAACTGCATCTGAAGACAGATGCAGGGTGCAGAGTTTGGATAATTTCCAGAGAAAAGCAATAAAAATGATGAATAGCTTGGAAAATAAGACCTCAGAGGGATATTTAAAGAAGTTGAGAATTTTAATCAATATAAAAGAATGGCTTCAGTGTCTTGAATCACAGTGTAGCTGCTTTTTTCTTCATCTTCACAGAGACACAGAGAATACATGACGAAGCAGGCTCAACTCAAAGCAAGCAAATTCCCACTGGACCAAACAGAAAAATACTAATATTGGCTTAACACTAACAGGAACAGACTGAAGCTATGAATTGTTCATTTAGGATAGAGTAGATACCTGGTCTGGGAGGTTTTAGGCAAAGTAATGAAGAACCTCTGCATTTCCATTAGTTCTTCTACCAGGATTTGTTGTTGTTGTTGTTATTGTGGCTTAGTAAGATACATCTCTGAAACATTTTTTTATGTGTTACAATTTGGGTTCTCTGGAAGCAGACATTGTGGCTGTTAGGAGTGCAAACTATTTATTGGGGAGTACGCCTGGGAACAGAAAAGGAAGGGAGCAGGACTGGGCAGGGGTGCTGTCAGTCATGATGCCAACCTGACCAAGCCTCTGCCAGCCCAGTGGGAAGCTTGGGAGCACACCTGCCCATGAGAGGAATCTGCGTTGGGTGGAAGTGGCTGGGCCTTGCCTCACTCCCTGTTCAGTCATTGGCAGGAGGCTGCTGCGAGAACAGGCTCTTGGCTACCACTGCCCGACTCAGTCATTGGCTAGGGTCCACCGCACAACTAGCAGTGCTCATGTGTGAAATGTACCGGAAAGCTGAAGCAGACCCTGAAGGACTAACAGCTGGAGGCCAGGGGCAAACCACACTCCTCACAGCTGGGCAGCGAGTGCTTTCTTGAAGGAGGATGTGAGTGGCACATCTTTGTGTCTGTCACATTATGAATACCACACTGCTCCTTAGTCGTAATTAAAGAAATGTAAAAGAGCCAGATTTTTATATGGAAATGCAATCTACAAATTAACATTGAAATCTGTCCTTTTTTCCCTCGACACAGAGCTACATGAAGTAGCCAAACCCACCTAACTATGGTCTCTTAGACTCACCTAATGAAAGACCACAGCCTAGGAATAGCAGTAGACACTCAAAATCAGACACTTTATCCTTATTATTTATAACCTTCACAAAGACCTTGCAAGAAGGGTATTACGCTTCCACTTTTTAGTTATGGAATTCATAGTTCACATTGTTTGGGAGATTTTTTTTTTTCCCTAGCCTTATGACCGATAAGTGGCAAAGCCAAGATGTTATATATTTGTATTAGTGTAAAGGCACTTTGCATTATACCAGAGTGGATGATATGAAAAAGGAATTTTCACTTTTCCTTTTTGTAAGGAATTTTCATTTCCTTACAAAAAGGATATGAGTGTCCAACCTGTATTTTGTCAAAATAATTCAATTCTTAGGTACTTTGATCCAGATTCCAGGATGTTTGATATAGTCTTTGTTGTATTAAAATAAAATATTATGGCTTTTGGCATACATTCAACAGGGTAGAGTTAACTTTTGCCTGGATTCTTTGTAATGCTTGGGTAATTGTAGCCTATACATGTATATATATTAACTTACACATTTGCTGAGAGTTATGACTCCTTTTCATAAGACCTTGGGGTTTACAGATTCCCTTTTCATTTCTAGCTTTATGCATAGTTTACCTAATCTATTTTTTAAATAAAATAATATCATGGTCAAAATATAAAGTTCAATGACTATGACATCAACTATTAAAAATTTATAAAAAGTCATCCTCCCACTTGTACCTTTTTCAGTGCTTTATACACAAGAATATGTGGTAAGCATCTCAGTAATACTACTCTAATTTTTAACTGATGAAGTTTGTTTCCATCTTTTATTTAGAAGTCATTGGAATCAGCTGCATAATCAAACATTGACTTCTAAGGCTGGAAAAGTGGCATTACATCTTGTTCAGACACATACTGATGGGTAAATTCAGCATCAGGGCACGTCATCAACTCACACTTAATTTATTCACATTTCATAAGAAGTACCATCTGATCAGGTTAAAAAATTTGGTTTATTAAAGTCATCAAGTAAACAAGTTGGAAGAAGTAGGCGATTTAATCATTTAAAAGAATATTTTTTTTTTCGTTTGTTTTAGAGACAGAGTCTATGTTGCCCAGGCTGGGCCCAAACTCTTGGGCTCAAGCAATCCTCCCACCTCAACCTCCCAAGTAGGAGGGACCACAAGTGCATGCCACTGCACCCAGCTTCAAGGGCAAATTCTTTTGAAGAGCTTTAACAAGTTACTTTGCTAGTGCTGCCACTAAACAGCTACCTTTTTTATTAAGATGGTGAGACTATCACATACATATTTATTTTAATTTCACCTTGGGAAGCACTGATCTCTATAACACTACTTGTCCCTGAAATAATTTCCAAAAACCACTACAATGGGTGTGTGTGTATGTGTGTGTGTAGACAATCCAGTATGCTGTTATTATGTTGATTTTCCCTCATCCTTGGAGCCACTGAGAACTAGAGCTAAGGCCTGTGATATGGTCTCTTGGTGCACTGACTATAGCTAAGGTACTGTCACCTCTTTGGTAGGTTATATAGTGGTCCCAATAAGACAAGGTATTCCTGGTACCTGTGAATGTGACCTTATTTGGAAATAAGCTCTGTGCAGATGTTATTAAGAATCTTAAGATGAGATCACCCTGGTTTTAGGGTGGGCCCAAAATCCAGTGTCTGGTTTTCGGGTGGGCCCAAAATCCAGTGTCTGGCTTTCGGGTGGGCCCAAAATCCAGTGTCTGGTTTTCGGGTGGGCCCAAAATCCAGTGTCTGGTTTTCTTGTAAGAGAAATGAGAGAAAGATTTGAGACTCAGAGAAACACAGGGGAAGGCCACATGATGATGGAGGTAGAAATTGCAGCAACGTGTCTACAAACCAAGGAATGGCAAAGATTGCCAACAGCCACCCAGGAACCATGAGAGAGGCATGGAAGGTATTCTCCCTCAGAGTCTCCCCAACCCTGACAACACTTTGATTTTTGACTTGTGGCCCCCAGAACTGTGAGAAAATACATTTCTGTTGCTTTAAGTTCCCATGTTTGTGAGAACTTGCTACAGCAGCCTGGGAAATGAGTCCAACTGCTCACTCCAGTGCTTTATTCTGAGTTCAGTACACCAGGCCAGGGACCTCATCAGTTCTGAGGGCCAATATTTACTTGTGAAGCCATCCTCCCATTTGGTGTCTCACCTCCACATACTTCCTATATTTTTCTACCATAAATATAGGAAGTGGAAAATTAAGATGCCTTTTCTCCAGAGGGCGGCAGTTAGAGAGCTCCCTTTAGAAAGAGAGTTTAAGTATGTATTTAACATTGCTTTCTGATATGTTTTTATTCAGCCATTCATTCATTCACTCATAGTAAACAACTAAATTTCACTAATGCAGTCTGTGATGTTCAGATTGTAAACAGTCACAAAGACATAGAAATAAACCAGCATGGAGATTACTGAAAGTGAGAATCCTCTTGTGTCTCATTTCTTGGACTTTGGGGGCTACCTCAAGTTCCAGTATCCCATGAATGTCCAGGTGCTGCCACAGAAATGGCAGTGAAACCAGAGTTACCTCATCAAAGATAACCTTTCTGACAGGGTCCTGTGTACTGTGATGTGGCCTGTCTGCCATTTAGGCTGTACCCTGACAAATAGTTTTAACTAAAATGACTGAGAAAATGCAAGTGGTTGGGCTGGATCTGCTGGAAAACAAAAACAAGGGTACTTCCTGAATATTAAAATATAAGTTTTATAGTAGTTTCAGGTTCTTTCTAGGAAATGCTTGAGGAGCTACAGGGTAAAGACTGACAGACAACCAGGAATTGGGGAATTCTATAATGTTAGGATGAACATCATCAACATCTGTGCAACCTGTGGGCTCTGATCCACAACTACATGAGGGATAGTCATTAAAAAATAAAAAGCCTAGAAATTTGCCATGATCTGGGGGGATTTGAAAGGAAGAGAATGCTGACTTCCAGTGTGAATGTGTTTTCAGGTGATCCTGTGACCTTAGGAGCGTACAGCAATGTTGAAAATTGCTAACATTGCTCCAGTTTCCAGAAACATACACCCCATTGGTGAAGGGAAGTTTGCAACCTGTGATGAAGTGTTGGTACAAGAACAAATTCTCCATGGGTTTTCTTTAGGTCTACCTAGGTCAGATAGCAAAGGTCTCCCTCGATGCCCTTGTCTCCACCCAAGGTAACTGAATCTCTTACCCTCTGTCCAGGGAGCTTTCAAGTGTCCAGCATACCTGGAAAGCACTGTATCCACTCATTTGATGTCCAGACTCAAATGAGTCTGCTGTGGAAGAGGAGGGCTCATTTCTCTCCAGGACAGCCATGGCTCAGAGATAGCACCTTCATTCTGCTCTCTGGGGAGATGGTTCACTATTTCCTTCCCTGTCCATGACCTTAAACTGTCCTTTTCTAACAAAGTTGCTACTTGGCTTGCTTTTTCTACTTCCTCTAGGCCCTATCTTTTCTAGATTCTTCATGGGAAAAAACAACCTGTAGTTTTGCTTTTTATGAATGTTGCAATAACTATCAACTTCCACTCCCACCTGCTCCCCAGTCTGTTTTGTGTAGGTCTGAGTTTCTGGCCTAGGTGGAGTAAGGATCTGGTGAAGTCCTTTCTCTTGGAGAGTAGGCCTTTCTGATGGAGAATGCTCATGGTGTATTCAAAATAATTACTTTTCTCCTCCCCTTGCCAGAGCTATGAGGAGATATTTGTTGGCTCTTTCCTGTGTATATTTCCCCTGGTAGGGCTTGTGGAGATTGACCTAAGAAAGCATGAAGGTCTTCTTAATCCCCCAGGAGTTTCTCACTGTCATCCTAGTCCACACTAACATTTCCAGCCATTTGTCAAAATTACCGCGCAGGTGTTCCTGCCAGTTTCTGGCTCCAACAGCTTCCACTTCAGATAAGCAGATCTCGGCTGTGATCTCTATATTCTCCTGGGTCTCCAGATTTCAGGGTGGTCCTTTGCCCTGGGACCTCAGTTCTCTGAACAGTTCAAGAACAGTTGTTGATTTTCAGTTTGTTCTACTGTTTTCTTGTTTTAGGGATGGGAGTGATGACTTTCAAGCTTTACATGTTAGCGCTGAATCAAAAGTCTCCTTATAGCCTATTTTGGACACAACAGCCTGAGAAATTCCTGTAATATACAAGACAGATCATGTTGCTCTTCTGCTTACAGCCTATTTTGGAGTAAAAGCCAAAGCCCTTCTATTGGCGCACAAGGCCTCCTCAATCAGCCCACTCTCTGTTCTACTTATTGGCCTCTTCTGCTCTTACTCTCCCTCCACTTTCTCTGATCCAGTCACATTGGCTTCCTGGATGTTCCTTAAATACACTGGCAAGCATCTACCACAAGGCCTTTGCACTTACCTAGAACAATTCTTGTCCACATGTCCAATTGTCTCTGCACAAAAGTCACAGATACCTAGTGAGGCCTTCCCTAACCACCCCTGTTTAAAACAACAACTCCACAGTTCACTCCCATCCCCTCATTTTCTCACCCTTTCTCATCTTTATTTGTTTCCATAGCACTTTTCACCACATGACCTACTTCATGCAGTATTTTTCTTTTCTTTTCTTTTTCGTTTGTCTGTTTTTGGGACAGGGTCTCACTCTGTTGCCCAGGCTGGAGTGCAGTAGTATGATCTTGGCTCACTGCAACCTCGTCTATCCCGGGCTCAAGTGATCCTCCCGCCCCAGCCCTCCAAGTGGCTGGGAGTACAGGCACAGGCCACCACACCCGGCTAATTTTTGTATTTTTTGTAGAGACAGGGTTTCACAAGGTTGCCCAGGCTGGTCTCAAACTCCTGAGCTCAAGTGATCTATCCACCTCCACCTCCCAAAGTGCTGGGATTACAGGTGTGAGCCACTGCGCCCCGCCTTTATACAGTATTTTTCTAATTTTTAAGTCTATTATCTCTCTTTCTCACTAGCTGGTAAACTCCATGGGAGCAAGGATATTTGTTTGTTTTGTTCCTTGCTATATATCAGTGCTATAAAGAAATTACAAATTCATGATGATCAATGGCCATTAAAATTATTTAGTGAATGGGATATTAGTATAATACCAAAGTAGTATTACATAGATGACTTTCTGGTTGCAAAGGGAGAAACACTACTATTAAATAGAGGAATCTAGTGGTTAATTTAGTATCATTAATGGCAGGTCAACCAGGTAATATGTCTTTTCTTAAGTGATGCAACATGAAGTTGACAATATCACATGAAATATTATCTTGCCAAATATGCTTAACTTGAATCCATAGAGCCTTTAGATATAACTCTCAGTTTACAAAGTAAAGAATAAGTTAAAATTCACCACAAGGAAGCCACCAGACAAAATCAGAAGGTGGCACATCTTGTAAAATTGTTCAAAGTCATGATAAATGGTCTGTTCTAGATGAGAAGAGACATAAGGGATAAGGGAGCTGGATGCAATGTGTGTGTTCTTGGATTGGCTATGATTTGTGCCAATGAGTTTTAAAGGAGGTATTAGAATCCATAGGGGAGAATCTAAGTTCTAATATTAGGTGAGATGAACATTTTCTGAAATAAAATTGGTATACATGAATTGCAAAAAGTAGCTTTCAAAAGAATATGTATAAATATGTACAATTACAACATGTCAGTTATAAAAGAATATGCAGAATGTGATCTCATTTAGGTAAAAAATGCAAACCATGCTTCTCTGTTTAGTAAAATATTTTAAAAGAGTATGTATAGTCTAATATGAAAGAAAAATATATTCATACATTTTTTGTATTTTGTCTTAATATAATTTATTTTTATTAAGTCTGGTACTTAGCTCATAGATTTTTTTGAATTTTTGTTTCTAGATGAGTGGAGAGAAAATGGCTCTATCTAATTGGCCCTTACACAGAGACCAGCCCGCTTCATAGTTCAAGATATAAACCTGCCACACATATGAATGTAAACAGCTGTAGATACAGAGTATTTTACAATTGCACGCTTTCAAGTTATTAAAATTTCTGGATTTGTTTAATTTACTCAAATTTACCTCATTCCAATTAATAGTGAATTTTAAAAAATCATATCAAATCCAGCCCCACTTGTTCATAATATAAGGATTTCAAAAAGTCTGAAAATTTCTCCTTTAATCTGTTTTGTTTGTTTTGTTTTTGAAGGGAGGATCTGGACATTTTATTACTGATAGATTAAAAACACAATACAATTTTTGGCGTATTTAGACTGTTCACATTTAAGTAATTATTCATATAGTTGGATTAATATTTACCATACTTGGAACTGTTTTCTATTCATAGCCCTTGTTCTTTACTTCATTTTCTTCTCTTCTTCTCCCCTCTCTAGTTTTAAATGAGTATTTAATATTGTTCTTTTTTCTCTCCTGTCTTTGCATATAAATTACACTTCGTTTAACTTTTTTAGTGGTTGCCCTAGAGTTTGCAATATACATTTACAATTCTTTCAAGTCCACTTTCAAATTCTTTGATGCTATACTGCTTCACAGGTAGTTCAAGTATCCTGTAACAGAGTATTCCCAGTTCTTCCCTTTAATCCTTTATAACATTTCTGTCATTCATTTTACTTACACATAAATTATAATGACTGAATAGATTGTTATTATTGATATATTTTTAAATTAAATGACTGTATAGAAAGTTAAAATACCAATGATTTGATCTAGAGTTTTAGACTCTTTAAATATTTTTCTTTCCTTCTTGTCTTCCTTCTTTTCTCTCTCCCTCCTATGCTCTTCATCTTCTCTTTTTTTCATCACCCGCTAATACCATATTTGTTTCTGATTATTTCTTTTAAGAAAAATGTTTAAGGGCTTTCTCTAACAGAACTCTCCATGATTTCATTCTTATCTGTCCCTCTTTGAAGAGAAGCAAACAAGATTTTGCTGTTTTTTATATGCATGATTTTATACATATATATATACAAACTAAATGTTTCATTGTTCAGTAAAACATAAATTTCCATATTGTTTCTATAAACATGTCATATTTTTAAATGTTTTTGAATTAGATATATATATCATAGTGTACTAATGTTTTTGCAACTTTCTTTTTTTGTCAACATTATGTTTTTGAAATTTATCCCTGTTGCTACAAGTAGATATAGTTTTCTCATTTAAACGGCTGTTCCATGTTTCATTTTATGCATACGATATAAAAATGTATCCTTTCTTTTATTTAAGTATATTTGGCTTCCCATCGTTTTGTTTTTATAAACAATGCTACCATTAACACTTCTTATTTCTCCTTGCATGCGTGTCAGAGGGTTTCTCTAAGCCACGCACATAGGACTGGAATTATAAGGTGTTAGGTATGTACATCTTCAGCTTTACTAGACCTTGTCAAGTTGTGCTCCAAAGTAGTTGTTCCAATTCCATCAGCAATAAATGAGCATTCCTGTTGCATCACATCTGGCCAACACTAGGTATTTTCAGACTTTTAAAACTTGTCACTTTGATAAATGTGAGATCATATCACATTGTTTTAATTTGTTTCCTTTTTTACTAGTAAGGTTAAAAAATCTTTTCACATATTAAGTAACCAACAGATTTCCTGTTCTGTGAATTGTTCATTTTTTTCTATCAAATAATAGTTTTCTATGCATACTTTATATGTTCTGAATGCCAATTTTTTGTTAGCTATATGTATTGCAAATGTTTTATCCCAGTCTGTGACTTGTTTTTTTAATTTGTGCTGTGTTTGGTTGCATAAAAGCCTTCATTTTAATTTAGTGAATTTATGAATCTTTCATGTGTCATTTGTGATTTTGGGTTTTATTTAAGGATTCCTTCCATAGTGCCACATTGTTTAGTTTCCTGTACTTTCTTTTAAAGTATGTAAAGTTTTGCCTTTGATATTTAGGTTAGTTTTCTTGGAATATTTTTAATGTGTATATAGTATACAATAGGGAGTCAAACATTTTTATATGGGTATCTTATTTTCCAGGTACCAGTGACTTATTGGCCCATCCTTTCTCCATTAATTTATTACACTTCTGTCATATATCAGATATCAGTACATGTGGTCATGCTCCAGTTCCACTGATCTGTCTACCTTTGAGTTACCATCACACTCTCATTACTCTGAATTATAAATGGAATCAGCTTTTTGTATTCCGCTGTCTAATTAGTTATTACTGCCACATAGACAGTTACCAGTTTTACTATGATGATCTTGAATTTGCCAATCTTGCTGAACTCTTTCATTAATGGTTTTATTATTGACTTGTGTCGAAGAGGCCTAGATCTTACTCTCAACCTTATTACTAACTAGTTGTATGATCTTAGGAAAGTTACTAGTGTCACTAAACTTCAGTGTTCTCTTTAAAGCTTTTTAAAGATTTAAAAAGGTCATAACATCTAACTCACGAGGTGGGGTTGTTGTGGAAGTTAAATAAGAAAGTGAATGTAGACAGCCTAGCACAAAGCAGAGATCCCCAAAAGTCTAGTTCCTTTAAAATATTTTGTTTCTCTAAAATTGTCTGATTCAATTATATATACTATATATATATAATATATATACACACACATACCCACGTATATATAAGACCTTTCTTGCCATCCAAAGGCCCAGGTTACACCAAGGCATTTCTTTAGCTATGAAGTCACAAGTTCATTTGTTTTTTATTGTTGGATAAGAATATACTACCCCTTTTATTAAATAAATCCAAAATATTAGGCTGGATACTATTCTGGGGAGATAACCACTTGGAGATCACAAAATTATCTCCTGGTTTCAGGTAATATGGATGCGCTTTACATGATTCATTATAGATATTAAAGATGTCAGAGGAAAAAACGGCCATTACAATTATGTGACTTTAAAGTATTTTCCAAAAGAGCCATATCTGTCATCAGTTATGGGAGCTGACCAAATGTGCATGATGACAGACAGACAGCTGGTTCTCATTCATATTAACTTCCTCTCAAGCAATAGGAATGTTACGGCAATCTGGCCTTATATTATGCTGATTCCAATGTAATTACATTTGTTATTTCCAGGCGATGCAGTAAATCAAGCTGTGGCAAGTTGGTGGATATTTCACAGAAGTAATTTTGGAGACCATTAAATACGATCGCGTGTTCTGTTGCTCTCTCTTCTGCCACAAGACAAATAATGTCCAGTCCAGGCATGGAGGAGGGGACAGAGTGGGAAGCAAAGCTGTTTACTTTAAAAGATAGAAAAAATGTGTTTTTCTACATGTAGATGTGAAATTTATAAGAAACAAAGGAGCCCAGTTAAGGCACGTGGGGTCAAAGTAATGGACAAACTGCTCCTGTGCAAGAGATTTGCTATCTCTCTGTTCCTGGGCCCCAGACTGCCAAGCCCAGCTGCTTCCCAGGCAGTTGTATACCTCCCCCAAACACACCTGCTGTCCCAGCACTTTACTCTGTTGAGGGATAGGCTGGTCATGAATTAATGTCTACAGAACAGGGGTGAATGACCCTTCTGATTTCATTACAGCTAGAAACTCTGTAGTGCTTACTCTCATTCACATAAAGGCCAAAAGCTTTTAGAATCCTTTAATAAACCAATTGCCTAAAGGCTAAATTCAGAAAGGAATCTAATATTGACGCTAAATGATCATTTTGTTGTCTAACAGTCTCTGTTCAAAATGGACATAATTCTTTTAGTCTGTGATCTGACCTCCCATTAATACCAGCTTCCCAAAGTGTTATCACTATGCAAGAAGAAAGAAAGCCAAAATGAATTTGACTTTAAAGGGCATCCTTGCCTTAAACAGATTTATCTAAGAATAAAATTAAGACCATGGACTATAATATTATTTTCCTAGACAGCAGAGATTTAGTTATCAACTGCTCAATGCAACTTAAATAATTGAGGAATAAAAAAATCTGGAATAGTTTAGGGGAAAACTGCCTAGAGGCGCTAGGAAAAGATGACCTCTGGAAGACCTTCTCAGCTCTGTGCGCAACTTCTTGAGCGAGCACACAAAATGAATCCATGTGTTCGGGAGGTAGCATAGGAAGGCATGGCCCTTGATTGGTTAAGGGTAGCTTTGGTTTCAGCTGCCAAGAAACAATCCTACCCAGTGGTGAAGACTCTTACTTCAAATTTCTTCAGGAAAATCAAGCCCTTCTCATTGTTCCCTATAACATTTTGTTTTAATTTGGCTAGTGTTTATTCAAGTTGCTTAGCTTACAGCCCATTGGGTTTCATTCAGGAAGATTGTAATCAGGAGAGGGAGAGGGGGTGAGAGAGAATGAAAATTCCTATTAAATGGAAAAAACAAACAACTTTTTTCCCAGAATGCTTTTATTTTTCCCCTCACCTTAATTTGGTGCTATCTGGGGAAATGTTAAGTATAGAAGAATTTCATGAGAAAAGAATTTTTAAGAAATAATCATTAAAAGAACTTATACTTTTTGGCTGGGTACAGTGGCTCATGCCTGTAATACCAGCACTTTGGGAGGCTGAAGCGGGCAGATCACTTGAGCTCAGGAGTTCCGGACCAGCCTGGCCAACATGGTGAAACCCTGTCTCTACAAAAAACAAAAATAAAAAATTAGCCGGGCATGGTAGTATGCACCTGTAGTCCCAGCTATTTGGGGGGCTGAGGTGGGAGGCTCGCTTGAGCCTGAAAGGCGGAGGTTGCAGTGAGTGGAGACTGCCCCACTACATTCCAGCCTGGGCTACAAAGCAAGATGTTGTCTCATACACACACACACACACACAAAAGGTTTACAAGGACATTAAAAAATGTAATAAACATTTAATTTACATTAACCTTTAAAAAATAAAGCTTCACTAATGTTTTGGCCTTTATTTTTACTGTAATAAAATATATATGACATAAAATTTACCGGGCTACAATTCACTGGCATTAAGTAGATTCATAATGTTATGAAACCACCACCACTATCCACTTCCTGAAGTTTTTCATCATTGCAAACAGAAACTCTGTACCATTAAACAAAACCTTCCCATTTCCCACTTCCCCTAGGCCACAGTAACTTCTATTCTTTTAGTCTCCATGACTTTGTCTATCCTAGGTAACTCATATAGGTGGAATCAGACAATATTTATCCTTTTTGGTCTGGTTTATTTCACTTAGCTTAATGTTTTCAATGTTTATCCATGTTGTAGCATGTATCAAGATTTCATTTCTTTTTAGAGATGAATTAGCTTCCATTGTATGTATATACAACATTTGTTTACCCATTTATCTGATGATGGACATTTAGGTTGTTCCTATCTTTTAGGTGTTATGAATGAATAGTGCTGTTATGAACATTGCTGTTCAAGTATCCTTGGTGTTTTCAAGTTTTGGGGGTATATACCTAGAAGTGAAATTGTTGGGTCATATAGTAATTCTAGTTTAACTTTCTGAGGAACCACCAAACTATTTCCACTGTGGGTATATCATTACACATTCCCACCAACAATGCCCAAGTCTTTCAATTTCTACACATCTGCACCAACACTAGTTCTTTTCTTTTTTTTTTTAATAATAGCCAGCCTAATGCTGGTAAAGTGGTATCTTATTTTGGTTTTGATTTGCATTTTTCTAATGTCTAGTGGTGTTTAATACCTTTTTATGTGCTTATTGGCTGTTTATATATCTTCTTTGGAGAAATGCCTATTCAAGTCCTTTGCCCATTTTTAAATTGGACTGTTT
The DNA here is from genome assembly GCF_000001405.40 of Homo sapiens. Classification (NCBI taxonomy): domain Eukaryota; kingdom Metazoa; phylum Chordata; class Mammalia; order Primates; family Hominidae; genus Homo; species Homo sapiens. The sequence continues at coordinate 150,995,587 of NC_000002.12, read as the reverse complement.
TTTCATTGATCAGTTTTATATATTCTGAGTATTAATCTCTTATCAGATATATAATTTACAAATATTTCCTTCCATTCTACCAGTTGCCTTTTCACTCTGTTGATAGTGTCTTTTGATGTGCAAAAGCTTTAAATTTTGATAAAGCCCAATTTTTCCATTTTTCTTTTTTACTTGTACAACTAGTATTCATTAACAGTGATGTATACTTACCACATGTCCATTTGTAGCTGGTGTAGAAGCTTTAAATTTTGATAAAGCCCAATTTATCCATTTTTCTTTTTTACTTGTACAACTAATATTCATTAACAGTGATGTATACTTACCACATATCCATTTGTAGCTGGTGTAGAAGGTATCTTGTAGGAAAAGCAGGTGTTCCACATCATGGAAGGTTGACATTGGTGTTTTCATGTAACTGATTACCCTAGTTTGTTGCAATGCATTGTGATTCAAGTGTTCCTTTATGTAAGTTTTTAAATCACATATTTTTTATTGTATATTTTTACTCATATATTTACCAAATTAACATTTACAATTATGAAACAAATCACTCATGAAATATTTTACAAAGAAAAGTCAAAGGCAAGATAAAACTAATAATGCAAGCTGGAGGTAATAATAAGAGCATGGCAGAGTTGAGACTTCTACTACTACTAGGAGTTTTTTGACAGCCACATTAAAAGGATCTGACAAAGAGTCAGAATCATGCCTGGGAATAGCTACTGCTCTTCAGCCTGGCCAACACAGCAAGACCCCACCTCTAAAAAAATCACAAATCTCAATGCAATGATTTTTTTAAATGGACATATCTCTACTACACTTAACAATGTATCAAACTCTAAGTATGTATTGTGTGTTAGGATATTAGTCAATGATAGTATGGAGATAATAACATTTTTAAAATATTAACATTATTTATGTTTATAATCTCATGAATGCTTTTTAAAATTATTGCATCTATAACATTGTAGAGTAGATTTATATCACATAATACATAAATTAATATTTATATAAGCAATACTCATTGGGGACACATCCTCCAATTTTTTTTTTTATTGGTGGGAGTATTTTAAAAACTTGGAAACCAGTGGTTTCCATTAAAAAAAAGTGAATTTACAGACATATTTGTCTATCAGATTTTCAGTTAGAAAACTGGCACACTTTTATGCCTAGAGCATTTTTTACTTTTAAAAAAGTAACATTGACTTTACTCCAGTCTGTTTGGCAAAAGTTCCATGATGGATCACTGTAAAGACAGCAAAGGATTGGCACATTTGCTTTTAGTATTTATGTGAGAACAAGTGTACTTTTTCATCTGTGTTTATACAGAGTTTGTGTGTGTAGAGTTGAGTAATCCTTGTGACAAAACACTATAACCCCATGAGACTAATCTAATGCCAGAAGAAAATACTATAGCTGAGTTGAGTGACGAAAGCCATTCTGGACCTGAGTTGTGTTAATAGGGAAGAGAATTTTCTCAACGGTAACATTGTGAATAATCACAGTGAATCTGGGTTTCTCATTGTGCTATTCTTAGGCAACTCTGTTATCCAAGCTTATAGATTTGCTAGGGTCCTGGGTTACCCAGACATTTTCCCACTTGTGATTCTTCTGCTCATTTCACTGCTTATTAATATCCATTAAAGAGTTAACTGGGACAGGCATAGGAATTTTATCTGGAGGTTTTATTCCCTTATTGGTTACATTGGCATACAATATTTGGATTATACATATATATATTTTTTATCCACGTGGATCTTGACTTCAGAGCCATGGAAAATCAACTGCCAGTCAAACCTGCTTTCAAACCAATCATCTTAAAACCAACACAAGCTTTTCTGGTCATGTTTTAGGTGGCCACAGCTGTAAAACCATTTATGACAAACTCTGGAATTTTGACTTGACTTTGATAATAAACTTATGTACTTTGAAACTAGAAGGGCAACAAAGCCAGGCTAGACACTGAGAACATTTTCCACTTAAGATAGCATGAAATTAATAAAGAAGATAGCTTTCAGGTTGTATTTTAAGATAGCCTGAAATTAATAAAGAAGATAGCTTTCAGGTTGTATTTACTTACCTCTGCTAAAATCGGAAAGCTGGGCTGAGTTTATAGAATCATGGAGTTAGAAGGGAACTTAAAGGACATCATACCTAGGTCCTACACAGAAGATTAGGGCAGACTTGGGGAATTCTTTCCTTATGGGCCAGATTATGAAGCCGAGTCTTCCTGAAGACTGTCTGTGGATATGCAAAGCAAAGGAAAAGAGATGAAAATGTAATCAGGTGGAGAACAATGATCTAAAGTTAGTAGAAACAGGGATTTGTCTAAAGCTGGAAGGAAGAGTTAATGGTAGAGGGTGGTGGGGTGGAGAAAGGTAAGAAACAAGGGAATGGTGACAACAGGATAAAAAATGAGGGGCAAAATAGGTTAGGTTAGGTGGTTCAAGGATGGCATTCACCAATGCTGGGCATGTGGTAGGATGCTTCTTCAATGTGGAACCTTCCATCTAGCTAACATGAGGATTCTGCTTCACCTTATCTCACATTCCTGGCTCTGTTCTCCAGCTTTAAATACTTATTTTTACTCATTTCAATTTGGGGGATTCATTAAGATGGATGTTCCTCCTTGGCTTCGGATCGCCTTCATCATTGGAACATTTCCTTTTCTCTGAAATTCTGGTTACCTAAAATTGAAAGAGATTTTCATCGCCCCAGAGGGAGTGTTAACTCTCTTAATACAGAATCACCCTCTACAACATCCCTGAAGGACTGCCTTTTTGCCATTCCAGATGACCATATCTACTTGACTGTCTCATGTCATGGAAACTCTACATTATAGATTGCCAGTACCTTGAATTGTTCAACTTCAGAGTTGATTTTCAACTAGCTGAGTCCTTCCTTTATCACATCCATCTCCTCCTCTGGCTTTCTCATTCTTTTCTTTTAAAAAATTATTATTATTTATTATTTTTAAATGACACATAATTGCATATATTTGTGGGACCCAATATGATATTTCAGTACATATATATAATGTGTACTGATTGAATCATGGTAATTAGCATATTCATCACCTCAGACATTTATCATTTCTTTGTGTTGAGAACATTCAAAATCCACTCTTGTAGCTATTTGAAAATATGCAAGAAATTATTATTTTTTTTTTTGAGACAGAGACTCACTCTGTCACCCAGGCTGGAGTACAGTGGCGTGATCTCTGCTCACTGCAACCTCCGCCCCCCTGGGTTCAAGCAATTCTCCTGCCTCACCCTCCCGAGTAGCTGGGACTATAAGCGCCTGCCACCGTGCCCAGCTAATTTTTGTATTTTTAGTAGAGATGGGGTTTCACCATGTTGGCCAGGATGGTCTCGATCTCTTGACCTCGTGATCTGCCTGCCTCAGCCTCCCAAAGTGCTGGGATTACAGGCATGAGCCACTGTGCCCAGCCACAATAAATTCTTGTTTATTGTAGTCACTCTACAGTGCTATAGAACACTAGAATTTATTCCCTCTATCTAGCTGTACTAGATTTGTTAACCATCCGTGTCTATCCTCCTCTTCCCACTACCCTTCCTAGCCTACAGTAGCCACTATTCTACTCTTTACTTGTAGGAAATTAACTTTTTTTTTTTTTTAAGCTTTCTCATGTAAGTGAGAACATGTGCTTGGCTTATTTCACTTAAAATAAATTCTTCCAAGCTCATTTATGTTGCAGTGAATGACAGAATTGTTCTTTTTTTCTATCACTAAGTAGTATTCCATTGGGCATGTACACCATAGTACATATTCTCTTTATTCATTCATCTGTTGATGGACACTTAGGTTATTCCATATCTTGGCTATTGTGAATTGTGCTCCAATAAACATATATGCAAAATAGTACTGCAATAAAGATATCTCTTCAACATACTGATTTCCTCTTCTTTGGATTAATGCCCAGTATTGGGGTGGCTGGATCATATAGTAGTTCTATTTTAAGCTTTTTGAGGAAACTCCATACCGTTTTCCATAATGGCTGTACTAATGTACATCCCTCCCAACAGTGTATGAGTTCCCTTTTCTCTGTATCCTCACAAGCATTTTTTTTTTTTGGTCTTTTTGATAATAGCTATTCTAACTGGGGTGAAATGCTGTCTCATTGTGGTTTTGATTTCCATTTCTCTGATGATTAGTGGTATTCAGCATTTTTTAATATACCTGTTGGCTATTTGTATATCTTCTTTTGAGAGATATCTGTTCAGCCCATGGCCCACTTTTTAACCTATATATATATATATTTGTTGTTGTTGTTGAGTTATTTGAGTTTCTTGTATATTCTGAATATTCATCCCTTGTGGGATGAATAGTTTTCAAATGTTTTCCCTTGTGCTGGAGGTTGTCTCTTCATTCTCTTAATTTTTCCTTTGCAGTTAAGAAGCTTTTTAGTTTGGTATAATCTCATCAGTCTATTTTTGCTTTTATTGCCTGTGCTTTGAGGTCTTCATAAAATCTTTGCCCAGATCAATGTCCTAAAGCATTTCTCCTGTTGTTTTCTTCTAGTAGCTTCATGGTTTTGAGTGTTACATTTAAGTCTTTAATGCATTTTGAGTTGACTTTTGTATATGGTGGGAGATAGAGGCCTAGTTTCATTTTTCTGCTTATGGATATCCAGCTTTCCCAGCATCATTTATTGAAAAGACTGTCCTTTCCCCTAATGAGCATTCACAGAGTCTTTGTAGAAAGTCAGTTGGCTGCAAATAGGTGGATTTATTTCTGGGTTCTCTATTCTGTTCCATTGGTCTTTCTGTTTTTATGCCAGTACCATGCTATTTTGATTAATCTAGCTTTATACTATATTTTAAGTCAGGTAGTGTGATACCTTCAGATTTTTTCTTTGAGTTATTTGAGGTCTTTTGTGGTACTCTATGAATTTTAGGATTTTTTTCTATTTCTGTGAAGAATGTTAGTGGTACTTGATAGGGATTGCACTGGATCTGTAGATCACTTTTTGTAGGATGGGCATTTTCACAATATTAATTATTTTACTCCATGAACATGGTATGTCTATTTTTTTGATTTTTTTCAATTTCTTTATTAGTGTTTTCTAGTTTTCCTTGTAGAGATGTTTTCCCTCCTTGGTTATATTTATTCTTGTATTCTTTTTATAGTTATTATCAATAGGATTGCTTTCTTGATTCTATTTCTATTAGTCTGTTGTTGGTGTCTAGAAACACTGCTGATTTTTGTATGTTGATTTTGTATCCTGTAACATTACTAAATTTATTTATCAGTTCTAAGAGTTTTTGGTGGAGCTTTTAGGGTTTTCTATGTCTATACACATGTTGTCTGCAAACAGAAACAATTTGACTTCCTCCTTTTCAACTTGGATGCTCTTTATTTCTTTTTCTTGCCTAATTGCTTGGGTTAGGACTTCCAGTTCTGTGTTGAATAAAAGTAGTGAGGGTAAGCATCTTTGTCTTGCTTCAGTTCTTAGGGAAAAAGCTTTTAGCTTTCCACACTTAGTGTGATGTTTACTGTGGTTTTGTCATATGTGGTCTTTATTGTGTTGAGGTATGGTCCTTCTATACCTAGTTTGTTGAGTGCTTTTATCACGAAGGGATGCTGAATTTTACCAATTTTTTTTGTATCTATTAACATGACCATATATTTTTTCCCTTGATTCTGTTGATATATCACATTTATTTATTTTTGTATGTTGAACCATCCTTTCATTCCTATGATAAATTCTACTTGATTATGATGCATGATCTTTTTAATGTGCTGGATTTGGTTTGTTAGTATTTTGGTGAAGATTTTTGCATCTGTGTTCATTGGAGATATTGGCCCATAGTTTTCTTTTTGGTTGTTTTTTCTTTGTCTGGTTTTAGTATCAAGGTAATGCTGACCTCATAAAATGAGTTTGGAAGATCTCCTTTTTCTTCAGTTTTTTGGAAGAATTTAAGAATAATTGGTTTTAGTTCTTCTTTAAATGTTTGGTCGAATTCAGCAGTGAAAACTTCAGTTCCTGGATTGGTCTTTGATGGGAGACTTTTAATTACTGGTTTAATCTCATAAATAATAATTGATCTGGTTAGGTTTTCTAAATTTTTTTTGTTCAATCTTAGTAGGTTGTATGTGTCCAGAAATTTATTCACTTTTGTGAGGTTCTCTAATTTGTTGGTATGTAGTTGTTCATAGTAGTCTCTAATAATCCTTCATATTTCTGTGGTATCAGTTGCAATGCCTCCTTTTTCATTTCTGATTTTATTTACTTAGGTCTCATCTTTCTTTTCTTGGTTAGTATAGCTAAAAATTTGTTGATTTTGTTTATCTTTTCAAAAAAATCGACCATTTTGTTTCATTGATCTTTTACATATTTTAAAATCTCAATTTCATTTATTTCTGCTCTGATATTCATGATTTCTTTTCTTTCATGATTTTGGATTTGTTTTGTTCTTACTTTCCAGTTCCTTCAGATGCGCTGTTTGGTGGCTTATTTGACACTTCTCTGGTTTTTTGATGGAGGCTTTTATTGCTATAAACTTCCCTCTTAACACTGTTTTTGCTGTATCCCATAGGTTTGGATATACTGTGTTCCCATTTTCATTTGTTTTTTTAAAAATTTAAATTTTCTTTTAAATTTATTCATTTGCCATTGGTAGTTTAGAAGCATGTTGTTTAACTTCTATATATTTGTACAGTTTTGAAAGCTCCTTTTGTTATTGATTTCTAGTTTTATTTCATTGTCATCAGAAAAGATACTTGATATGATTTAAATTCTGTTAAATTTGCTGATACTTGTTTTGTGGCCTACCATGTAATCTATTCTGGACGCCATTTCATGTGCTGATTAAAACACGTATATTTTATAGCTATTGGATTAAATATTCTGTAAATATCTGTTTGGACCATTTGGTTGAAAGTACAGTTTAAATCCAATGTTTCTTTGTTGGCTTTCTCTCTAGATGGTCTGTTCAATGCTGACAGTTGCACATTAAAGAACACAACTATTATTGTATTAGGGCCTATCTCCCCCTTTAAATCTAATATTTACTTTACATATCTGAGTGCTCTGGTGCATATATCTTTATCATTATGATATTCTCTTGTTGAATTGATCCTTTTATCATTAGATAATGAACTTTTTTTGGTCTCCTTTTAAAGTTTTTGACTTAAAGTCTGTTTTACCTGATGTAAGTATAGCTAGCTACTCCTTCTTGCCTTTGATTTCTGTTTTAATGGAATATCTTTTGCCATTCTTTCACTTTTAGTCTATATGTGTCTTTAGAAGCAAGGTGAGCTTCTTATAGGCAGCATACAGTTAGGTCATGTTTTTTAATTCATTCAGCCAGTCTAATTTTTTTTAAGTGAGATATTTAATCAGTTTACACTGATGGTTATTATTGATTGGTGAGGACTTACTCCTATCATTTTGTTAATTCTTTTCTTTTTTTCTTTCTTTCTTTTTTTTTGAGACAGAGTCTTGCTCTGTCTGTCGCCCAGTCTAGAGTGCAGTGGCACGATCTCGGCTCACTGCAACCTCTGCCTCCTGGGTTCAAGTGATTCTCCTGCCTCAGCCTCCCGAGTAGCTGGGATTACAGGTGCCCAACACCACACCCGGCTAATTTTTGTGTTTTTAGTAGAGACAGGGTTTCACCATGTTGGCCAGGTTGGTCTCAAACTCCTGATCTCAAGTGATCTGCCTGCCTTGCCTCCCAAAGTACTGGGATTATTTATAGGCATGAGCCACCATGCCTGGCCTTTTCTTTTATTCTTTTATTCTTTTTTTTTTTTTTTTAAGCTCTGACTGGGTAATTTCAAATGACCTGTCTTCAAACTCAGAGACTCTTTTTTTCTGCAATCAAATCTGCCATTGAAGCTCTCTGTTGTATTTTTTATTTTGTTCACTGAATTCTTCAGCTGCAAAATTTTTGTTTGATTCTTTTTTATATATATCTCTTTGTTGATTTTTTTATTCATATCATAAAATGTTTTTCTGATTCTATAGAATTGTCTATCTGTATTTTCTTGTATATTGTTGAGTTTTCTCAAGATTGTTATTTTGAATTTCTTTTCTGACAATTCATTGATTTCCATTTTATGCGGGTCTGTTATTAGAGAGTTATTACATTCCTTTGTTCATGTCATATTGCCTTGGTTTTTCATGTTTCTTGTGTCCCTGCATTGAGGCCTATGCATCTGGTGGAATAATCTCCTCTTCCAAACTTTCTAGAGTGGCTTTTGCAGAGAAAGACTTTCACTTGCAGTTAGGTCTTAGTGTGCCAGTTGGGAAGGGTCTGGTGACTCTGTTTTGGGGTAGTTGCAGTGGTATAATCTCTGTGCCATATCTTCAGCTGTGTTCAATGTCAGCAATAATTGTGGATGTCTCAGGGGCCTAGGCCATAGAAGTTTGTGGCAGTGGCAGTGGCAGTGGCACTGGCTGTTGATGTCCTAGGTGGTAAAGTATTTTGGGGTCCTCCTCTTCTTGTTTTTTCCACAATAAATAGACTTACCCAAAGGGATCCTTCTTGGTGTCAGGTGTGACACAGCCTACAAGTAGCTGCAGTGGTGCTGGTTTCCAGGTACAGGGTGCTTGGAAAGGCTGTGGGGCCAGGGTTCTAGGCTCAGAGTCTCAACAAACTTATTGTGACACCTGGGTCTTGGGGCATATTTGCTCTCTGTAGCTGGGTTTGGTGTAGGTTGCCCACAGGGCCAGGATCTGTGACTCTAAGATACCCATTAGCAGCTCAGTCCCAGGGCTGAGTTGCAGCTCTGACTCTATTATTGGGAGACAGAGCATAGCACTGGCGTGATGCTAGGGAGGAAGGGTTGATCTGGAGGTTTGAGCCCAAGGAACAGTGCATGGCTGCAATTTGGAAACCTGAGCCAATGGGGCTCAGTGGCAACTCAGGCCCCAAGGGAAAAGGCATCATGTAGTGGTGGCTCTAGACCCTGAGATGATGTGGCGTGGCACTATTCCAGACTCTGTGAGTCCAGGTGGAACAGCAGCAATTAGAATGGTGGAGCACAGTTGTTTGGGCCCTGGGGTGGGGGCAGGGAGCAGCACAACTATGACTCAACTCTCTGTGGAGAGTATTGTCTCAGCAGGTGAGACTCTAGGGGGCTAGTCCAACCACAGGAAAGCAGGGTACTAGAATTGTTTGGCCTATAGGGTGGGGTGTCTCAGCTCAGCCACTGCTGTGTTTCTCTGTGATGTCGGCTACTACATTAGCTCAGCCCTGGGATATAGGAAGCTACTTCAGCTTTAGTACTATGGTACATGACCACTCTGGGTGGCCAAAGAACCTTTTTCTGGGAGGTAGGTTGCTGCTTTAACTTAGGCACTGGGCAAGAGTGCCTGCCCTAGGTGGCCACCGCACTGTTTCCCCAGGAGGGAATGTACTGCTTCAGCTTCAGCTGAAGGGGGTGGGATGCAGCATAGGGGGCAGGGGACAGCTGGACTGGGAAATGTAGATGGAGTGGTTTTGCCAAAATACTGTTTCCTCAGGTTGGAGTGTGCAGCTTTAGCTCAAGCTCCAAGGGGCAGGACATAGCAGCAACTAGGAGAGTAGATGTGGCAGCTCTGTGCCAAGGCAGTTTCCTTGGGAGGCAGTACTTCAGCTTAGGTCCCTAGGGGCAGGGCAGAGCAGCCACTGGGAGTGGTAGATAAGCTGTTCTGTGAAAGCACTGTTAGCCTGGAAAGGAGTTCATATCTTCAGCTCCAGTCTGAGGAGTTTGGGAAGGCATAGGTGGAGTGACTCCACTGCTGCTTGGCCACATAGGAAAAGGCATAACAGTTAGCAGCTCAGCTTGGGGATGTTGGCTACTGGGCAGGAGTGGTTCAGCAGTGGCTTAGCCTCTGGCATGAAGGGGTGTCATGGCTATTACCTTCTCCCCCTGGAAAGACACGCTGCAGCAGTAATTTCAGAGCAGTAGTTGTACAGGCTACAGGGGGCAGGGTATAGTGTCAGCTCCTTCTCTGAGGGGAACACAGTTGTGTGGACTCCAGGCAGTTCTCTCAGTCAGGCTTAGTGCCTGTGAGGACTGTAGGGGACCCTAGGGGTGAGGACAGTAGGTGCCCAAGGTGTTGCTGGGGGATGCTGGGATTGTCTTGCCTACCTTTTCCTCATAAGGAGAAGTTTCTTCTGGTTCTTAGCTGATCCTGGCAGAGGGATGGAGTGGTGGAGGCCAGGTGTTTCCTTCTGTTCTCTATGTGTCTATCCTGAGTTTCTGTGCTCATCGGAGTCTCTGTTACTTTTTTTAAATGTGCTTTGACATTTTCCTTTAGTTATTTTTATTAAACTTTAGTTGTTTATTCACCGTTTTGCTGTCTTTGTTGGGGGGGATGAGTACTAGGGGATTCTAGTCAGCCATCTTGCTGACATCATTTCTCTCTCATTTTTTAGTTCCAGTGAACCTGCTTCTTGACTTTACTGAACCCCTAAGGTTATGATCCTTTCATTTTTCTCTCAACCTATGAACCATCTTTGGTTTCATATACTCATTTACTTAGGATCCCATTATCTATTACCCAGCATCACCCTTAACAGCAGTTTCAACTTCTTTGGCTCCTTCTCTGTGTTCATCCTGTAATTTTCCTGTGGTCAGTCCCTGACCCCATGGAATGATCAGGCCCCTCCCATCAGAGAATCTTACTCACTTATAGGACCAAGTAAGACAGGGCTCTTCTGCCCAACATGCAACATAGCCTTTGCCTATGCCCCTCAAGACCCTAGCACTTCTCTGATATCTTTGTCAACTTGTGACATTGTCCAAAGATGCAATCTCAACAAGTGAGGCATTTGAACTTTTGGTTTCCACTCAGGGATGTAGAGAGCTAGGTTGAGTATCATTCCTACTCTTTTTGTTTTGTTTTGCTTTGTTTTTTGTTTTTATTTTTTTGAGATGGAGTTTCACTCTTGTTGCCCAGGCTGGAGTGCAATGGTGTGATCTCGGCTCACTGCAACCCCTGCCTCCTGGGTTCAAGTGATTCTCCTGCTTAAGCCTCCCAAGTAGGTGGGATTACAGGCATGTGCCACTACATCCGGCTAATTTTGTATTTTTTTAGTAGAGACGGAGTTTCTCCATGTTGGTCAGGCTGGTCTCAAACTCCTGACCTCAGGTGATCCACCCACCTCAGCCTCCCAAAGTGCCGGGATTACAGGCGTGAGCCACCGTGCCCAGCCCATTCCTAACTCTTTAAACAAAAATGTAGCCAGGCAAATCTCAGATTCATTACTCTCCTTGAACCCAACAGAGAGCTGAGGTTTCAGAGCAACTGAGTATTATGAAATCTAAACATAGACTTGCTCCTGTTGGGTGAGATGGGATGCAAGCACTTGGTCGCCTGGGGTAAATACAGTCAGAAGCTGATAAGAATTTAGCTGTAACATTTAATAAACTGGTGGAGGCTGAATGTGGAATTACAGGAAAGTGTAGAGCCCCAGGAGGCTGCAAATATGTGGAAGTTCACACTCCATTGCGGGCTTTTTCTCTATGTATCTCGCCAGGTGCTTAGAAGAAATATTTGTAAGAGTCTTGAGAAATGTCCCTCAAGGTGCAGTCCTCAGAGATAGGTAGAGCTGCCTCTTGAGGACAGACATGAAACTCTACCAGTACCTGTCTTCATGATTTCTTGTAGAGAACAAAACCTTGAGGCAGAGGGAGAGGAAGTCAACAAACACTATTGCCTTGGTAAAAACCCATCATAGCTGGGGGATGGGAACAGAAAAAAGTCACCTATCCCTGGCAGGGGAAAGGCACATGTACCAGGCCAAGAAATACAACTTGGGTAAGAGCACAAGCACTGAGAAAGCCACACCCTGAAGCCCAGATACTTAGTTTCTGCCTAAGACTGAGACTTCACAAACCACTGTCTCCAACCATCAAGCCAACAAGCACAGAGTAATAAGAAACAGTAGAATGTACCTGGGAGAGTTTCAAAAGCATGAGACACACCCACTGTGAGGCACAGTGCAAAAGAAGGACCTAGAGCTGAGTGAAGCAAACATTGGGAAAAATCCTCTGGCATGCCAGCTTGCACCTCAAACCCAGAGTATCATCAGAGAAATTTGAGGCTTGTGGTGCACTGCGGGTAACCATAGCAACAACAAACTGAAGCATAATTTCTGACCAGATTAATTCAACCTCCTGCACTAAAGGCTTAGGAAAAGTAAAGACATGTCCATTTCTACTCACAAAAAGCATATACCATAGCCCTATTCTCTTCAGTAAGCTGTCTCACTTAGACTCTCCAAAAAAAAAAAGTAGAGGTTTTTCTTGAAAGAAAAATGTAAACAAAAACAACCCATTGCCAAGAGACAAAGCAATCATCAGGACCATACTCAGATTTGACACAGATGCTGTAGTTCTCTAAAAGGGTATTTAAAATAACAATGATTAGTATGTCAAAGGCTCAATGGCAGAGATTGACAAACTTTTTTCTCTAAAGGGCCAGACAGTAAATATTTAGGCTTTGTGGGCCACATATGAACTGTTACATATTATTATTATTTTTTAAAGTGTTTTTAAACTTCTAAAAAATGTAAAAACCCTTCTAAGTGCATAAGTCTTACGAAAACAGGCCACTGGCTGGATGTTGCCCACAAGACCTGGATCTGCCCATCTATATCTAGAAATTATAGAAATGAAAAAAATATATAATAACAGAGATGAAGAATACCTTTGATAGACTCATCAGTAGATATGACAAGCTAAGGAAAGAATCAGTGAACTTGAAGTCAACTTGAAGATAGGTCAATAAAAATTACCTAAATTGAAACCCAAAGAGAAATAAAAAAGTAAAAAAAAGCGAGACAAAACAAATGAAAATAAAACCAAAACAAAACACCCTATTGCATCTCAGACATGTGGGATAACATGTCTTAGAGAGAGACAGAGAACAAGCCAGCAGAGATTTTCAAAGAAACAATGGCCAAGAATTTCTCAAATTTACAAATAGATGCAAGAAGCTCAGAGTAAACCAAGCAGTAAAAATACAATACAAAGAAAACCCCCAAACAACACCCCATCATACTCCATATCCTATACTAATGTTCAAACTAGTGAAAAATGGAAGCATCTTACTTACTGAAGTCTGTTGATGGCTTCTGGGGAAAAGCTGCAGTATCTGCTCACATTGGGTAGTGGGAAAGGAGCAAGGAGGTTTTGCATGGACCAGTGATTGGAGCAAGGAAGGCAGCAGCACATTTAAAGAAAATGTTTAACTGAACCGTCCTGAGATTTTTTTCAGAATAGCTTGCTTTGGTGTCTGTAGGTCACCTCATAAACAGAGAAACTACCTTTCTTATCTATCTAAATTCCAGAAAAAGATAACCAGGCTCTGGCCAAATGTGGTAACATGACAGAAATGGAGATGGAGATGACCAGGAGATCCAGGATAAACAGCCACCCATGACCTTGGTCCCATGCTCTGCATCATATCCATTTTGTTTAAGCTAAAAGAGAAAGAAAGGAAAAAGAATGCTTGAGCAGGGCTCCAGAGCTCAGAAGTAAATCTTCCACAGTCATAACCAAACCAGGTTTCTTTGTTTCCTGTTTAGAAAGCAGGCGCTGAGTCAGGAATCTGGGCTCCCCCAGACAGGAACATGCTTAATGAACATTTAGCGTACTTTCAACATAGACCAGACTCCAGAGCTGGTTTTTCTTTAGCCCTGGTGGAGGGCTAAGTCCATGCTGTTGTGGACAAGAATTGCTCTCAAATGGCTTTCAAAAAGGAACAGCTCAGACTCTGGGCTAAGCTAAGAGCCTGCTCTCTTTGACCCCATGCCAGGCTGTCTGACTGCTGCATAATAATGTCCCTAACAATATATGATCTCTAACCCAGCCATGACCTTCACATTGGCATCATTTTACTTGTTATTGTTCATCTGCCTTTTGCATTTCCCACAGCAGCTATTCTAATTCTTCAAAATTATTTAATTTTATTACTTCACTACATGTACTTCACTCTTAATGGATGATCATGCTTCCTACTTCACAGAAAACAGAGACTCACTGCTCAGATAATAACAACATGTCATATGTATTGCACCTCTTATACACAAGGTAGTGCTTTTGCTCTTCTCACAAATGATCTCATTAATATTAACATCACCTTAACATAGACTTATTATTCCCTCCTTTCAAGAAGATAAAAAGCCTTTGAGAGGGTTCAAACTTAGGTCTGAGACACCACTTAGCCTCTGCTTTTTAAAAATTACCTTTCTGCTTCTTCTAGGAAACAAAACATATCAAAACAAAAATTGATCCAAACCAAACCTTCTTTCTGATCTGCTGTAGATATCTTTTAATAGATATCTTTTTAACTTAAAGTTTAAAAATACTTTGGCAAGGTAAAACTAAATAGAAATTGCATTCAAGTGCAAACAGTTGATATAGACATGTTTCTGCAAGCAGATTTGAATGAAGGGGGGAAAGGGGAGGTAAGAGGGAAGATGGGGAGAGAATGGGAGAGGGAGACCATAGAGGAAGGCCCCGATGCATGAGAAGAGGAAGTTGGGGGAACCAAATACAAACATAGAGTGCTTCACAATTTAACTGAGCACTGGCCCTGTCTGTCTGTAACTGAAGATGTAGAACTATCTAGGAAAGAAGAAGAGAGAACCAAGGCGTTTCCCTTAAAAAAGGAACAATGACAAGAAAGAGAACAACTTGTGTTAAAGGTACCATATTAAAGGTCATCTTAGGTTTTCAGAACATGGCCTGCCATCTCGATCGGTATCTGTGCCAAAGTATTAGCTGATATTTTATTTGGCAACAAAACCAACCCAAATATTCATTTATGCAGGGGTGCCCTCAGTGCTTAGATGGTAGGTAGCTTGGCCAAATTGAAGGGCCACATTGGTTTCCAGAGGAAACATTCTCATTCTCTCTCTGTTTTTTTTTTTTTTTTTTTTTTTTTGCTTGATGAATTGTGGAGTCATTCATTCACCAGAGGGTAAAGTAAGAAAAACTAATTATATTTAAATGAACACTTGGCATTTGGTTCAGCAACCTAATGTGACCTGGAGTCATTTTAAAGACCTCACTTTTTCTCTGGAGAAGGAGCTGTCTTTCTGAGGACCAGACCCTGCAGAAGGAGCTATCTTTCTGTGGACCAGACCCAGGTCCAATTTCTCTTTTAGCTCTTACTTAGATTGAATTAAATCCTAATTAAAAGTAGACTGCTCAGCTGTGTGTCTCCTGGAATGGATCTCTTCCAGGACTGAAACATTCTCATTTAGTGAGATGTCTTCTTGTTATTGCATATAAAGTTACTAATACTTTCCTGGGAGTCTATATATAAAATTTATGTTAAGTGTGTATTCATCCGTAGACTAACTTGAATGGCTATTTTCTCATTAAGGCAAACTCTTAGCTGATACTTTACAGAAGTTTTATTCTCAAGGATTACTTCTGGACATTGGAAATCTTAATTTTTTTCATATTGAATTTTATGTAAACCAATTGGTTATTTCTAAGCTTATTTATGGATTGTTTTGCTGTTTATAGTCCTAATTAGGAAATGTGTTAAACCAATTGTCCACAAAGTGTGAATCAGTAATATAACTCTTTGTAGAGTGTGAATGTGAGCTAGGGAGATTTCATAGAGAGATGATTCTCCTGCTGTTCTCTTAGTAGGCATCCATTTTGCTTTGTGTGAAGATTTCTCCTGGTCTTTCTGAAGCACAGAACCAAAGTAAAGGGAACTAACTGGAGCTCAGAGTTAATCCTATGTCCAAGGAACAAATGTAAGCTAATTGTTCTACCAGGGGTTTGAACCCATGACCTAGGTCTCATTATAGTAAACTCAAACCAACTGAGCTAATAAAGGAGAAACCTGATGTCAGGTCTATAGCAATACATGGTGCTACATCATGCCAGCATCACTGCTTCCATTGTTACTGTTAACCAAAGCACTTTTGGGGAAAACCTCCTCAGAAGTTTCTGAGATATCTGACCAAGTCAAAGAATTGGTCAGAATTCAACAGCATAGATTTGATGTCATGTCAAAATCACAGAGAATGGTAATACTCTCTGGACTTAGTGAAATAGCTGCTGGTACTTTCAAAACAGAAGGAGAGATTTATTTTCTATCACATATGCCACAATGAAAAAATGTCACAACATACTGGAACTACTGCCCACATCAGTCACTTCCAGAGGGAAAGCGAGAATTGATTTTCTAATAATTTGTCAACCTGGGCATATCTGAAGTGTACTATTTATTCATTCTTTTAATCAGAAATATTTATTGAGCCTTTTCTCTGTGGCAGGAATTATCATAGGCAACAAGGATATAGAAATGACCAAGTTGGACAAGGTCTGGTTCCCATGCAGCCAATATAGTAGGGGAAGATAATAAATACATAAGCAAATAAGCAAGAATTTATTATTCAATGTGAACAGTACATAATTTCTCAAATTTCAAAAATATATTCCTTTATCTCTCTATTTTTGTACATAAAGTACATACATACATAATTCTATTAGAGGCACAAAGTGTTGAAAATTATAGGTAAGTTGCTGTAGATGTGGTCTGTTAAATAGGGTGAGATGAAAGCTTTCTATAATACCATAATTGAAATAATGTCAGCATTTTTGCAGTTTTTATTAATGAGTTTAGCTTTGAAACCACTCATACTTGCATCTGAACCCTGCTTCCTCTGTTTGTTAGCACTATGACTTAAGGCAAGTAGTTTTTTTTGTTTTTAACTTCTCTGAGCCTCAGTTTCCTGGTCTGGAAAATAATGCAGGTTTGCTGTATTAAATACTATAGTAGAATATAAGTAAAATGCATGGCACTTAGCAGGTACTCAAGAAACAGTTCCTCTATCCAAAGGAGAAAAACATCTTGCACACTCACAATTACCAGGTGTAACTTATTTTGACTGTTAGGTACAAAGACTTTAGAACTACACTAAATAATTTGAGCTATGTTACTTAGCAGAATGATTTTGTTAAAATACATAAAATTTCTTCAAGAATATTATTGGCTTTAGATACAAAGGCAGTTCCATCACAACCCTGCTTTGCAAGATAAAATGAACATTTGCTAAATCATATTTAACCTTTCACTAGTGATTTACAGCAGTCTTTATCTGTAGATATTTTTCTTCCAACTTTTCGAAGTTGGGGAATAGAGCAGACAATAGCTTAAGGAGAGCAGTGCATGTTTAACTGAGAACTTTTCATCTCTCTGCTCTGATCTAAGCATTCCTTTTTCAGGTAGAGGCCTGGTATTTGAAAAGCAAAGGCATCAAGTTTCTTGGCACTCTGTAGCTTGAAACATTTATCAAAATAAACCCCAGGAGCTGGGGCCTGCAGCAGCCTTTGGAGATTAGAAGAATGCCATACATGTGGTGAGGGGTGTGGGAGAGGGGCGATGATTGCGCCTGAGGAAACTGGCGTTCTGGAGGTTTCTGTGCTCCAGCCTGGCTGTCTCTCTATTAGTAACAAAAGACTTGCCTTCCTCAGCCCTAGGCATCTGGCTGTATCCCCAGATGCTGCTCTGAAGTCAGAGTAAAAAACAGAGGAAATATCTGGGTGCTTTAGATTCAATAATGCTTGGTATAGCAATAATGTTGATAATAGTAATCATATTAGTTATAATCACAAATATTTGTTATATAAATTATAAATGTAAATAATATGATTAATAATTGTATTAAATAAAATAGTTTCTATAATAATAAAAACATTAGCATTACAAAAATAATAACATTTTGGCGTACGTTGTGCTAAATCTCTATGGACTCCAGTAGGGGTGGCAATAGGTTCAATGAGGGAGCCAGTGAAGGAGACACAAGGTTTTACTAGGGGGATCTTACATACAGGGGAGAGAGTCTATGGGGGGGATCTTACAGACAGAGGAGAGAGTCCAGTGGCACTGGGCTGGGCAGAAGAATAGCAACCCCTTGTAAAAAGCATATAGTTTATATAGCATTTTCACTTAACACCCTCCCTCAAACAACCTCCACCTGGCAACCTTCATTTAACCCAAAACAAAGGGCCTGGATCCCCAGTATGGCCTACATTCCACGGTTAGGGCAGGGGCCTGGGGCTCAGATGTTCCTCATAGGTAAGGAATGGATCTCCTGGTTGGCCCCTCCCAGATTCCTTAGCTCAGGACTGGGAACACATTCAGGTGCGTCAGCCACGCAGGGTCATTCTCAGTGTGCTTAAGTCAAGTTATTGCTGTCAGGTGCGTCTACCATGCAGTATATTTACTAAGAACTTCACACACATCTCTTTGAAACTCTAACCAAAATATTTTTGATTCAAGTGCTATTATTTCTCCATTTCACAGAAGAGGAAACCGAGACAAAGTGAAGTTACTTCCCCCAAGTCACCTAACAGGTAAGTGAAGGAATTGGGATACAAACTCAGACAGTAAAACTCTGAAATCTCAGTTCTATGTTACATATGTTGACAAATCTATATTCAGCTTTATTTTCTATTATTGATCCAATGACTTGAAATATAAGCAACATGTTCAATTGTGATCAAGGATGGCAAAATAGCAACATTCGCCTCTGAGTCACTCTGTTTTCCCCAGAATCTATGCAGAAAATGTACATTTCCCCGTCCACCCTAGTTGGTGCTGCATTCAATTAGCAAATACAGTAAATCAATTGAGTAAAAAGTAGCACTTGTGATTTGGAGAGAGAATTGGTCTCTTGAAGTCAAAATAGCAATGTTTTATTTGCCTTTCTTGATATCTATTCATAGTTTAGTCCTTGTTGTTTTTCCTTTTTCAAGTAATTGACCCCATGACTGTTTCACTTTTAAGTACTCAAGGCCTAGATGACTTAGACATAGCTTCTCAACCTTTGGCTCTTTTCTTGACTAATCCCTGAGCTCAATTTTGAAGTATTTCAGGTTCATTTGCTGCCAGAATCTGTGGTGAGAGTTTGCACCTTCTGATTTTTGTTTACAAAAGTTACTTTCATCCAAAATGAAATGTCTCATCTTCCAGAAAAACTGAGATGGGGTCATCACTCACCTCAAAGGCCACACACAGGGCGGGAATTTTCTCCTGAGGTCACATGCAGTGGATGAATTGTTAAGGGCTAATTAATGTTGTAGGTCACTGAGTCAGCAGCCTTGTTCAAAGATGTCACCTGAAGCAACAAAGGCTTAGTTCTATTTTCGAGAAAGCAACATCGAGACTCTCTGGACCACAAGGATAAACAATTATTGCTTATCCTTTTTGGTTTAAAGTCATCTGGTAGTTTTAATGTATATTTCCACACTTTTTATAAATCAGGAACTCTGGGAATGTAAATACCAAATTGACTTATTGGCTTAATATTTTGGAGTGGTCAAATTGATTTAGACCATTCAACCTGCCTCATTCACCAGTACATGTGTAAATCTGTTATAATGTTATGTTCATCTGGGAAATGAGACTAAAGGGTAATGGAAAGAAGAATGAAAAAGAAGAATGAATGAAACTAGCTTGACGCCTACTTTCTTGCCTCAATTCTATAAATGAAATTTATTTATGCGTCTAAGAAATATTATGAGTACTTACTATCATAATAGTGTGATAGTACTGTGCTGAGAGATGCTAGTATGAATAAAACTGATACACTTCTGCCCAAATAGCTTAATATCTAGTGGTAAAGATACAACAATTACAATAAAGTGAAGTAAATGGCACAGTGGGGATAGGAGGCTTTCTTCTAACACTTGAAGGATTTAATTCAGTCAGATGATTCAGTTTATTATCTATGTTTTCAAATGGAAAAAGTAGGAGTGTAGGGAAAAGGAAATTTTTTTTTCCATCTCAGGTTCACGGCTGAGGTCCCCATCACAAAAGAGAATTCATAAGAGAAAATCATACAATTTATTTAATGTAAGTTTTCCATGACATGGAAGCCTTTGGAAATAAAGACCCAAATAAATAGGTAAACTTGTGTATTTTTATGTTTAAGTTTGATGAAGAATGGGCAGTCATGGGTAAATATGATTGGAGGATAAAATAGTCTGGTGCTAATGGTAACAAGTTGTGGGGGAACTTTGTAAGGACTGTTTGTTCAGATTCTTCTTGGTATCTCTGTGTCTCTGAGGATAAGGACATTTCTTTTCTTCCAGGTATAGGTTGAGCACCTCTGGAATGAAGGTTTTATGACCTACTTCAGAGGAAGGTCAGAGAATTTTTTTATGACCTGCCTCAAGGGAAAAGGGTGGGAGAAGGTCAGAGGAACGTTTTTGCTTCTGCTGTTTTATCAAATGCCAAGGTGCCATATTTTGGGGTAGTGTGTCATATACCCCCCAACAAAAACAATGAGTAGAAATATAAAATGCAGGCTCTAGCTCAGCTGGAGTGACTTAGTGATGAACACCCTGCACCCAAGTAGTGAGCTTCTTGTCACTAGCAGCAATTAAATAGAGGCCTGTTATTCAGGAAATTTCTACTTGGAAAAACCACTGGGTTTGCTGCTTGTGAAACTTCCAATCTGGAAATGCTACAGTTTTATGAGTTAAGTGTTTACTTTGAGTAGCTCCTGGTCTTCATGAGAAGATCAAGACCTGTCATTTGGACATCTTTACTGGAAGCCCTTCAGCAAGAATTAGGGGCAATAAAACAGATGTGAAGGCCTCTGACTTTTACACCTAGTATGCCATATATCACCTCAGTTTTGAGCATTAGAGTCTAATGGTGGTTTACTATAATTGAAATTCCCCTAGGGAAAGCAAACCAAAGCCTCTCCCATTACAGTAAAAAGAAGATAAAATGCTTTATTTTGAAATATTGTTTTCAAATGTGCCGTATTTTTCAAAGCTTTTTCTTGCATCATTTCTTTAATCCTTTTCCTATCTTATTTAACAAGTAGAATGTGAAATGTTTTTTTCCCAGTCACAAAATCTCAGCTCCTCTGAATAAAGATTTTTTAAAATGTGCTTATTACCATTTATCTACTAATATATGCATGTGCAGAATCCATGCACATATCTAAATATGCTTGTAACAGATATAGGAATAGTCTTTGATGATGCTACTTCAAGCAATTCATACAAGATCCTTACATTCAAATATTTTCTTACTGACAAAAGATCTTAGCTTTTAATCAGGGTTTTAGTTTCACAGAACTAGTATGATGTATCTAATATGTGTGCTGGGAACTGTCAAAGAACAAAGTTTCAACAAATTGAGTTTTAAAGATCTAATTGACTTCTATTAGGGATTCATGAACCAGGCAGCATCCAGTATACTAAATAGAAGCTCTGTCAGGAGTGACTGAACAGTCAGTTTTTGTTAAGACAGCTTGAGCAGGGGAAAGGAGATAGCGTAGTGCAGAAAGCAGATTGGTTAATGTTAGGTTATTTCAGGTTACTTTTCTTGTGGGGAGACTTTCTTACCATGCCAGTTTAGGTAGGCAGGGGCCTTTTTGATTGGTTGCTGTGAATCTCCTATTTGTTTTTTTTAGAAAACTGCTTGGGGATTTGACTATCATCTTGCTCCTGATTTCTCAGAAACTCAGATCTTACAAGTAAGAACAACTTAGATTTCAGTTTGGTGCTACCATTTTGGGTTGGTCTGTTGCGGACTTAGGAGCTAAGTCCAAATCAATGGCCTCTCATCAATTTTATTTGATACAACCAAAGTCATGAGAATAATGAAACTTTCTTGTATTCATTATTGTTATATATTTTGCTTCTCTCAATAAGAGATTTCTGTTTTTTTCTAATAACTCTTCTCTGTGTTCCTGCTTTTTTATTAATATATTTTAATTATTGATAATTGCAGAAGTAGCTAATCTCAATTGATATTAATTGAGCCACTTTTATATGGCAGGCATTGTCTTAGAATTATCTAAAGTTTAGAAAAACCAGTCTTCCATAGCAGAGTGGAATGCTTCTGAAAGTCAACCAATTCAAACGATCCATAAGGAAAGTTGCTATTTACTCTGGCCCTAACAGTTTTATCTTAGTCTTGATTACACAATAAAAGCATTTCCCCAAGAGAGAATTACATCATAAAAGGAAAACAAAATAAAACACATAACCTCTTAAGCCTCAGGTGATTTGAAAATGAAAAGTATAGCAAAATGTATTTTAAAACACTTCGGATATCTACATAAAGGATACTCTTTCTTGAGCACTGTTGGGAACTTCCCACTGAATGTAGCAACTATTATCTTCTTTTACATATATGATTTTTTTTGCATATGTCTTGCCTTGGAAAATTACACATATGCTGAAGTTAAAAGGAATATCTGCCCTCATTATACAAGTCAGGTTGGGAAGCTTGAGGGTAGTTGACTGTCAACTCCAAAAGTATAAATTCAAGTGCTTATGTGGATTTAGTTAGTACTGCACTAGTTAGCACTGCACTAGCTAAATCCACATAACTTTAATAACTTTTTATTAATAATTCACAGATAATTTCTGAATCATTTAGAGAAGAATCTTTTTGGAAGAAATATGTGGGTTGAATGGCAGTTGTATCCTTCCCGATGTTAATAGGACTCCCACAAAAACAGAACAGGCACAACTTGTTTTATTGCACTTTGCTTTATTGTGCTTTGCAGGTACTGCATTTTTTACAAATTAAAGGTTTCTGGCAATCCTGCATCAAGAAGTCTGTTGGCACCATTCTTCCAATAGCTTGGTGTTCAGTTTGTGTCTCTGTGGCACATTTTGGGAATTCCTGCAGTTTTTCAAACTTTTTCATTATGTCAGTTATGGTGACCTGAGGTCAGTGATCTCTGATGTTAGTATTGTCAGAGGTGTATGAACCAGAGCAATTCTATCTTGAATAGGAGCTGGGTAAAATGGGGCTGAGACTTACTGGGCTGCATTCCCAGACAGTTAAGGCATTCTAAATCACAGGATAAGATAGGAGGTCAGCACAAGATACAGGTCATAAAGACCTTGCTGATAAAACAGTTTGCAGTAAAGAAGCCTGCCAAATCCCACCAAAACCAAGATGGCAACGAGAGTGACCTCTGGTCGTCCTCACTGCTACACTGCCACCAGTGCCATAAAAGTTTGCAGATGCCATGGCAACATCAGGAAGTTACCCTTTATGGTCTAAAAAAGGGAGGCATGAACAATCCACCCCTTGTTTAGCACATCATGAAGAAATAACCATAAAAATGGGCCACCAGCAGCCCTTGGGGCTGCTCTGTCTATGGAGTAGCCATTCTTTTACTCCTCTACTTTCTTAATAAACTTGCTTTCACTTTATGGACTCGCCCTAAATTCTTTTTTGCACGATATCCAAGATCCTCTTGGGGTCTGGGTTGGGACCCCTTTCCTATAATAGTATTGTAACTGTTTTGGGGTATCACAAACTGAACCCATATAAGACAGCAAACTTAATTGATAAATGTTATGTGTCTTCTAACTACTGCACTGACTGGCTGTTCCCTCATCTCTCTTCCTCTCCCTGGGCCTCCCTCTTCCCTGAGACACAGAGATATTGACTTTAGGCCAATTAATAACCCTATAATGGCCTCGAAGTGTTCAAGTGAAAAAATGAGTCACCCATCTCTCACTTTAAAGCAAGAAATAATTAAGCTTAGTGAGAAAGGTGTGTTGAAAGCCGAGATAGGCTAAAGGTTAGGTCTCTTGTGCCAAAAAGTTAGCCAAGTTGTGATTGCAAAGGAAAAGTTCTTGAAGGAAATTAAAACTGCTACTCCAGTTTTAATGACTAATAAGCACGTGAATGATAAGAAAGCAAAAGAAGCCTTATTGCTGATATGGAGAAAACTTTAGTGGTCTGGATAGAAGATCAAACCAGCCCCAATGTTCCCTTAGGCCAAGGCCTAATCCAGAGTAAGTTCCTAACTTTCTTCATTTCTACAAAAGTGGAAAGAGATGAGGAAGTTGCAGAAGAGAAATTTGAAGCTAGTGGAGGTTGGCTTATAGGTTGAAGAAAAGAAGCCATCTCTATAACATAAAAGTGCAAGGTTAGGCAGCAAGTGTTGATGGAGAAGCTCCAGCAAGTTATCCAGGAGATCTAGCTAAGATCATTGCTGATGGTGACTACACTAAACAACAGTGTATCAGTGTAGACAAAACAGCCTTACAGTGGATGAAGATGCCATTTAGAACTTTTATACCTAGAGAGGAGAACTCAGTGCCTGGCTTCAAAGCTTCACAGGACAGGCTGACTCTCTTGTTAGGAACTAATGCAGCTGGTGACTTCAAGTTGAAGCCATTGTTCGCTTTCCATTCTGCCTGTGCGCTCTAAATGGAATAACAAAGACTACATGATAGCACATTTGTTTACAACGTGGTTTACTAAATATTTCAAGCCCACTGTTGAGACCTGCTGCTCACAAAAGAAGATTCCTTTCAAAATATTACTGCTTATTGCCAATGCAGCTGGTTACCCAAGAGATCCAGTGGAAATGTGCAACAAGATGAATGTTGTTTTCATGCCTGCTAACACAACATCTATTATGCAGCCCATAGATCAAGGAAGAATTTCGACTTTCAAATTTTCATATTTAAGAAATATATTTTGTAAAGCAATAGCTGCTGTAGATAGTGATTCCTCTGCTGGATCTGAGCAAAATTAATTGAATATCTTCTGGAAAGGATTCATCAGCACTTCATTCACAGGAGGTGGCCAAAATATCAACATTAACAGGAGTTTGGAAGAAGTTAATTCCAAGCTTCATGGACGACTTTGAGGGGTTTCAGTGGAGAAAGTAACTGTAGATGTGGTGGAAAAAGCAAGATAACTGGAATTAGAAGTGGAGCCCGAAGATGTGACTGGATTGCTGCAACGTCATGATGAAACTTTAACAGATGAGGAGTTACTTCTAACGAATGAGCAAACAAAGTGGTT
The DNA here is from genome assembly GCF_000001405.40 of Homo sapiens. Lineage (NCBI taxonomy): Eukaryota > Metazoa > Chordata > Mammalia > Primates > Hominidae > Homo > Homo sapiens. The sequence continues at coordinate 150,970,794 of NC_000002.12, read as the reverse complement.
TCTTAAGATGGAATATATGCCTGGTGAAGATGTGGTGAACATTGTTGAAATGACAACAAAAAATTTAGAATATTATAGACAGTTGATAAAGCAGTGGCAGGGCTTTGAGGATCAGCTCCAGTTTTGAAAGAAGTTTTCCTGTGGGTAAAATGCTATCAAACAGCATTACATGTTACAGAGAAATCTTTCATGAAAGGAAGAGTCAATCAATGTGGCAAACTTTATTATTGTCTAATTTTAAGTAATTGCCACAGCCACCTTAATTTTCAGCAACCGTCACCCTGATCGATCAGCAACCATCAACATCAAGGCAGGACCCTCCACCAGCAAAAAAAAATTACGACTTGTGAGGCTCAGATAGTTGTTAGTATTTTTAGCAATAAAGCATTTTTAAGTTAAGGCATGCACATTGTTTTTTAATACATAGTGGTATTGTACACTTAATAGACTATGGTATAGTTTAAGTATAACTTTTATACACACTGTGAAACCAAAAATTTGTGTGACTTGATTTATAGTGATACTCACTTTATTGTGATGGTTTGAAAGTGAACCTGCAGTGTATCTGAGGTATGCCTGTATTACATTCTGCTACACTCCAAGAGGTCAGAAATACTGCTTAGTGTGTGTGCACACACACTTGAAACAATGAATTTGCTCTGAAAGGGAATTTGCATGGAGTTGCCCTGACTACATCAAAACCTTTTGAATTGGTTGGGTGTGGTGGCTCATACCTGTAATCCCAGCACTTTGGGAGGCTGAGGTGAAAGGATCGCTTGAGCCCAGGAGTTTGAGACCAGCCTGGGCAACATGGCAAGACCCCATCTCTACAAAAAATAAAAAAAATTAGAAGGCCTGGTGACCCACACCTCCAGTCCCAGCTACTCAGAAGGCTGAGATGGGAGGATCACTTGAGCCCAGCAGGTCAAGGCTGGCTGCAGTGAGCTGTGATCATGCCACTGCATCCTGGCCTGAGTGACAAAGTGAGACCTTGTCTCAAAAAAAAAAAAAAAAGGAAAAACCTTTCCAATCAACAAATATTTATAGAGTATTGTTTCAGGTTTTATGAAGAAAACATAGTTTCTGTCCTCAAGAAGCCTATAATATATTTGGGTAGAGAGAAATTCAAATTAAAAATTATGCATTGCCAATGAGTGCTGTCAGACTTGGGAGAAAGCCCCCAGCTCTTATGAAGTGTGTTATTTATTATCGTTATTCTACAGCCACCATTTTGTTTCCTAATTAGTCCCCAGATTCCCTAAAAACAGGAATTAAAGTCTTTGTATCCCCTACGACTTTTAGTATACATTTGTTGATTGACATTTAAGGTTTTGGAGAAACTACTTTCTCCTCTTTGTGAATTGTTTTCTCCTATTGCCCAGTGTCTCAGAAGTTCGTTAAGAAAATACTTGGTTTTTCTCATACTGTAGCACAGTCCGTAAATAGGTGACATAACAATTATCTTATAAGTTAATGTGGCATTAACTAATTAGAGGTGTTTAGAAAGAAAGATCATTTCAGTTTGTCATTAATTCATCCCCTGTCTTAAAGCAGAAGTGTGACTACATGTTTTCATTTTGTCACCTACTCTGAAGGCTGGTGATATTTTGGTCATGTCTTCAATAAGGAACTGAAGATGAGGGTGGTCCCAGACGTTGCTGTTCACTGTTGGTATATGTGAAATGCAGGGGAAAAATAATGTTTTCCTTACCCATTGCAAGGCTCATGGCTGACACCCCTATAACAAAAGACAGATTAACAAGAGAAAAACATGACAAACTTATTTAACCAAAATTTTACATGAGATAGGAGCCTTCAGAAATGTAGTCCCAAAGACATGGGGAAAACTGTGTTTTTATGCAGATTTGATGAAGAGTGGACAGTCATGTAGAAGTATGATTGGACAAAAGGGGGTGTGCTCTAATAGTAATAAACTGGGAGAACTTAGCAAGGCCGAGTTATTCAGATTCTTTTTGGCATTTTGGTGTCTTCATTCCTTTCCTCTGGGTGTAGGGCAGAGCACTTGACACATGAGGGTCTCTAAGAGAGAAGATCAGAGTGACCTTTCTGCCTCTGTTGTTTTCTCAATTTCCAAGCTGCCATATTTCGGGATAGATGTCCTGAACCCCAACAGAAGGACGATATCTCTCTGTTGGGGCTGATTCACACATAATCTGAGCCATTTAAGGCTAGATCTGCATAAGTGAACCACTCTGGCAAAGCAATTCGCATCAGTAGACTTTAGTGTTACAAAGTGCGAACAATAAGCCCTGCCAGGATATCGAAGATGTAAAGAGAAAAGAGAGGCTCCAAGGAGATAGGTTTAGCAATAAGATGAAAATGGCCTAGAACCAGGGACCATTCGTCTTTGTAAACAACAATCAGATTTCCCCCCAATTCTTTCCACCCCTCATTTTTATCACTTTTCATGGCTATTCAGAAATTAATGCCAATAAACTTTCCAGTTACCAATATGCACTGTTAATGTTTTTCTGTCATAGGATTTAGAAAACTAGAAACTCAGAGAAATTTTTAAAATTAAAAAATATTTTTATTATAGATTAGGCAAATTTGTCTCCATGCCACTCTTAGATACATAGTGACAGAATAACATTTCAATTGATAGGTATTTATCCCTTTTAAAATTCAATATAAGCTACTGTTTTGTAGGAGTCTTCCAGAAAAAAATCAGGAAATAGATTGTCCAGAGGATTCCTCTTGACTTTGTTATGAATTTCTGACTGTATATGGTTAGCATTAATAGGACATGGGTTGGGGCCCATGTGGAAGAAATTTATGCTATAAACATCTTTTGAAATATTGTGGCTGCTGAAGTTGCAGGTAATGAATCAATCACAGGTATATATGTTATTATTGCTCAGGTGGTAGATTCATATTTCTGATTTATGAGGTAATATTTATCTTTCCTCTATATAGGAGAAAATGGTAGCTGTTTGAACAGAAAAACAAATAAGCAAACTTATTATGCCATATAGTATCTCCTGTTTTAGTGTCAATTGGGCAGAATTGAGAAATCCAGTTTGGATAAAATTATGCCCCAATAAATAGCCCCATAAATATCACTATTAAAAAAATCTGCTGTCTGGAGGCAACACCAATGGACCATGAAGATGACTCCCATTCAGTGAACAATTACAGGGCTCAGGAGAGTGAGACAAAGTCTTTCATCCTGCCCCTAACTGGGCACAAACTCCTAACCTCAGCAAAAGAACAGCCTGTTCCAGATGTGAAATGATAGAGTGAGTGGTGATGCCTCATGAGCATCTATTGCAGAGCTCTATTAAGGGGTTCTGACTCTAGCTATGATGGAGTAGCTCTTATCAGCCTAGTGTGTTTCTGCTATATTAACTATAAAGGCTGGATAAAATGCAAAGCAAAACAAACTAAAACAACCATCTTAAGTCATTGGAGAGTAATCTAGAAAGCCAGGATTTGAAGGGCTGGGATCTTGTAGTGAATAAAAGAATATTAAGGTGAGTCCTACATTTGCTACTGCTTTTACTCCTGAGAACATGGGACACAGGCTGGAAGGAAAGCAGCATCCTAGAGCTCTGGCAGCTTCACTGGGAAAGGGGTATAAAAATTGGAATTTAGAGCTACTAAGACGAATAGGACTTGAAATCACCCTGTGCTGAGAAAAGAAAGCTGTAGAGAATTAAACCCAGCATTTTGTATGCAGTTTCCCTTGTGCCATTTGATGACTTCTAAGCTGTGGGTGCACAGAAGGAGACACAGAGAAAGCCAGCAGATTACAGTTGCTAAGAGGCTAAGAAACTGAGCTGCAGGTATTTTGGCAATCTATTAGTACTGAGGAAAAACTAGAATTCAGACTTGCCAAGGAGGGGCCTTCATAAACACTCCAGATTCATTTGAAACTCCTTAAAATGTTATGCCCAAGGAGAAAAGACAAAGGATAAAAAAATGAGGGAACTCATTTTATGAGGACAGCGTAATCTTGAAATTAAAACCTAGCAAGGATATTACAAAAAGCAAAACCTAAAAGCCAATTTCTTATATAAACATAGACCCAAAAATCTTAAATAAAATATTCACACATCAAATACATCATGACCAAATTGAATCTATTCTAGGAATGTGTGATTGATTTAATATTAAAATTTTAATCTTCATAAGATACCACAGTAAAAATAATATAAGAAAACAATGTGATTATCTCAGTAGATGCAGAGAAAGCATTTGAAAAAATTCAACACTCATTCATGCTAAAATCTCTTAGGAACTAGAAATTTTAAAAAATCAAACTATTAATGACCATCTTTAAAAAACTTACAGCTACTTACTTAATGGGGGAAATAGTGAATGGCTTCTCCCCTAAAGTCTGAAATAACACAACAGTGTTCAGTACCACCACTCCCACTTAATGCTGTACAGGAACACATGGTTAGTGCAATAGAATAAACAAAAAAACCAAAGTCATAAAAATTATGAATTTTAAAAAAGTAATTATTTGGAGATAATGTGGATTTTGTACATAGAAAATCAAAAAGAATCTACAAACAACCAGGTTTGACAAGTGAATGAGTAAAGTCACTGAAATTAAAAAAAAATAAAAAGTGGACAATTATTGGTAAGGGTATAAACAACACTTTCCTACACTGCTAGGGGCAGGGAGGATGTAAATTAGTACAACTACTTTAAAAAAACTATTTGAAAACCTACCAAAGCTAAACATAAACATACCTTATGATACAGAAATTCTAATATTAGATATATACACAACAGAAATTTATATATTCATCAGAATACATAAAAATGTTTATATTAGCATTATTTGTAAGATTCTCAAACTGGAAATACCCAAATGTCCATCAGAAGTAGAAAATACAAATGAATTGTGATAAATTTAATAATGGGATATTATACAGCACTAAAAAATATCAAACCATGGCTACAAGTAAAAATATGGATAAATCTTATAGATAAGATATTGGTCAAAAAAGCCAGACAGAGGCTGGGAAGGGTAGAAGGAGGCAAAGAGAAGTTGATAAATGGGTATAAAACTACAGTTAGATAGATAGAATAAATTCTATTATTCGATAGGAGAGTCAGGAGATTATAGTTTACTTGTTACATATTTTAAAATAGCTAGAAAGGAAATATTAGAATGTTCTCAAGACAAAGAAAATATAAATGTATGAAGTGGTGGATATTCCAATTATTCTGAGTTTATCATTACACATTATGTAGGTGTATCAAAAATCACATGTACCTCCAAAATTTGTACAACTATTATATATCAATTGAAAAAAGGTTTCAAAAAACTAGACACAAGAGTATGTGATAATGTATGATTCCATTCATATAAACTTCAACAACAACCAAAGCTAAAACTATGGTGATAGAAGTCAGAATATTGGTTACCTTTGGAGGAATAATGATTGAGGATGATTGAGAGAGGATAGGAGGCTTCTGGGATTCTAATATTCTAATAATGCTCTCTATCTTGATGTAGATGGTGGTGACCTGGGTGCATTCAAATTTATAAAAATTTGTTGAGCTGTGTTCTTTATTGTATATACAGTGCTCTTTAGTGTATCTATGTTTCAATACTAACATTTACCAAAAGATATCTTTCTGTGTACTTTCAGTTGTAAATTCAAACCATTTCAAGACATTAAGCTTTTGAGTCCATTTTGAAAGAACATTTCCTAGTGCTAAGTTTTCAGTCAGCTGCAAGATTATACCTATTGTAGGTATACGAGTTGTAAGATTATACCAGTTGTAAGATTATAGTTATTACTTGGAAAACAGACCGCAATTCTTGGTGTCAACTTAATTACTGCCCTTCAATTTAAAATGATCAAACTAGTTATTTTATTTCTAGTTATAATGGTGAGTTATCAGTGATATATTCTACTGGCACCTTTAAATATAACACAAAACTTACCATTAGTTTGGTCTTAGCAAAATTGTGGTGGTTCTGAACTGGTCTTGGTAGCTTAAGGAAGGCTCCAATTTCATAAGGAAGTGGTTTGGGCTTAGCTTCAACATGCTGAATGGGCTTATCTTGGGTTTGGGGCATCAGAGGTAGTTTGAGTTTGCCTCTGTGTGTGTGTGTGTGTGTGTTTTGCCTGCTACCATTCATTTGAGATAATTGTTGGGTAATTGGGAAGTAACATTCTGCTTAATTTTAGGGTCTCTTAAAAAATAATATGGTTACCACATGACTGTAACCTTGGATCACATCTTTGAAATAACATGACTAAGGGTTATAAGCAAAATATTAAATTTCTCCAACTTCTCCAGTAAGGAAGTAAGTTCTTCCTTACCGGCTGGTATGCCAATGTGCAATTTACAGAACTAACCTCACAAGGTTCTTAAAGAAGATTTCAATGCAATTTGTAAGTAAATAATAAATGAAAGTCCCATGATGTTTTCTGATGTTAATTGCTGATTTATTTTTTTCACCCACCCCTTCTATTCATAGGTAATAAAATGGGCATTACCATTCCTTGGTATTCAAGTACTAAGTTGGTTATCTTAATAATAATATTAAAATGTAGTAACATTATGCATAACTGCCTTAATGAGTTACTGCTGTTATTGCTAAAAAAGCAAATCAGTCACCAAATTATAAGCCCATGCCAAGTATTTAAAGAATACACAGCAAATAGCATTTTCTGAACAGAACAACTGGCATTTGCTCAACACCTCCTAGTCTAGTCCATTAACAAATAAATTAGAGATTAAGGAAATAATTTTCAAAAATTTTAGGGAAAATGAAAACCTTAATTCATGTTTTGGTATTATAGCCAATAATCATATTTTGGTATTATAGCCAATAATTCATATTTTGCTATTATAGCCAATAATTCATATTTTGCTATTATAGCCAATAGAGGGTTTTCACATAGTTTATGGACAAGGCTTTTTTTAAATTGTGGAATTTAAAAAATTGGTAAAATTAAAGTGATTAGCCAGAATTTCTCTCCAAGCAGAGCCTGAGTGAAAGCATGTCATGAAAGAAGTTTATTTGGAAAGTGATCTCAGGGTTCCAGAGTGAAGAATAAGAGCCATTTAGCAGGAAACTAGGGAAAGCCAAAACATGGACGTGCTCTTAAGCTGGCTTCACTGTGCGTGACTGTGCTTGATTCTGCAGGATCGCCTGAGGAACTTCATGAAATGAGCATCGGAGCCATCTATTTAGGAAGCATTTATTCACTGGTTCGGGTCTCCAATTAGTCAAGGGTAACCTCAAGGGTGAGAATTTATCTGTACTTGCAGATTGCACATGCATGGACATCAAGTGGATTTTCATGGATGCTCCATGCTGCAGCATGAGAGAATCCCAGGGGCAGGAGTGAGAGGTACTCAGGGCAGCCTCAAGTGAGATGCTGTCAGATGACATCAGCATGGAGCTATTCAAAGGGAAGTAGGGCTGGTTGCTGCAACCCTGGCTAGAGTAAGGGGTTGGATGAGAAAATTTAAAGTGGTGTATGAGAGGTGTCTGGTAACGTTTTCATCAAGTAATTGAAATCCAATTCAAACCACAGCAATTAAAAAGAAAACCGTATTTCTTTCCTTTTTTATTATACTTTAAGTTCTGGGATACATGTGCAGAATGTGCAGGTTTGTTACATAGGTATATATGTGACATGGTGGTTTGCTGCACCTATCAACCCATCATCTAGGTTTTAAACTCCACATGCATTAGGTATTTCTCCTAATGCTATCCCTCCCCTTGTCTCCCACCCGCCAGCAGGCCTCGGTGTGTGATGTTCCCCTCCCTGTGTCTGTGTTCTCACTGTTCAACTCCCACTTATGAGTGAGAATGTGTGGTGTTTGGTTTTCTGTTCCTGTGTCAGTTTGCTGAGAATGATGGAGGACCCTTGTGTAGTGAGGAAACCTCTTTCTCCCTATATAACAGCATGGTGGTGAAGGATATGGAAGGCATATTTAGAGTCAATATAAATATTGACACATAATTCCTTTGCAAGAATGAGGGCTCGAGTTAAGGCAATGAGTTTGGCTTGCTGAGAGGTAGTGGAGGGGGGCAGAGTGGTAGCCTCAATGATAGATGTGGAAGATACTATAGCATAGCCTGCCTTTGCTGGTGTATGGCGATTATGCCTGCTGGAACTGCCATCAATAAACCAGGTATGATCAGGGTGAGGAACAGGAAAGAAGGAAATATGGGGAAATGGAGTCAATTCCAGGTGTATCAGAGAGATGCAGTCATGGGGGTCAGGTGTGGTATCAGGAATAATGTGAGAGGCCAGATTGAAGTCTGGGCCAGGAACAATGGTAATTGTGGGAGACTCAACAAAGAGTGAGTACAGCTGAAGGAATTGGAGAACAGAAAATATATGTGTCAGGTGTGAGGAAGAAAATAGATTTTGGAAGTTGTGAGAACTGTAGAGAGTGAGTTGAGCATAGTTTGTGATTTTGAGGGCCTCTAAAAGTGTTAGGGCAGTGGCGGCCACCGCATGGAGACATGATGGCCAGCCTAAAACAGTAAGGTCAAGTTGTTTGGACAAAAAGGCTACAGGGTGCGGTCCCAGTCCTTGTGTAAGAATTCTGACTGCACAGCCCTGCACTTGGGCTGTGTGTAATGAAAAGGGTTGGGATGAGTCAGGGAGAGCTAGTGTGGGAGCAGTCTCTAAAGCTATCTTCAAGGAACAGAAAGGGGAGTGGGGAAAGGATTTAGGATCTATGGGGTCAGCTAGGTTTCCTTTTGTGAGTTTATATAATGGTTTTGTTAGGATGGCAAAACCAGGTATCCAAAGGCGAAAGTATCCAACCATGCCCAGGAAGGAAAGGAGTTGTTTTGTAGAAGGGGTTGGGGTTTGAGAGATCAGTCAGACATGATCAGCAGGGAGAGCATGTGTGTTTTTATGAAGAATTACGCCAAGGTAGGTAAAGGATGGAGAAGAAATTTGAGCTTTGGAGGGGGATACCCAATATCTCTTAGAGAATAAATGTTGAAGGAGCAGGAGGTTGTCTTTTTGAGAAGATTCAAAGGAGGGGCTACAAAGTAGAAGGTAATCAATATATTGAATAAGGTGAGAAGCGGAGGGGTGGAAAGAAAGTAAATCTTGAGAAAGAGGTTGGCTGAAGTAATGAGGGCTGTCCCTGAAGCCTTGTGGCAGTACAGCCCAGGTAAGTTGCTGGGACTGATGGGTGTGAGGGTCAGTCCAGGTAAAAGCAAAGAGAGGCTGGGATGAGGGGTGTAGGGGAATAGTGAAAAAAGCATCTTTAAGATCAAGAATGGAATAGTAAGTTGTGGAGGAAGGTATTGAGGACAAAAGAGTGTACGGGTTGGGCACCACAGGGTGGATAGGCAAAATAATTTGGTTGATAAGGCACAGATCCTGAACTAACCTGTAGGACTTGTCTGGTTTTTGAACAGGTAAAATGGGAGAGTTGTAAGGAGAGTTCATAGGTTTTAGAAGCCCATGCTGTAACAGGCGAGTGATAACAGGCTTTAATCCTTTTAAAGCCTGCTGTGGGAAGGGATACTGGTGTTGAGCTGGGTAAGGGTGATTAGGTTTTAATGGGATAGTAATGGGCATGTGATCGGTTGCCAGGGAGGGAGTGGAGGTGTCCCATACTTGTGGGTTAAGGTGGGGGATACTAGAGGAAGACGTGAAGGAGGCTTTGGGCTGGGAAGAAGGGTGGCAATGAGATGTGGCTGTAGTCCAGGAATAATCAGGGAAGCAGATAATTTGGTTAAAATGTCTCGGCCTAATAAGGGAACTGGGCAGGTGGGGATAACTAAAAAAGAGTGCATAAAAGAATGTTGTCCAAGTTGGCACCAGAGTGGGGGAGTTTTAAGGGGTTTTGAAGCTTGGCTGTCAATACCCATAACAGTTATGGGGGCAAGGGAAACAGGCCTTTGAAAAGAAGGTAATGTGGAATGGGTAGCCCCCATATTGATTAAACAGGGGACGGACTTACCCTCCACTGTAAGAGTTACCCAAGGCTTGGCATCCATGATGGTCCGGGGGCTTCCGAGGCGATCAGGCAGCATCAGTCTTCAGCTGCTAAGCTGAGGAGATCTGGGAAGGAGTCAGCCAAGGAACGTTGGGTTTGGGCTCCAGGGGCTTTAGGAGCAGCGGCAATGTGAGTCAGTCCGATTTCCAGTGGGTGCCTGCACAGACAGGGCACGGCTTAGGAGGAATCCCAGGCTGCGGGCATTCTGAGGCCCAGTGGCCAGGCTTTGGCATTTGAAGCAAGGTCCACGAGGATGTTTTGAAGGAGTCCCTGGGAGCTGTGGCTTGGATGTTCTGAAGTTTTTGTATGCTGGAGACGTGGTTGTGGATTGACTTACAGCAGAGGCAAGTAGCTGTAACTCAGAAATGCATTATTGTGTGGCTACCTCCTCTCTATTATTGTACACCTTGAAGGGGAGGTTGATTAATTCCTGTTGTGGGGTTTGAGGGCCCGATTCCAATTTTGAAGATTTTTCTAATGTCAGGAGCTGACTGGGTGATAAAATGCATATTAAGAATAAGGCGGCCTTCTGGCCTCTGGGTCTAGGGCAGTAAAGCATCTAAGGGTTGTTGCTAAGCAGACCATGAACTGGGCATAAAAGAAGGAAAGAGGTAATCCTCAGGATGACGTTAAAGAGAATTCTTAACGTTTAACATCATCTCACGATGATGTTAAAGACAACTGTGCAGTAGCCCAGTTTTGAATATTGTGAATATTGTCATGCACGTCCATGTGAAGAGACCACCAAACAGGCTTTGTGTGAGCAATAAAGCTTTTTAATCACCTGGGTGCAGGCAGGCTGAGTCCGAAAAGAGAGTCAATAAGGGAGATGGGGGTGGGACAGTTTTATAGGATTTGGGTGGGTAGTGGAAAATTACAGTCAAAGGAGGTTGTTCTCTGGTGGGCAGGGGCAGGGGTCACAAGGTGCTCAGTGGGGGAGCTTCTGAGCCAGGAGAAGGAATTTCACAAGATAATGTCATCAGTTAAGGCAGGAACTGGCCATTTTCACTTCTTTTGTGATTCTTCAGTTGCTTCAGGCCATCTGGATATATATGTGCAGGCTTGGGCTGAGAGGCCTGGCATTCCTGTCTTCTTACATTAATAAGAAAAATAAAACAAAATAGTATTGAAGTGTTGTGGCGGTGAAAATTTTTGGGGGTAGTATGGAGAGATAATGGGTGATGTTTCTCAGGGCTGCTTCGAGCGGGATTAGGGGCAGCGTGGGAACCTAGAGTGGGAGAGATTAAGCTGAAGGAAGATTTTGTGGTAAGGGGTGATTTTGTGGGGTTGTTAGAAGGAGCATTTGTCATATAGAATGATTGGTGATGGCCTGGATGTGGTTTTGTATGAATTGAGAAACTAAACAGAAGACACAAGGTCCAAATAAGAGAAGGAGAAAAATAGGTATTAAAGGACTAAGAATTGGGAGGACCCGGGACATCCAATTAGAGAGTGCTCAAGGGGGTTCAGTGTAATTACTTGCTTGGTTGGCAAGTTTTTGGGCTCTATCCTTGAGTTTTTTTATGTTGTCATACACCAGGCCAGATTGATTTAGGTAAAAATAACACTCTTCATTTAAAAATACACAAAGTCCCCCCTTTCTTTTTAGCAGTGAGTAAGTCAAGGCCTGGGCGATTTTGGAGGAAAGAGAAATGCAAAGCCAGCAATTGTTTGTTAAAGAAGGATTAGAAATAGCTAGGATAAAGTGAGTGAGATTGATAGTGTGGTGGAGATAGCTGGGGAGAGGTAGAGGGTGGCATAAGAACGGGAACGAGAATAAGAGTGAGTATAAAAGTAAATAATAGGACTTCATCAGGGTGAAAGTATTGGAGGGTGCCCTGCCAGTAAAGATTATTTATTTATTTTAAGAGGGAGTTAAGAGTGGCGGTTTGGGGATAGCACCAGGAGATATCAGCTGTGATGGCTTGGAGAAACAGTGTAAATCGGCAGTGTAAACAAGAGCAGGGCATTTATGAGTAGTTGAGAATGGTGAATAGGCATATGACTAGACAGAAGATAGTAGGGATGACAAGTTTTTGGGGGCACAGTCCAAGTAGTGGTGGTGCCTGGGTAAAGCCCTGTTACAAAAAGTGGGGTAAGGACGAATAGACCTAATAGAATGAAGGGATGTATTAGGCTCATGAAGGTTATTACTGTTCTTCAGAAATGCAAGTGAGTTTAAGGCAAGTAGGGGAGAGTACTTGCGACTTCCAGGAGGAAGAGGAGAGATTAGGCTGCCTAAGCTGGCTGTCAAACGGATGCAGCTTTATTCTGGAATGGTGAACCCAGTGGGGAGGATCCTGCAGGCAGATGGCATTTGGGGTACTATAGATGATTAAGTAGGGTCTGGTTCATCCGGGTTGTAGTGTTTGAGGGGTCAGATTTTTATCAAGAAATGATCATCCAGCTAGGGTGTTTTTACGTAGTTGGGAATCTGGAGTAGGCAAGAGAAGATTAGCAGCCTGGCAAATTTTCTGTCTAGCCTGCTGGAGGACTGGAAGGTAGTCACCTAGAGGGCTTGTGTCTGGGACGAGATTGGGGCAGAGCAAGAAAGTGCGTCTATATAAAAGTTTAAATGGACTATACCCTGTAGCATCTCAAGGACAGTCTCTAATTCTGAGAAGGGCAAGAGGTAAAAGTACTGTCCAGTCCTTTTTAAGTTGGAGGCTGAGCTTGGTGAGGTGTGTCTTTAAAAGACCATTAGTCTGTTTTACTTTTCCTGAAGATTGAGGATGGTAAGGGGTATGAAGATTCCACTGAATACTAAGAGCCTGAGAAACTGCTTGGGTGATTTGACTAATAAAGGCCGGTCTGTTATTGGACTGTATAGAGGTAGGAAGGCCAAACTGAGGAATTATGTCTGATAAAAGGAAAGAAATGACCATGGTGGCCTTCTTAGACCCTGTGGGAAAGCCTTTACCCATCCAGTGAAAGTGTCTACCCAGCCCAAGAGGTTTTTTAGTTTCCTGACTTGGGCATGTGAGTAAAGTCAATTTGCCAGTCCTGGGCAGGGGCAAATTCTCGAGCTTGATGTGTAGGGAAGGGAGGTGGCCTGAACAATCCCTGAGGAGTAGTAGAACAGCAGATGGAACATTGAGAAGTGATTTCCTTGAGGATAGATTTCCACGATGGAAAGGAAATGAGAGGTTCTAAGAGGCAGGCTAGCAGCTTATAACCTACATGGAAGAGGTTATGAAATGATGACAGAATAGAATGGGCCTGTGAGGCTGGAAGGAGATATTTTCCTTGGTCCAAGAACCATTTGCCTTGTGTAGGAAGAGATTGTTAGGTGGAAGTTTCAGTGGGAGGGTAGGTGGGAGTGACCGATGAAGAGTAAAACTGGCCATGAGGGACAGAAGTTGGAATGCTAGCTGCTTCCTTAGCTACCTTATCAGCATAACTGTTGCTCTGAGCAGTAGGATCTGATGCCTTTTGATGACCCTTGCAGTGAATGACTCCAACTTCCTTTGGAAGTAAAGGGGCCTTGAGAAGAATTTTTATTAAAGAGGCATTAATGATGGAGGACACTTGGATAGTGAGAAAACGTCTTTCAGCCCATAGAACAGCATGGTGGTGCAGGATATGGAAGGCATATTTAGAGTCGGTATAAATATTGACGTGTAGTCCCTTTGCATGAGTTAGAGCTCGAGTTAAGACAATGAGTTCAGCTTGCTGAGAGATAGTGGAGGGGGGCAGAGTGGTAGCCTCAAGGATAGATGTGGAAGATACTGCTACAGCATAGCCTGCCTCTGCTGGTGAGTGGCAATTAGGCCTGGTGGAACTGCCATTGATAAACCAAGTGTGATCAGGGTGAGAACAGGAAAGAAGGAAATATGGGGAAATCAAGTGAATGCCAGGTGGATCAGAGAGACACAGTCATGGGGGTCAGGTGTGGTATCAGGAATAATGTGGTAGCCAGCCTAAAACAGTAAGGTCAAGTTGTTTGGACAGAAAGGCTACAGGGCGTGATCCCGGCTCTTGTGTAAGAATTCCAACTGCACAACCCTGCACTTCGGCTGTGTGTAATGAAAAAGGGTTGGGATGAATTAGGGAGAACTAGTTTGGGAGCAGCTTTTCGGGCTGTTTTTTAAGGAATGGAAAGGGAAATGGGGAAAGTATTTAGGATTTATGGGGTCAGCTAGGTTTTGTGTTTGTTTGTTTTTTGTTTTGTGAGTTTATATAATGGTTTAGTCAGGATGGTAAAACTAGGTATCCAAAGGTAGAAGTACCTAACCATGCCTAGGAAGGAAAGGAGTTGTTGTTTTGTAGAAGGGGTTGGGGTTTGGGAGATTAGCCAGACATGATCAGCAGGGACAGCATGTGTGTTTTCATGAAGAATTATGCCGAGATAGGTAATGGATGAGGAAGAAATTTGGGCTTGACTGAAGTAATGGGGGCTGTCCATGAAGCTTTGTGGCAGTACAGCCCAGGTAGTTTGCTGAGCCTGATGGGTGTCAGGGTCAGTCCAAGTAAAAGTGAAGATAGGCTGGGGTGAAGGGCGCAAAGGGATAGTAGAGAAAGCATGTTTGAGATCCAGAACAGAATAATGGGTTGTGAAGGGAGGTATTGAGGATAGAAGGGTACATAGGTTTGGCACCATGGGGTGGATAGGCAAAACAATTTGGTTGATAAGGCGCAGATCCTGAACTAACTTGTGAGACTTGTCCAGTTTTTGGACAGGTAAAATGGGGAATTGTAAGGAGAGTTCATAGGCTTTAAAAGGCCATCCTGTAAAGGCGAGTGATAACGGGCTTTAATCCTTTTAAAGCGTACTGTGGGATGGGATATTGGCATTGAGTGGGGTAAGGTTGATTAGGTTTTAATGGGATGGTAGGGGGTGCATGATCGGTCGCCAAGGAGGGAGTAGAGATGTCCTATACTTGTGGGTTAAGGTGGGGAGATACAAGGGGAGGATGCGAAGGAGGCTTTGAACTGGGGAAAAGGGCGGTAATGAGGTGTGGCTGTAGCCTAGGAATAGTCAGGGAAGCAGATAATTTAGTTAAAATGCCTCGATCTAATAAGGGAACTGGGCAGGTGGGGATAACTTAAAAGGAGTGCACAAAAGAATGTTGTCCGAGTTGGCACCAGAGATGGGGAGTTTTAAGAGGTTTAGAAGTCTGGCCGTCAACACCCACAACAGTAATGGAGGCAAGGGAAACAGGCCCTTGAAAAGAAGGTAATGTGGAGTGGATAGCCTCCGTATTGATGAAGAAGGGGATGGACTTACTGTCCACTGTGAGAGTTACCCGAAGCTCAGCGTCCGTGATGGTCCAGGGGGCCTCCAAGGAGATCAGGCAGCATCAGTCTTCAGCCGCTAAGCCGAGCAGATCTGGGAAGGAGTCAGTCAGAAAGCCTTGGGCCAGAGCTCTAGGGGCTCTGGGAGTGGCTGCCAGGTGAGTTGGACAGGCCGATTTCCAGTGGGGTCCCACACCGATGGGACATGGCTTAGGAGGAATCCCGGGCTGCGGGCATTTCTTGACCCAGTGGCCAGATTTTTGGCACTTGAAGCAAGATCCTGGGGGAGGAGGTCCTGGAGGAACCCTTGGCCACTGCAGTTCAGGCATTTTGAAGTTCTTGTGTGCTGGAGTTGTGGCTGGGATTTTTCTCACAGTGGAAGCAAGTAATTGCAACTCTTCTCTATTATTGCACACCTTGAAGGCAAGGTTAATTAAGTCTTGCTGTGGGGTTTGAGGGCCGGAATTTAATTTTTGGAGCTTTTTTTAATGTCGGGAGTGGATTGGGTAATAAAATGCATATTGAGAATAAGATGGCCCCTTCTGGCCTCTCTGGGTCCAAGGCTGTAAAGCATCTAAGGGTTGTTGCCAAACAAGCCATGGACTGGGCTGAGCTTTTATATTTGATGAAGAAAAGCCTAAACGCTAACTGATTTGGGAGAGGTCGGATAGGGAGAGGTCAGATAAAAAAAAAGGAGCATTAACCTTGACTATGCCTTTAGATGCAGCCACTTCTTTAAGAGGAAATTTTTGGGCAGGTGGGGGAGGGCTAGTTGCAGAATGAAACTGTAAGTTGGACCAGGTGTTAGGAAGGGAGGTGATAGAAGGATTATAGGGTGGAGGCCAAGGAGGAATTGGGACCTGGCTCAGTCTGGCAAGGAGCAGCCTGGGGAGGAGGGGAGAGGTCAGATGAGTCCATAGAAAAGGAGAATTCAAAGGACTCAGAGCTTGGGGTGGAGACTGAAGGAACAGACAGAAGAGAAAGAAGAAAGATTTGGGATGAGTTGCATTGGGAGCAGAGATTAGGGAAGGACTGATGTGTAAAAGAATACCTGGACGTCAGGCACCTCAGACCATTTGCCCATTTTTCCATAAGAATTATCTAGATTTTGTAGGATGGAGAAATTGAAAGTGCCATTTTCTGGCTATTTGGAACCATTGTCGAGTTTGTATTGGGGTCAAGTGTTATTGCAGAAAAAAATAAGGCACTTAGGTTTTAGGTCAGGTGTGAGTTGAAGAGGTTTTAAGTTCTTGAGAACACAGGCTAAGGGAGAAGAAGGAGGAATGGAAGGTGGAAGATTGCCCATAGTGAAGGAGCAAAGAGAGGGTAGAGACAAAGAGAGAAGAGGTGGGGGGGGGGGGGTACTTGCCCCCTTGGGAGGTGGTGCTTGCCACCAAGGTGAAGGATCAAGGCAGGCATCCCCATGGTAATCAGACACCGCTGAAATGTGGGTGAATAATCAGGCAGGCATCCCTGCAGTGATTAAACACTAAGGGAAGACTGTCTTCCTGAGTCCGTGACCGGTGCTGGAGTTTTGGGTTCACGGATAAAACACATCTCCTCTGTCTCTACCAGAAAGTGAAAGGAACTGAAATTAAGGGAAGGGAGAGATTGAAGGGTAGCACCAAAATTGAAAGGAGAAAGAGGTTGAGGGATAGTGAGAGAGGTTAGAGAAGAGAATAGAAAGAGGCCGCTTACCTGATTTAAAATTGGTGAGATGTTCCTTGGGCTGATTGGTCTGAGGACCAGAGGTTGTAGGTGGCTCTTTCTCATGGAGCAAAGAGCAGGAGGACAGGGGATTGATATCCCAAGGGATGTCCCCCGATCCAAGTCATGGCACCAAATGTCACGCACATCCATGTGAAGAGGTCACCAAACAGGCTTTGTGTGAGCAATAAAGCTTTTTAATTACCTGGGTGCAGGCAGGCTGAGTCGGAAAAGAGAGTCAGCAAAGGGAGTTAGGGGTGGGGCAGGGGTTGTTCTCTGGTGGGCAGGGGCGGGGGTCACAAGGTGCTCAGTGGGGGACCTTCTGAGCCAGGAGAAGGAATTTCACAAGGTAATGTCATCAGTTAAGGCAAGAATTGACCATTTTCACTTCTTTTGTGATTCTTCAGTTGTTTCAGGCCATCTGGATGTATATGTGCAGGCTTGGGCTCAGAGGCATGACAAATACTGTTTACAATATTTTCTTATTTTTCTTTTAATATTTGCAGACTTTGCAGTGATACCCCTTCTTTCATTTCTGAAATTGGCAATTTGTGTCTTCATTTTTTCCCTGATCAGAGTGGCTAGGGATTTATCAGTTTTGCATTTTATTATACTATATACTGTGGGTAACTGAACCCACAGAAAGCAAAATTATGGATAAGGGGAGTCTACTGTATTGGTTTCAATAAACCTCTTTTGAGTCGTTGATCTTTTCTACTATTTTTTCAAATTTCTATTTCATTGATTTCTCCTCGTGTTAATTTCTTTTATTCTGCTTATTATAGGTTTACATTGCTCCTCTTTTTCTATTTTATTAAAGGGGAAGCTGATATGACAACTTTTTTTTGATTATTAACCTTTAATTCTGTAAATTTTCCTCAAATTTTTGCTTAACAGCATACCACAAATTTTGATGTTTTGTTTTCATTTTCATTCAGCTCAGAATGCTTTCTAAATTCTACTTTGATTCCTTTGATCAATGGATTATTTATACACATTACTTAAATTCTAAATTCTAAATATGTGGGGAAATTTACTAGATGCCTTTCAGTTATTGATTTCTAATTTTATTGTGACCAGAGAACACATTCTTTTAGATTTTTTGAGACTTATTTCAGAGTCAGAAGGTGGTCTATTTTGATAAATGTTTCATGTGCACATGAAAAAAAGATGTATCCTGCTGATGGGTGGAAGATTCTGTAGATGTGAATTAGGTCAAGCTGGATTGTTAGTATTGTTCAAGTAACCTTTACCATGAATGATTTTCTGTCTACTTGTTAAATCAATTAATGAGGGAGGGGTGTTAAATAGCTGATTGTAATTATGGATTTTTCTATTCCTCCTTGAAGTTCTATCAATTTTGGTTAAGATATTTTGAAGTTCTTTTATTAAGTACATACATATTTAAGATTATGCCCTCTTGATAAATTGATCCCTTCATCGTCATGAAAAAAAAACCCACTCACTTTCTCTGGTAATACTCTTTGTCTCACAAATACTTTTGATAATAATATAGCTAGCTGGAAGTTTCCTTTTATTGATGACATACTGGTGTATCTTTTCCCATCCTTATACATTTAACCTATTCTTGTTTTTATATTTAAAGTGAACTTCTTGTAAGCACCATACAGTTGAGTCTTACTTTCTTATCCAACCTGACAAAATCTCCTTTGAATTGGAGGTGCTTAAGTCCCTTAGATTTATGTGATTATTCATATGGTTGGGTTTTTAGAAATTTAATTTAATTTAAATTTTTTTTAGAAACAGGGTGTCACTTTGTTACCCAGCCTGTAGTGCATCAGCATGATGATAGTTTACCATAACATTGAACTCCAGAGCTCAAGTGACCCTCTTGCTTCAACCTCCCAAGTAGTTAGGACTATAGATGTGTGCCACTGGGCCCCACTAACTTTTTATTTTTTAATTTTTGTAGAGATGAGATCTTGCTATGTTGCCCAGGCTGGTCTTGAACTCCTGGGCTCAAGCAATCTTCCCAGTTCGGCCTCCCAAAGTTCTAAAGGATTACAGGCATGAGCTACCATGCTCAGCCTTCTTTTTAAATTGAAAAATATATGGGATATATAGAAAATTTTTTACATGTATATAATGTGTAGTAATCAAGTCAGGGTATTTAGGGTATCCATCACCTAAGTGCAATACATTTTTAAAAATATATTCATTCTACTCTGCTATCAGACATTTAATATATTCTATCTTACTGTATGTTTGTACCCTTTAGCCCACCTCTCTTCATCTTCTTCCCTCTCCTTCACTCATCTGTCCCAGTCTCTGTTGTGTATTTTTCTAGTCCCTACCTTCTTGTGCTCAAGTATTTTAGCTCTCACGTATATATGAAAACAAAGATATAAGTCTGTTTGTTCCTGGCTTAGTTCACTTAAGAGAATGACCTCCAGTTCCATCCATGGTGCTGCAAATGACAAGATTTCATTCATTTTTATGGCTGAATAGTATTCCAGTGTGTACATATACTACATTTTCTTTATACATTCATCAGTTGATGGACACTTAAGTTGATTCCATATCTTTGCTATTGTGAATAGTGCTGCAATAATCATGTGAGTGCAGGTATTCCTTTGATATATTGCTTTCTTTTCCTTTAGGTAGATATCCAGTGGTGGGATTGCTAGATTGAATGCTATTTTTAGTTTTTTAAAGAAATCTCAGTACTGTTTTCCATAGTGGCTCTCCTAGTTTACATTCCCATCAATGGCATATAAATGCTCTATATGTTTGGGTCTCACTCTATTACTACTATTTGTTTTCTGTTTGTTTCATCTGTTATTTATTATTGTTTCCTTTTTCTCTTGCCTTTTTGGAATTTTTAAAATAATTTAATCTTGTTTGTTGGCTTATTAGATACAATTTTTTGGTGTTAATTTAGTGGATAATTTAAAACATAGTGTACATCTTTAACTTACTAATTAAATTATTAATGTTATATTAATTTATGTATAGTATAATAAACTTGTAAAATTATATTTCTCTTCCCCTGTCCTGGCTTTTATGCACTGTTGTCATACATTACACTCCATATGTGTAAAAATCTTGTAATATTTGCTTATTATTTTGCTTTAAACAGTTAATGATTTCTTAGAGATTTAAATAATAAAAATAGTCATTATATTTACCTGTGTAGACACATTCATGGTGCTCTTCATTTCTTTGCGTAGAGCCAAGTTTCTTTTCAGTATTTTTCTTTTGCTGAAAGGATTTTTTTTTTTTTTGAGATGGAGTTTCACTCTTGTTTCCCACGCTGGAGTGCAATGGCATGATCTCGGCTCACTGCAACCTCCGCTTCTTGCTTTCAAGTGATTCTCTTGCCTCAGCCTCCTGAGTAGCTGGGATTACAGGTGCTCACCACCATGCCCAGTTAATTTTTTGTATTTTTTGTAGAGATGGGGTTTCACCATGTTGGCCAGGCTGGTCTTGAACTCCTGACCTCAGGTGATCCACCCACCTCGGCCTCCCTAAGTGCTAAGATTACAGGTATGAGCTATTGCACCAGTCCAGGATTTTCTTAAATATTTCTTATAATGTCAGTTTGCTGTGATGAATTCTTTCAGTTTTTGTAAGTCTGAAAAAGTCCTTAGTTTGCTTTCTTTACTAAAGAATATTTTTTGCTGAATAAAGAATTCTAAGTTGTCACTTTATTTTTCTTTCACTACTTTACATATGATAGTCCATTGTTTTCCAGCTTGCATTGTTTTAAAAATATCTGCTGTTATCTTGATCTTTGTTCCACTGTATATAATGTCTTTTTTATCTGGTTGCTTTTTAGATTTTCTCTTTGTCATTGATTCTAAGGAATTTGATTATTATGTGTTTTTGGCCAGTTTTCTTTATATTTGTGAGACCTGGGGTTTATTCAGATCCTGTGAGTTTATAATTTTTATCAAATTTGAAAAAAATTTCATCAACTATTTCTTCAACATTTTTATGTCTCCCTCCCCAATACATTAGTGATATATATATATAAAATAGGCCACATAAGGGATTTTTTTCTTCTGTTGCATTTTAGAGAGCTTATATTGCTGTGTATCTATGATTACTACTCTTTTTTTCTGTAATGTTTAATTTTCCATTAATCTAGTCCAGTGTACTTTTTCAACTAAAACTTAATAACTAGAATTTAAGTTTGCAAGAATGTCCCTTTTTTCAAACAAAACTATAGATTGAATACAATCCCATTTAAAATCTGTGTGTGTGTGTGTGTGTGTGTGTGTGAATATAAATGTGAAGGGTCTGGAATAGCTAAGATACTTAAAAGATTTCAATAAACAAAGTACATATTCTACCAAATATAAAACCTTTTAAAGATATTATAATTAAGTGAGTATGATATCAGTGGAGAATAAGAAAGCAGATTTCAGGGCCCAAAAATCAATCCAGGGATATATGGATTTTTTTTTTTGTTTGTTTGTTTTGTTTTTGTTTTTTTTTTATAAAGAATGGCACTGAAAAGCTATGGAAAAAGATGACTTTTTTTGTTAAAAGGTGTTGGGACAGTTGGATATCCATACTTGAAAATAAAACTAGACATCTATAAATCATCATACATATAAGTCAATTATAAAATCATATATTTATATATAAAAGGCAAAACAATCTTTTGAAAAATAAAATAGGAGAATATCTTCAGAATTTTAAAGTAGAAAAGTAGTTTTTAAGACCAAAAGAAAAAAATAGAGAAGCAGCATCAACCATAAAGGAAAAACTGGATTACATTAAAATAGTTTACTTAAAATACATCACAATAAAAGTGAAATGCAACCCACACAGTGGAGAAACAATTCAGGGCTGGGCCTGGTGGCTCATGTCTGTAATCATAGACTTTGGGAGGCAGGGGCGGGAGGATCGCTTGAACCCAGGAGTTCAAGGCCAGCCTGGGCAACGTGGCAAAACCCTCTCTCTACAAAAAATTAGCCAGGTGTGGTGGCATGTGTCTGTGGTCCCAGATACTCAGGGGGCTGAGAGGATTGCTCAAGCCCAGGAGGCGAAGGCTGCAGTGAGCCGTGATTGCAACACTGTGCTCCAGCCTGGGTGACAGAGCAAGATCTTGTCACCCCCACCAAAAAAATTCGGAATACATAAATAACTTCTATTAAAAATTAATGAGAATAAAACAGAAAACCCCAAGGAAAAATAGTCAAAAGACTTAAACAGTAAATCCATAAAAGAGGAAATTCAGAAAGTCAATAAACATATACAAAGTGCTTAGCCTCATTGGTCATCCAGCAAGTATAAATTATACCCCAGTGAGACACCACTACACAACCACAAGAATAACAAAAATTATATATATATATATATATATATATATATATATATATATATATAAAATTTGTGTGTGTGTATGTGTGTATGTGTGTGTACATACTTCAAGTATTAGGAAGAATGTGGAACAACTAAGACTTACGTTATGGGTGGCAAAATAAATTGGCACAATAAGTTTTGAAAACAGTTTAGCATTATAAACTAAGGTAAACATACATAACCAGTCATAATTAAGCTTTAGTTTGTAAGATGTGCAATTACTTGGTAAAACAAAACATGAAAATAATTTACAGCAATATTAGTGTACAGGTTATCTCTGAGGGTGGGAGGGAGGGAGGAAGGGAGTTGTGATAAGAATGTATCTTGTGGTCATATTTATTTCTTGGCCTACATGGTAGTTACATCAATACTTTCTCTGCATTGTTGTCTCATGTGCTTCTTTGTATGTGTGAATATTTTACAGTAAAAATTTAAATCAAAGTAAATATATCTAATAAAGAAAGGCAAATGTTAACTCTATTAAAATGTTTATACAAGAAAGAATATAGTTTAAAATAAATTCTGTCATAGTACTATAATCAAAATATTTTGATTTAATAAAAATATTATATATCTATTTAGAGAAGAATATAGGGGAATTATGAGTTAGGATAATGCTCTAAGAGAACTAATTTCTTTTCTTCTATAAAAGAAAGTTAAGCATGATGTCTAATGTTGAAAAAATAAAGAAATATCAATATAAATCTTATATCCAAATATGAAGGTAAGACCAAAAAGAAACAACTAAGAGAATCGAAAGTTGTTGTTCCTGAGAAAGAAGACTTGGTAAAAAGGTGGAGTTAGGAAAGGTATTGTCTTCTTTTTCTTGGTAGGGTTGGTGATTAGCTTTATGGTTTAAATAAACTTACTAAATGATGTATGTTTTACTTAGTACAGATAAAATAGTTAAAAAAAATAGTAGAGTAAACAGTATTTGAGCAAAAATCCTTTTCTGGGGACAGCATAGTACAGCCCCTTTTGCTCATTGCCTGAGCCATCAGCTGTTATGGTCAGAATGTTTGTGTTCTCACAAAATTTGTATGTTGAAATCCTAACCCCCAAAGTGATGGTATTAAGAGATGGGGCCTTTGGGAGCTGATTAGGTCGTGAGGGTGGAGCCCTCATGAATGGAATTAGTATCCTTAAAAAAGGCCCAGAGAGCTTGTTTTCCCCTTCCGCCATGTGAGGACACAGGTAGAAGGCACCATCTACAAAGGGGAAGGCCCTCACAAGTCACCAAATCTGCCAGCACCTTGATCTTGGACGCCTCAGCCTCTTTGTATGTGTGAATATTTTACAGTAAAAATTTAAATCAAAGTAAATATATCTAATAAAGAAAGGCAAATGTTAACTCTATTAAAATGTTTATACAAGAAAGAATATAGTTTAAAATAAATTTTGTCATAGTACTATAATCAAAATATTTTGATTATGAGCAATACATTTCTCTATAAGAAATTTAAGCAATAAAGTTGTCTATTAAGTTTACTCAGTCTAAAGGATTTTGTGATAGCAGCCCATATGGACAAATGTAGCAAAGGATTCAATTCATAAAAAACATGACCAGTCATGAGTAAAAACAAGTAGTAACTGCAGAGCAAAATATGTGTATGTGTTTAGTTTTTAAAATATAAAACTGTTTCCAAGCTGGAAAGTGCTATAGTAAAACAGTGTCCTAACATATCATGGTGTATTAAGTGTGTGCACATACACACATGCATATACAAACACACACATGTAATCTTTCTTTTTTTAAAATTTAAAACTAGAGATTTTCTGACTGTTAGGAGTCTGTATTAAGCTGGGTGTGGTGGCTCACGCCTGTAATCCCAGCACTTTGGGAGGCCGGGGTGGGCAGATCACCTGAGGTCGGGAGTTCGAGACCAGCCTGACCAACATGGAGAAACCCCGTCTCTACTAAAAACACAAAAAGTAGCCGGGTATGGTGGTGCATGCCTGTAATCCCAGCTACTAGGGAGGCTGAGGCAGGAGAATCGCTTGAACCTGGGAGGCGGAGGTTGCAGTGAGCCGAGACCCTGCCGTCGCACTCTAGCCTGGGCAACAAGAGTGAAGCTCTGTCTCAAAAAAAAATAAAAATAAGAAAAGGAGTCTGGATTAACTTGACCCAAATTCCAATTTTAGTATCTGTGGCAATTCAAGGCTTCCCCGCATATTAGCCCTTTATGTCTTCACTATGCTTTATCTGTGTGCAAGGTATATTCCATTCCCCCTTCAGTGTTTTCCTCCAAAAAGCCAATCATACGCCAAATTCAAAATGTCTCTGAAGGAAGGAGAAGTCATAATAAATGATATCATTCCTTCTCACTCCTCACTTGGTCTTCTGCCATCTCATTGGCTCCACTTCTCCAGCTCTATTACTTGCCAACGTCCAGCTACCTTCAGCCTGATACTCCTTATCATCTGGAACCCACTTTAACAGTGTAGTACAGGCTCTCAAGCCAACTGCTTCTCTTGGGCAGTGGAGGTAGGTGGGGTAAGGTAGCAGTGGGTGTGGGGGTGGTCCTTGCCAGCTGGGCTTGTCTTCTTAGTCCTCTTGGAATTCTGGAACATAAAATTTTCTCCATCTTAATACATATATGTATATATTATTTATTTATACCTGCAAGATATAAAACTGAAGATTTCCTTACTATGTTACAGACACTCTATATTGATGTTATCCCATCTTATTAGTGTTTACGAGTCTGAAGAGTAAATAATTTGTATCTTGTTATTTAATATACATTTTCCTGATACCTGGTAAGGCTGAATATTTTAAAAGGTATATTTACTGTCGATCTGTATTTCTTCTGTGAATTGCTCTTTTATAACTTGTGCTCATATTTCTATTGAGTTTTTTGTCTTTCTCTTATATAAATATAGAAATAGGCACTCATTACATGTTTTGAATATTAAACCTTAGTCTGTTGTATATGTTGGAAATACACACACTCACATATATATGCATATATATACACACACACACACATATATGTGTGTCTATATATACGTACATACACATATATATATTTATGTACTTCCTGCTATTTAACTTCTGTTGTAGAGTTTATTCCTGAATAGACAATTTAAACTTTTAAGTAGTCAGTTTTGGTAGACTTTCTTTCTAGTTTCTTAGCTTTTTTCTCAATATTCTTCCTAATCCCAGGGTGATATAAAAATTATACTATACTTACTGCTAGTAATTTTATTGTTTTAAGGTTTATATCTGTAATTTACTTGGAATATAGTCATTGATTCACATTTCTATGCTATAAAATAGGAATAACTTCCTCCCAGATGTATAGCTATTTGACAGGATGATATTTACTGCATAATCAATCTTCCCCCCCACCATTTAAAAAGTCCTCTATGTCATGCATTGCATTTATATATATGTGTGTGTTTGTTTACACACAAATCTGTTTTGTGACTTTGATCAATTTTGCACATTGATCTCACAGGATTTCACTGGAACGAGAAGAGAAATGGAAATCAGCCAGAGAACCTGAGCAAATGAAAGATAGGACTTGAGGAGGAATGAGAGGTTTTTGTTAGCATTTTAATTAAAAAAATGTTGAACTACGTGAATGTGTTACAAATTTTTAAAAATTAAAAATATAAGCTGCATAGTCAATAAAGTTTCAATGTTGCTTTGGATAATGTTTTTGTTTCCCTAATGTTTACTTTTATTTTAAATTTCTTCTTGATTACTTCAGAATTATTCCTTTAAAACAGATGGGTGTGTCTATATGTTTTACAATGTTACATTTGAACATAGGGAGTTATCACAAATATATATGTTTAAGAGTCATTGTTTAGATTCCTGATATTCATTCATTAATAACTTTCAGATTTTGAAGGAGTGAAATATTTTTAGGGTAATTAGCTTGGCATAGTCAAAAAAGAATGTTGCTGGGATTATTTGGTGTGGCTTTGGCTTTTCATATATGCTTTTTCATTTGCATATTGCCTCTGGGGAATTAATGTTTGACTGCTCTAGGTTTGACCCACTCAACATGGGCCATCTGGAAGAAGAGTTTCACTAGTCATTCATTCAGTGACTGAAACATGAGAAGAGATTGAAAGCAAAGAAACACAGGGATAGATTTACTTTGGGTCTCTTACGTAGATCTGACCCAGACTGAAGAATCTCCAAATATGCAGTGAATTCTGCTGTTATAAAAATAATCAGTTTCCTAATTTCTGAATCATTTTCCATATATATATATATATATATATATATATGCATGTATATATAGTATACACACACCACCCCCTCCAAGTATATATATACACATACAAAAAGAACCCCTGGGTTCTGCATGTACTTCATAATATCTTAATTCGTAATTTTTTTTGAGACGGAGTCTCACTCTGATGCCCAGGCTGGAGTGCAGTGGCGCAATCTTGGCTCACTGCAAGCTCCGTCTCCTGGGTTCATGCCATTCTCCTGCCTCAGCCTCCGGAGTAGCTGGGACCACAGGTGCCCCCCACCAAACCTGGCTAATTTTTTGTGTTTTTAGTAGAGACGGGGTTTCACCGTGTCAGCCAGGATGGTCTCAATCTCCTGACCTCGTGATCCACCCGCCTCAGCCTCCCAAAGTGCTGGGATTACAGGTGTGAGCCACCGCACCTGGCCAATTTATAATGTTTTGTATTTAATAAAATTTTTATTTGGGAATCAAACATTATATAATTATTATGTCACAAGTTGATATTACTTGCCTAAATGCTGCCTCTTATATAGTGAACATTAGTTTCAGATAGGCAGATGATCTGTACTGTAGCTATTCATGGAAAATATTGCTTATCAAACTAGAACTTACCCTGCTACCTGCTCTAGTAAAGTTTAACTAGAAAATGTGATTTGGAGAAGAGTTTTAAAAAGACAAAAATGAGTTTCAAAAGAGAGTGGGAATTTCTGTGAAAATTAAAGAAAAAGAAGAGTTAATTTAATAACTTATTTTAAATCTTCTTTACTTTAATAATGCTTAATGATCATCTTCTCTGTACTAGTATGTAGAGGTGAATCTGGGATTTCTTTTAGCCATATTTGTCCAACCTTAAAGTTTTAGATTTTTGGCTTGCAAACTCTTAATGGCTGGAACATATTTATGGAAATCATTTCTCTTTCTACTTCATTTAACTAATATCTATTCTGTTGATAATAAATGTTGCAAATAATTATAATTCTATTATATAGAAAGACAGAAGGCCCTAAGATTACTCTAAATTTTTTAGGCACCTCAACATTTATATAGTATCTATGCAGTGGTAAAACTATTGAATGTTTGACATAATTTTTTATTATTGTTAACTCTTTTTCACATTAGTTTTCTTGTTTGTTTGTTTGCTTGTTCCCTTAGATTAAACACTGTTTATTATAACAATAGTGCTGACTTCCTGTTCTACTCCTTTCTTTAGGTAGGCCCAGTAAGAGCAGGCCACCTTCCACAGGGCACTCTAAGAGTACCCTTCTGTCTTTTCCCAGACCCAGGCAATGATGCTGAGGAGTGGACCAGGTGGAATGGATATGTAGCTACATGACTTATTTATTTATTTATTTAGAGATGGAGTCTCACTCTTGTCGCCCAGGCTGGAGTGCAGTGGCACGATCTCGGCTCAGTGCAACCTCCGCCTCCTGGGTTCAAGTGATTCTTCTGCCTCAGCCTCTTGAGTAGCTGGGATTACAGGTGCACACCACCACGCCCGGCTAATTTTTGTGTTTTTAGTAGAGATGGGGTTTCACCATGTTGGCCAGGCTGGTCTCGAACTCCTGACCTAGTGATCCACCTGCCTCAGCCTCCCAAAGTGCTGGGATTACAGGCATGAGCCACCACACCCGGCCACTATGTGACTTATTACCCAACTAACTGCTCAATGGTCATGGGAGAACCTCTGTGGCAGTAGTACTCAAAAGCCCTCTGGAATGTTCAGGCTTATAGTAACCTTGTAATATATACTAGAATTTTTTCTGTTAGTACCTCTTGATCTGCCTCACAG
This sequence comes from Homo sapiens, assembly GCF_000001405.40. Lineage (NCBI taxonomy): Eukaryota > Metazoa > Chordata > Mammalia > Primates > Hominidae > Homo > Homo sapiens. The sequence goes on along the minus strand of NC_000002.12, from coordinate 150,942,540 downwards.
AATCTTCCCAAATTCTTCCCACCTTTCTGTCAAGGCATAGAATAGTAGAACACTTGAGATTCTACCTCTAATTACCTTTTGTTTTATTTTATTTTATTTATTTTTTACTTATTTTAATTATTATTATTATTTTTTGAGACAGTCTCACACTATCGCCAGGGCTGGAGTGCAATGGCGTGATCTCAGCTCACTGCAGCCTCCACCTCCCAGGTTCAAGCAATTCTCCTGCCTCAGCCTCCTGAGTAGCTGGGATTACAGGCACCTGCCACCACGCCCAACTAATTTTTTGTATTTTTAGTAGAGATAGGGTTTCACTATGTTGGCCAGGCTGGTCTCGAACTCCTGACCTCAGGTGACCTGCCCACCTCAGCCTCCCAAAGTGCTGGGATTACAGGCATGAGCCACTGTGCCCAGCCTTTTGTTTTATTTTTAAGTGGAGTCTTTCCTTTGATTAACATCAGTGGGAATCCCACTGCCTTGAACTTTGAGAGTAGAGCATACATAATTCTGTCTGTTTTGACGTTTTCTTCCATTTGGTCAAACTGCAACTATAATAAATTTGGTTCTCACCTAATTTTTGGAAAGCCAGCTTGGTGCAGTTTCCCCATCTTTATTTTGTCTGTCTCTCCATAAGTTATCTCCCTGGCAGCATTCCTCTAAAATCACTGGTTTCACCAACTCTGTTTACATTGCATCCTGACACCTGCACTTCCTCCATTGCTTATATTCTTCCCCTGAGTTTTAGTGTCCTTTCAGCACCTTCATCTTTATCGTCTTACTTTCTGTTAAGGTAAATCCTACTCTGTTCAAGTCCTAGCCTATTCATGTCTCCTTCATGAATTCTTCTTTAATAATTAAATCATTCTATAGCCCTTCCCATCTCAATTCTAAAAGCGGTGACTCTTTTAACTTCCTCTGGTTATTTTGTTCATTTGGTCACTTGTAAGATGTGTGAATATGGTGACCTGAACATTACTTGTATTTTTTTCCCATGTAAGGAGATGACAGGAAGTAGGGAGAGCACAAGCGCCACCAGTGGCTCCTTGTGGCTCTTCATTCTGCCCTCCATGTGGTCTGGTTCTCTACTTCATGATATAAGGTGCTGCTATAGTTCCAGGAAGAAAAAGGAAGGCCATAAACGGTCAGCTTACTTTTAAAAAATTAATTAGAAAATTTTTCCTAGGGCAGTCTTAGGTTGAGGAGGGAGGTACAGAGATTTCCTATATATCCCCTGTCCCCACATATGGCCTCCCTCATTAGCAACATCCCCACCACAGGGGTACGTTTGTGACAATTGATGACCTACATTAACTATCATTATCACCCAAAGTCCATAGTTTACATTAGGGCTCAGTCTTCGTGGTGTACATTCTATGGGTTTAGACAAATGTATACTGACATAGATCCACCATTATAATATCATAAGGAGTATTTTTACTCTCCTGAAAACCTTCTATGCTCTACATATTCATCCCTCCCTCCCCGCAACCCCTAGCAACACTGATCTTTTTACTGTCTCCATAGTTTTGCTTCTTCAAAGATGTCATATGGTTATAATTATACAGCCTTTTCAGATTGCTTTCACTTAATAATAAACATTTAAGATTCCTACATATCTTTTTATAGCTTGATATCTCATTTCTTTTTAGCACAGAATAATACTCCATTGTCTGGATATGCCACAGTTTATTTATTGATTTATCTACTTATGTAAAACCTAAGATTATCTTAGTTGCTTTCAAGTTTTAGCAATTATAAATAAACATCAGAGTGCAGGTTTTTGTGTAGACTTCAGTTTTCAACTCCATTTGATAAATACCAAGGAATATGATTGCTAGATTATATGGTGAATATGTTTAGTTTTGTAAGAAACTGCCAAACTGTCTTCCAATGTGGCTATACCATTTTGTATTCTACCAGAAATGGAATTTCTGTTGCTCCGTGTCTTTACCAGCATTTGGTGTTATCAGTGTTCCAGATTTTGGCCATTCCAATAGGCATGTAGTAGTATATCATCATTGTTTTAATTTGCCTTTCCCTGATAACATATGATGTGGAGCATCTTTTCATATGCTTATTTTGTCGTCTGTATGTCTTCTTGAGTGAGGTGTTTGTTAAGGTCTTTAGTTCATTTTCTCATCAGGTAATTTATTGTATCTTAAGACTTCTTTGTGTATTTTGGATAGTAGTCTTTTATTAGGTGTCTTTTCCAAATATTTTCTCCCAATATGTGGCTTGCCTTCTCATTCTCTTGACATTGTCTTTCACAGAGCAGAACGTTTTTAATTTTAATAAAGTCCAACTCATCAATTCTTTCTTTCATGTGATGTCTAAAAAGTCATCACCATCCCCAAGATCATCTAGGTTTCTTCATATGTTTCCTTGTATTTTTAAGAGCTGCCCAATGTGGGGCCACCATTTTCTGCAAGGGAAACTGGGAAATATAATTTTAAGACTTTCATGTCACTGCTTTCCCTAGGGATTCTGGCAGTAGAGAAGAAGAGAAGCTGCAGCTACATGGAAATGGAAGCCTCATGTACATGCATGTGTCATAGGGACTGAGGCAAGTGCCTTTTTTGCTTTCCTGAGCTGTAGTGAGGTAAGTAAACTAAATTTTTGGCAAATCTAGATGCACCCATAAGGCAGGAAAAGTATTTCCTTTTTACTTTGTCTTGTACTCTTTATTATTTTTCTAGAAATAGGTAGAAAAGATAAAAAAATTTAAAAATATATAAAAGATAAAAATAAATGCAAAACTGTTTATAAACACAATGTTCTGTTGAACAAAACAATTACTATAGGTTTATTTGGAATTTGATGCTAGGCTCCTTGATTATAATATTCAACACATGTCCAATAAATACTCTTTGCCACGGCCTACAATTCTGGTTCTATATAACATATAGATGTTTTGATATTTATCCTAAATTTGCAAGCTTTGGGAGCTACTAATGCAGTGGTTGGTTAACCTTAGTAAACTGGCCCTGTATTCTTAGAATTTAAACAAACAATGTGCATGATAAATATTTGCTACTATTTATGATGCTGTTGTAGATGGCCATTGAGAGCATTTCTGCTTTAACTGAAGGGTGTTTTCCTACTTTTTCATACACAAAGCAAGCCTCCTTTTGTTTCCTGATCACAGCTCTAATTTTCCCTGCTGGATGAATTCAGCAAGTGGAGAATCTGGAGGCTTTAACATTAGCAGAATCTACAAAGCGCCAGAGGGGCACAAAACCTGCACAGGGAACATTTGCTCTTCAGGCTTGGCGGTGTGGTTGCCACAGCTACCAAAGCTGCTGATTTCTCTGCTTCATGTTCACGTGGGAAGAGAAGCTCTCAAGGTGACAGGGCCCTTGTTATATAACTGACATTGCAATTCATTTGCTTTGATATTCACATTTTAACCTACCATACCTAGTCCTAAATAGGACTTCTCTTTGGGAATACTCAGCTAGGTGGGGGATGGGTAGACTAAGTTTTATACAACCAGGATTACAGATCATAGAGTGAATGAATCTTTAATTATTTCTCCTTGGACTTTGACGCCTATTCGTACCTTGACTTGAGTTGGTGTCGGGGCTGAATCGCTTCATCTGTCACAAAGAGAATATAAGAACCATTGATTCATATATATCTATGTGTATGTATGCGTATGTGTGTGTGTGTATGTGTATGCACACATACACGCACACACTATATGGGTCAATTTAAAAATAGCAACTAAGATAAAATCGCATCAGCCCAACTCCTTGGCAAAGTTAAACATCTGTGTATAATTAACTGATGAATCATTCTGAAGCCTTAAGGTTCTACACTTTATTTAACAATCTTTAAGCACTAACTATAAAATATTAATTGCAGATGAATAGGCTTTGCTTAAGACCAAATCATATACATAATATAATTGACATATGATACTCTCTAGGAGACGTTGCATAGTGAATCATATATAAGAATATGTTAACAGTTTACATATTTCCATTTTTTATAAGTATGTGTTATCAATGATAAATAAGTCCTCAATTCCTCCACTTACTTGTCCCCAATTTCAGTTTTAAAGAGAATGTGAGGTGAGTTTTGTATCTTCCCTTTGACAGAATGTCATTATCAACAGCAAAACACATTTCTTAGGTTAAGAAGGAGCAGCTGAAGCACCATTTAAGGTATTTGAATTTTGATGTTGTTGTTGCTAAAAGAAAGCATGCAGTTTTTTAATAGCTTCAAATTTGGAGAGGTGGCATGGTATAATTCTCCTTTGTTTAAATTTTTAACAATCATTAGTTTGCCTCTCAAAAATTTTGGTGTTAACATTGTTAAACATAGTGTACATTATACTAGATGTTGTGTTTTATTCTCAGCAACCGTTTTGTCTGTCTTGCCCCAAAGACCTTCAGTTTTCTTTGGGGGATCCTTGTGGGAACAAAGAAGCTAAATTTAATCCCAGTATCAAAGGTGAATAATGTGATTCAGGCTAAATCAATCAGAGCCTTCTGTTCCTCTGGCCACAGTAAATAATTTAACAATTTAGCATGGAAATTTAGTCAATCCGATCAGTATGAATATTAAGACTTACTTTGGAATGCTAGGGCAAAAGTGCTTCCTGCTCATTTGAATAGTGTAGGATTGTATTTCCTAATCCAGTTGATTTCAGACTTGTCTGTGTGACTTACTTTGGTCAATGACATGTATAAGGAAGTGAGGTATGCCACATGTGAGTAGGAGTTTTAAGAACCGTCATGTATTACCTCCATCCATGTTCATCTTTCTCCTAAGCCATAACACTAGCAATGACTCAGGTAGGGGATTCTCCATTAGCTTGAGTCCTGGAAAAAGACTGTGTGAAACAGAGCCAGAGTTGACCTGCAATGGAAATGTACAGTGAATTGAAATTATTTTTTTCATTGGGATAAGCCATTGAGATGTGGGAGTTGTTTTTCTGCAGCACAACTTAGCCCAAATGGTAAGGTGTTGGACATGATGCTGGAAATTGCTGCTGCCATTCTTGCCGCATGAAGTCAGCCAAATAAAACAAAGCTGATGTAAGAAGAAAGCAGAGTCAAATTATACACAAAGACAGACGGAACTCTGATGATGATGTCACAAACCTACATACACTACAGTTGTAATCTGTATTTAAGTAAATCCATATACTTGCTTTATTACTTAAACCAATTTAGCTGGGTTTTCTGTTACTTGCAACCAAAGCAAACTAATTGCCTTACATAGCATACCATAAGTTCCACTTTGTTTTCTTACACCATACATCTGAAATAGCCTTGAAACCAGCCCATGCAATGTAAATAATAAGGTCCTGAAAGTTGCCAGCTAGTTCAATGTTGACAAAGGAAAGAGGCCACTCAATAGGCCTCTTTTGTAGATGGATGCCAAATAAACACTGTGGAAGATTACTATCCTAGTAATACGGTTCTAATTATTTCTTTAAGGATAAGTGAAGAATTTGCACTTTTCAAGATAATTTCTGTTTAACATGTATGAACATGGGTGGTTGAGATGGGAGGATTGCTTGAGCAGGGGAGGCAGAGGTTGCAGTGAGCCAAGATCATGCCATTGCACTCCAGCCTGGGTGACAGAACAAGACACTCTCTCAAAATTTAAAAAAGTATGAACAAAGATCTCTAAGGAGAAAAGTTGGGGAGAAGGCACCAGAGATCATAAAGTGATATTGTAAAAGACTTTGACCAAATTCCCACCAAGGGTCTAAAATGCTACTATAACACTAGCTGATCAATCACTGGACTTTTTATTTTTTCTCCATTAAAAAAATAAAATGAAGAAACCTATGACAAATAAGTCACCATAAATATATGCACCCCTTTCCATAAGCAATATGTATCACACATAACAACAAATGAAACATGTAACACTCACAAAGTTGCTTTGAGGGTTTCCCTTGAAAGAGGGAGCCACCTGTGCTCTAAGCTGCTACTCAAGAGCAAAGAGGATCTTCCCAGTACACCCCCTGAAATGACTGAATGGAGTTACAGTTGGGCCTCACCATGGCCAATTTTTTCTGTTGCAAGCAAGGTTATTACTAAGGTCAGAACGCTTTCACTAGTTGAAACAGTCATTAGTTTATGGAAAAAACTTTCTGTGTCTACCCCCAAAATGTGAATGGCCATTTGAAAGCAGTACATCTTACCAAGAAGAGGGCTGGAAGCGATAACTAAATAGTTATATTCTTAGATATAAAGCAACAATGAAGCAGCAACAACAAAAATTTAAAACACAGTCTTTGTGTATTGAAGCTTATATCAGATTTTTATCTCATTTATTTTAAATGTTTGAATAGGGAATACTCTTGCATGATTAAATATGCAATACAAAATGGTATGCAGTAAAAAGTTTTGCTCCCACCTTTACCTTCATCAGCTCATCAGCCCCATTTTCCTCTGTACCAGTGGGTAACGCTATTATTAATTATGAGTATCCTTCCAGAATTCCTTTAGGCACAACCATGTAAATGCATGCTTATATTGTTGTTTTCTCTCTTTCTCACACAACATGTAGCATATTATGGATTGTTCTCTATTTTGCTATTTTTGCTTAAGGATATATCTTGGAGATCTTTCTTTATCAGTACATCAAGAGCTTTGTCATTCTTTCTTACATCTGCATAGAATTTCACATTATAGACATATGGTAATTTAACCAGCTCTCTATTGATGGGAAGTTGGTTTATTTCCAATTTTTTACTATTACATACAGTATTTTTGATAAATAACCTTTACTTATGTTGCTTCATATATGTTTATTGGTTATTTTCAGAGAAATAAAATAAAGCTAAGCCCTAAAAAGAGAATCAACCTCAATTCTAGCAAACTTCTAATCAGAGGGCTCACTAGGGTTATTTTAATGACCTAAAAGTACTAAGTTTTTCACTATCCATCTCATTTAGCCAAGAAAAGTTGCTTTCAGTTATAAATATATGCAAGCTACCCAGACACTTGGAAAAAGGGACATCTAATATGCTGTCTTTTATGTCACTATTTAATAATATGTTGTCTTATATATACCCATATAGCTACCTCTGTAGCTACCTCTGTAGGACCTCTGCAGAAATATTACTTTCCAACAAGACTTATAGAAATAAGGGTCATGCCGTAAGGGCCATGTAAATATTATACAAAAGTCCTAGAAGATTTTTGGCCTTCTCATCTTGGCCTCCATTTGAAATCAGCAATCTGAGTCTGAGGACTTGTTTTCTGAATCGATTCCCATGTGCATTCCTTCCTTTATTTTCCTGTTTCCACCAGCTCCATTCTCCAAAATGGCTGCTCTGTCATTCATGCCCTTTTATTCTGAAGGGGAGAAAAAAATTCAGTTTTATTTTATACATTTTTTTCTGCTGCTCACTTAAGATTCGTTGGCTGGGACCCTGTAAATTAGACTGAGAAAAGACAGATTAGCAAGCGAAGAACAAACAGAAACTTATTAACGTGCATAGTGCACACACACGGGAGTATTCTATGATGAGTAATTCGAAGGGGTGGTGAGAATTTGAGCTGATATATCATCTTTAAAAATGATAAAATTGTAGGGAAGTGACAAAAATAAGGAAAAGAACTTTGAGCTTCTAGGACATAAATCATGGGATGGCATATATATAGGGATATATGGGGATAATGGTAGATAAGGCTAGTTAGTGAAGTTTGTGATATAGACTTTTCTGGTGTGGTATCAGGGCTGGTGAGGGTCTAGACATGGTCTCACATATGTTAACTTCTGTTCTTCCTGGAAGAGAGGGGAAAGGTACCTTTGCAAATTTATGCCCTGCCTGTAGGCAGATGGGGGAGAGCAGAGAGCTTTTCTTGTATCTGTTTCTTCCTTTCTTGTTTCTGTGTCTTACCTTTGGCTATAAATAATTCTTATGCCAAATAAATCGCCTATTTTGGGATGGCATATTCTGCTACCCTTCAATTCTATTCTATTTATTCCATCCTATATGCATTGTTACTAATAGGTAGCTTAAAAATATCCCTTTTTCTAATATTACCTATGTCAATTCTTCTTCGTTGCTGCTGCTATTGTTTTCTCAAGGAATTCTTTGGGTAATTACTTTAATGGATTGGTTTTTGATGATTTATTTTCTCCCCAAGCACTCAATGGGAAATTTAAAACATGGGAAAGATTTTGTTTGTTTTTGTTGAAAAGAAAAAAAAAACCTTTAAATCACAGACTACCTAAATATAAATTTTTAACATTTTTAATTAACATATTTTTATAGGTCAGTATGTTTATAAGAGGCCAATATTTCCAACTGCACACCGAATCCAATTTCTGGATAGTCCTCTCACTGACAACAGTGGCTTGTAGGAAAGTTCCCTGTCTCCTTCCCTGATTTCAGTTGTAGGCAGCAATATAAATTCTTCTCAGCAACTCCACCATCCAGGATATACTCTCTGCTAGTTCTAGAATTCCCTGGATTTCTTTTTTTCTTTCTTTTCGTTTATTTTTTTTTTTTTTAAAGAAATCTGCAGTTCATGCCTTCAGTATTGCTTTAAGGGAAAAGTGTGATTGGGGCTCGGGTGGGGGCATGAGGAGAATACTATACTTCCTCTTCTCAGTAATGCCATTTATTTCATTGATTGATTTATTGGCATCTTTTCCCCTTTTTTATTGCCTATTTTTTTGCTCACTGGTACATAAACTCCTGTCTGCTGTGAATCTCTGTGCAAGTAGTATCTTTTATAGCAGCCATTATCTGCCCTCCAGAATTCTGAAAGCAAAAGTCTCCAAAATGTAAAAAAGCTTCTAGTGCATTGGGAACAGTTTATTGGTTTAGCTTGTTTAATTATAGTCAGAGCTAAGTCAACATTACTACAAGCCCTCTTTTAAAAATTATATGAATACTTCAGTTGGTTTAGGATGATTCTAAATAATTCTTTAGTCATATGCTAGTAATTCATTTTTTTAATAGAAATGAAGAGGTCTAATTTTTGTATTTGTGCAATATTGTATACATATTTATATAACAATCACAAAGATACAGTCATCCAAATATATAGAGATTGCATGTTTTTATAGTACTGCAAAGAATAACACTGTTAGTTTATAAATTCAAACTCATTTTCTTATATAGGTGAGAACAAGCCAAAACCATATTTTTTCCAATGGTTATGATTACCTTATGACAATTAACCCTCTACAATATTATTATTATTTGGGCAGTGGGATTTTGAAGAAAATAACAAAAGACAGAAAAATAGAAAATATTCAACAACAAAGCAGGAAATTATGTTCGACCAGATTGAATACTCAAATTGTGGTTAAACTGATGGCCTGCCTGATATTCTACACTGATTACTCCCTCCCCAGGGAGATATTATAAACAAGGATTTACTGTCAAAATATTTTTTATTTGTCTGAAAACTAATTTGCCAAGCCTGGAGATCAGAGGTTTGGTGCAGATGGGAAAAGCAACCTGTTCCTCTGCCTTGAAGGAATCAGCTGTAGAGAGAACGGCAGCAAGTGGAATGGAAATGTCACTTCAGCCCCGAAGCTTCGTAAATATCAGGAAAGAAGACAGTACCAATCTCCCAGCCCACAGCTCACAAAGCCACTCTCTCTTCCAGCAGGTATTAAACATTAATGACCATTTCTATAATAAGGGGCGAGAATGGCTCTTTGCTATAGAGCTGCCCAATCATTTGAGTTGTGTTAGATTTTCAACAGCAGCACGTTTCACAATTTTTTCCTCTTCCTTTTATCACTGTGAGAATCTTCAGCGTGAAGGTAATGAAGTGCTTCTTTTATCACTCTGTATCATTTGAAATATTTATCTGATTATTTGAATAAAAGATTATGGCAACAATAGTAACTCTATCCCTGCATATACTCAGACTTCAAATGGAAAAAGGAAGCTTAATGAATAAAATAATGCCAAGCCATTTGGCACTAAACTTTTCAGTAACAAAAAAATGCTATGATAAGTTGCAGCTTGTTTACAAAATGTAAACTCACACACAATGCTAAGCATGAGGCCAAAACCTAAGCAACAATTGGCCTTTGGAGTATAAATTAGGCATCAGTAAGTTTAAAAGGGCTTTTTACACATTTGAGCATTTCTGAATACATTCTTGCCCCTTTGTTGATTCCAGGTGGAGTCACTAAAAATAACATGGAATCTATCAGGCAGTTTTCTTAGGACTTTTGTTACTCCATTCTTGTGTCTCTGGTTTTATTGCCTGGTGAGTATAAATGCACAGAAATGCCAGAATACAGGTGGCTTCCAACTTCCACCTGTCTAGCTGTGGGAAGTTTAGTCTTTTGCAGAGAACCCTCCTCAAGCACTTCTTGGAGTAAACATAGGTGGTAACACAAGTCCAAAAACGAGCTTTGCCCTTACTAATTGCCATGGAAGTCCACTTGGACACTTTGTTCCATCCAAGCCCAACAGAGCCATGGGGTCTAAGCTGGCATTTGCTTCTGTTGCCAGAGCTGTTGTGTTGATGCTTTTGGAGCTGCATGGTCGGTGTGCAGCCTCAGGAATCCAGTGAGGTAAGAAGGAGAGCACTCTTCTGTGCTCCCCTCACTAGGGAGTAAGAAGGGGAAATGCCATCGCAAAGTTAGCTGAGCTCACAATCACTTCAGGGTTTAGTGAGACCATCTCTCACTGCACAGAGCCCCTGCCTGCCACAATGCACAGGTACTCTAGGATGCCTGAAGTGGAACAAGCCCCTGCCTAAGCTATCCTAGAAGTGTCTATTAATATTATCCTCTACTACTTGGGTTGTTGAAGAGTTTAGTTCCCGCTGCGATTTCGTCTTTCTTCCTGGAGGATTCTCTTTCAGACATTCCCATTGCTCCTCCTTCAATCTCTCTTTTATCAGGGCCTCTTGGGGCTGCTATGCAGCTCTCAAAAGCCATTGTGTACAGCATTAACTCTTGTTTCAAAAGGCTTCCTAGCATCTATTGTGATTCTGTGACTGTGGATAGATACAGGGGGAGAGGAGCACTGCCTTTCTCTACTGGCCAGGGGAGTTCTTGTCTAAGACCAGTTCTGTGATGACTGCTTTTTGTATGACTAAATATACTGAAGCAGGAAAATAAATTTTGCCCTCCAGAGATTGTGTTATAGAAAAATATTTACATTTATAAATTAATGTTGTTGTTAGTTTGAAGTAGAGTCACAGAAGGTAACAGACTTTTAAGAGGCAATTCTCTGGATCTGTATTTCTTTATCCCTACTGTGCTTTCTAAAACCGTATCTCTATTTTTTCTTTTTCTTTTTTTTTTTTTTTTTTTTTGAGACAGAGTCTTGCTATGTCACCCAGGCTGGAGTGCAATGTCATGATCTCAGCTTACTGCAACCTCCACCTCCCATGTTCAAGTGATTCTCCTGCCTCAGCCTCCTGAGTAGCTGGGATTACAGGTGTGCACCATCACATCCTGTTAATTTTTGTGTTTTTAGTAAAGACAGGGTTTCGCCATGTTGGCCAGGCTGGTCTTGAACTCCTGACCTCAGGTGATCTGCCCGCGTTGGCCTCCCAAAATGCTGGGATTATAGGCATGAGCCACTGCGCCAGGCTCATATCTCTATTTTTGCTCTTTTCCTTTCTTGGCGGCAGTTGCACAAGGTTGTTATGCAGCCAGCGTTGTATTGGGGATAGAGAGAATAAGACTTAATCTACTTTCACGTCTCCCTAACTTTCTTTTCCTCAAGATTATGATTGTGCATGTTAGGGATGGTGATAATAGTGCATTGTATATTTTTACTCATTTACTAATTAATCAGATAATCTATGGTACATGGAGCCCTCATTTTTCAATATTGTATTCCCTAATATAATAATTTAAAATCAATTTTAAATTATTATAAATTGATCATTTATGATTATATATATATATATATATATATATATATATATATATATATATATAAAATCTGAATAACATCTGAATAACAGATGTCCAAGAGTATTTAGGCTGATGGGAAGATGAACAGATAGCAGAGTCATGCCCAGCAGATCCTCCACCCAGGATAAGGTTTCTTGACTCAAATCTGTTCATGAAGATATCCCACCCACCTTCTACTGCCGCTTGGCATTCTGATTTGAGATGTAAGTCTTACTTAGTAGTAAAGATATATTTCCTCTGGGCAGAAATCTTCGATTTGAGCTCTAACAGTTTTTAGGTTGTTTGTTTGTTTGTTTGTTTGTTTGTTTTGAGGCTTATTCCAAATATATATATATATATATATATATATATATATATATATATATATATATATATATATATATATATGGGGTACAAAGCGATGCAATGATTTATGAATACAATGTGGAATAATTAAATCCAGTCAATTAACATATGTATTATCTCATACCTATCATACCTATTATCTCATACCATATCATTTTTGTGATGAGAACATTTGAAATATACTCTGTTAGTGATTTTGAAATGTACAATACACTATTATCAACCCATCCTCATGGATAGAACTTAGAGACAGTGGCATGTAGCTGTCGCATTAGGCATTTCGCTGTTTCTTCCTCTTCCATCTACTCCTTTAGATTCCAGGGAAGGGAAGAAAAGGAGGAAGGACAAGGAAGTCATCATTTGTTTCTGGTCCATTTGATACTGGCAAAGAAATGTGTCCCCTCTGAATAACAGATGTCCAAGAGTGTTTAGGCTGATGGGAAGATGAACAGATAGCAGAGTCACGCCTTGTGAAACTCAGGCATGGAATATGGTTTGGGTCATTGTTGCATCGTTGCATCTTGGTGGCTGACATGAACCATTTCTCCAGTCAAGTGATTGCTGTATTCAACTGATCGTAGTTGTGACAGTGATACCAGAAGTTTCTCCATCAGTTCCTGCTGTCAGATCCTCCACCCAGGATAAGGTTTCTTGACTGAAATCTGTTCATGGAGATATCCCACCCGCCTTCTGCTGCCGCTTGGCATTCTGATTTGAGATGTAAGTCTTACTTAGTAGTAAAGATATATTTCCTCTGGGCACAAACCTTCGATTTGAGCTCTAACAGTTTTTAGCTTTTTTGTTTGTTTGTTTGTTTTGACGTTTATTCAAAATGGATTTTTTAGGGGATGGAAACATTTTCTTATTTATATTACCTTGAATAATAAATTTATCTTTGCTTTGTATCATCTTCAGACACAATAATGCATACTTGTGTTTAACGTCTCCATGAAGGCCTTGAGCCAGATGTGAAATCATTGCAGAGCATCATAGTTAGTTAAAGACAGGGGTCTCTGGTGAATGAACCTTATCCCCAAAACAATTTTCTCTAATATTCCATCTCTTTTCCCTGCCTCCTTGCCTACAAGTCAAATAGTAGGATTTGGGATTTCAAATGTTCTTGCTGCCTTTCTATTTATTGTATTCACAATTACATGGGAATTATAATAACACTTTCTGAAGTAAAATCTCTTGCATAAACCAGTGAGAGGACAGGGATCCTGGTTAGCCAGTGGTCCTTTCTGGTATGCCAAAATTCACCTTAGATGGATATTTTTCACTCTGCCTATATTTGTGGTCAGTCTTACCTCAAGGGTAGAATCAACAGTGTTTGTTTTTTTCCTTGATTACTTTTTTGCAAACCTAGATATTAGCCATCGTTTCATAACTAACGTAATTGCTGCATCTATCCACTAGAAGTCTCATTTACTAATCAATCAGGTGATCTATGGTACATGGATCCCTGGTTTTTCAACATTGTATTTCTTAATATGGGTGTGTCAATCACTTTAAAACAAATTTTTATAAATTGACCCTTTATGATTGTATATATTTATGGGGTCCAAAGTGATGCTATGACTTATGAATACAATGTGGAATAATTAAATCCAGTCAATTAACATATCTGTTATCTCATACCTATCATTGTTTTGTAGTGAGAACATTTGAAATATACTGTTAGTAATTTTGAAATGTACAATATACTATTATCAACTATATTTAACAAGCTGGGCAATAGATCTAAAACAAAATAAAACAAAAACATATTCCTCCTGTCTGAGACTGTGTCCTTTGACCATCATTTCTTCATTTCCCCATTTCCCAACCCCCAGCCTCTGTAACCACCATTCTACTCTCTGCTTCTTTGAGTTCAATTGTTTCTTATTCCACATATAAGTGAGAACATGTGGTATTTGTGTTTCTGTGCTTGACTTATTTCACTTAGTATAAATTGTCCAATTCCATCTATGTTGTAGTTGCAAATGACAGAATAGCCTTTTTTTTTTGAGACAGGGTCTCACTCTGGCACACAGGCTGGAGTGTGATGGAGTGATTTTTAAGGTTGAATAGTATTCCGTTGTTTATGTATTACCACGTTTTCTTCATCCATTCATCTGTTGATGGCATTTAGATCGAATCTGTAACTTGGCTATTGTGAATAGTGCTGCAGTGAACATGGGGGTGAACATATCTCTTGGACAAACTGATTTCAAGTCTTTTAAGTAAATACCCAGAAGAGGGATTGCCAATTCTATTTTTAGATTTTTAAGGAATCTTCCCAGCATTTTCCATAATATTGTGCTAATTTACATTCCCACTAACAGTGTACACGGGTTCCCTTTTTTTTCACATTCTCACCAACACTTTTTTTTGTCTTTTTGATAATAGTCATTGTGACAGGTGTGAGGTAATAGCTCATTGTGGGTTTTAATTTGCATTTCCTTAAAGATTAGTAGGTATTGAACATCTTTTATATCTGTTGACCATTTGTATTTTTTTTTTTTTTTTAGAAATGTCTATTCAGGTCTCTTGCTCATTTTTTAAAATTGGGTTGTCTTGCTATTGAGTTGTTTGAGTTCTTTCTATATTTTGGATATTAACCCCTTATTGGATATATGACTTGCAAATATTTTCTCCCCATTTATAGGTTGTTTCTTCACACTGTTACTTTTTTTCTGTATAGAAAGCTTTTTAGTTTGATATAATCCTATTTGTCTGTTTTTGTTTTTGCTGCCTGCGCTTTTGGGGTCAAATCCAAAAAACCATTGCCCAGACCAATTCTGTGTAGTTTTCCCCCTGTGTTTTCCTGGCATCCTCCTAAACCTTTTCTAGGATAATATTAAATAGAGGAACCAGAAAACAAATTATTGTAAATTGACCATTTATGATTGTATATACTTATGGGATACAAAGTGATGGTATGATTTATGAATACAATGGATAAAGAAAATCCCACAAAAATGTGTGGATCCTTGTGACACTGAACCTCCTAACAGCTATATCATAATCTATAACCTCTGTGGCTCTTATGAATTAAATGAGATGTAATATGAGTCACTTAGCCTTAGTGCCTGTCAGAAATCTTCCACAATTTAAAAATAATTTTTAGTTATTATTATTCCAGCTTCATATTACAACAACAAAATTGATATTGTTGGAAGGTGTTTTGTTTTCTTTTAATAAAAATTAAACACATTAATAGAATTCTGTGGAAAGTGTAAGCTTTTCTGTTCCCCGTGCTTGGTATTTCCAGGATTGCTAAAGGAAGAAAGAAAGCAGTTAATTACCTGGGGAACTTCTGCAGAACTCCTGAAAATGGATGCTACATTGCTAGTAAATAAAATTATTATATTCATTGTGATTACTTTGATGTGATTGTTGTCTTACTAGGCCTCCCGTGGAAAAAGGATGAGGTGACCTTTGTGTGGCAAGTAATAGGGAGAAAAAGGTATAGGTCACATGAAATCTTGGGATAGCTGGAGATGCTTCTAGCAATTTGACCAAACTGGAGATTGCCAGGGACTCTCACCTGGGAGGCAGGAGAAAGGGCACATGGCTCTTGTTCAGAACAACTGCTTGGCCAACTGTGAACATCACAGCCAGAGTTAACTAAGAAAGGAGAAAACAGGATAAGTGCTACAGAAAGTAGCTTCTGTTAGAGAACAATTTTCACAAGGGTCGGTACTGCTGACTGAGCAGTGATACATTTTTGCTGCATGGAAATGGAGTGGCAGCTCTTTAGAGTAGGAAGGGCCAGTGGATGGTTTCCTAGATTGTGCCTTAGTCACAAGTCACAAGGAGACTGAAGCCAATCTAATAAAAGGTATGGAGAGGTTGTACAACATTATTAATGTAAGTAATGCCACTGAATTGTACATTTAAAAATGGTTAAAATGACAGATTTTGTTATATATATTTTAAATTTAATTAATTTTTAAACATTTTAAAGATTAATAATGTAACATACCCAAAGCCATTGCATTATATACTTCAAATCGGTGAATCGTATGGTATGTGAATTATTTCTCAATAATATGTTTTTAAAAAGCTATAAAGGTACCATTGGATCTATTGGATCCTTAAAAAAAGGCTATGGAGAGCATTTTTTTTCTACAATAGGTGAGCTTTCCTTTAGTTTTCTAAAGGGTATGTCACATAGGCTGCCGAGAAAATACCAAGAATTTGATACAATGAGAGCCACATAAATTTCAAGATTGTTGGTAGCTCTGCAAACCAATGTGAATATGCTATTTCTGGTATTTTTGGTAATACAATCAGCTGAATGAGGAAAAAGTAATTGAATGAAATACAGGACTATGTGCTTATTATGAGATTCTCATTTTCTTATTCCTCAATAGCCATCTACTATGTGTTGCTCTGTATCCAGCCTAACAAAGCTGTGTTTGTAAAATCTCCTCAATACAGAAGCTGACAGGATCAGACAATAGACTTTTGCTGATTAATATTTAATGGGCCTATGGATTTTTCTTCAGCAGCTGGAGTGCTAAATAATAGTCAATTAGCAAATGTGTTAATTAGCTCTAATTACATAGCACATGAGCTTCTCCAAGGATTTTTGCTTTATAGATTTACTAGTGAATGTTCCACCACTTTTCTTGAACACACCAAGCAGCTAATTAATTGATAAATAATACTTTGTTCTTCTCTCAAAAACATGTATTTAAAAATAAAATCCAGTTTAATGCTTGATGACATTTAGAAATGACATTTAAGAATATGAGATGAATCTGATGTCTGCTTTTTAAATAGAATTGTCGTAATCACCAGGAAGTTTTTCATTTATGTGTGAATGAGAAATAGGGAGATGGCATTATGAGTTTTGTGTATGTGTGTAGGAGAGAATGAAAAAGAAGCAATAAAAGAAGGAAAGAAAAGAAGGAAGGAAGCAAGAGAATTAGGGAAGAAAGAAGAAATAGAGAACGATAAGAAAGAAAGGGAGGAGGCAGAGGATAAAGGAGAAAGGGAGAGAGAGAAGAGCAGGAAGAAAGGAAGAAAAATGAATTGAAAACTGTGAAGGCTGGTTCTTTGTGAGAAGTCAGGATATGCCTAGTTTGACTTGCAATATGCAAAATTATGAACTCCAGGAGCAAGGGTAATCAATATGTACCATGCAATTAACAGCAATCTTCTGAGCTTCATGTACCAGTTAAGGAAAACGTTTCTGAACGTTGTATGGTGCCTGCCACCGGGGACACAGAATGCTTGGAGGAAAGAAATTAGCATAGCAGCTTTGCACATGGTCTGGCATGAGTCGTTAGATCAAAAGCTGTGCATGGCAGCAGCCTGCTGCAGGGGAGCCACCATTTCAGTGCCGGAGGATGCTGCTTAAGGCATTTGCAGAGAAACTCTCTGAGGGGACACAGAGGGAACAGAGTTGGCTTTTTCAAATAGGATGATGGTCATGGAATTCAGCTCAGGTGGGCTACTCAGTTGAATAATTCTCTATCACCAAATTCACATAAACTCTCAATTTACTGCTGTTAGCCTCTGCTAAGACCCTTAAATATTAGCTTCAAAGAAGGTTTAGAAAAAAAGAATGTTAAAATTGATCCTTCAGTTGGACTTGTTTGATCATTTCAATAAGACCCAAAGGAGCTAACAGCTTTGACCAAGAACATTATGGCTTTTTCGGTCTTTTGTGTCAAAAGAGTTACCAAATCTATAATTTTCTTTAAGAACACTCTAAAGAAACACAGAGAACAATGGAATACTATGAAAGGGCACATTGAAAAGTACAAGCTTTCTTTATCTGTTTATTGCGTTTTCTTATTGAGAGACAATGGCAGGGTGGCTGCATTTATCCTTTTCTTGGTTTAGAGGAAGTGGATGCCTTGGAAGGATGTGAGTCTGTTTATGTGAATAAGCATGCACTTCATAGCAGACAATATATTTGGTTGTGATGAGCAGGGATGGTTTCTCCTGTGTTTATGGGGCCTAGTTGAGAGCCACATTTATAGAAGGCCTTCAGGAAGCTTTGAGTCCAAGGGTAGTGCACTGAAAACAGGGTTGGGATGTGATCTGGAAGTCAGGCAATGTGACAAATGAAGGTCTGGGTGACAATATAGGTCAGTGACCTGCAATCATAATGCTGGAGGCAATCTGTGTCAGGGTCTCCATGCCTTGCCTCTCATGATGAGAGGCCAGCCTTCCTCTTTACTCCAGCCACTGCTATGACAACCAGCTGCAAGTGGGTGCAACCAGGATCTCCTCACAGCTGGACCACTGTTCAGCTTGCAGTCTATCACCTCATGGGACATCTGCTGGGCCCAGGCAGCCATTTCGAAGTTTGCACAAACCTGGGTGTGCACAACCGTAGGGACAACTCCCTCTGTCTCTTGGGTGTTAGTGGGGATTGAGGCTTGGTTGTTCACAGCGATGATCAGCTTGCTACACACCCTTGAGTTTCCTTTCTCACCTTCTCATTTCACTCTTCCTAGGCCCCCATGCCTTTTCCCTAGGATCACTACCTGCACTCAACCTCTTATCTCCGGCTGGGTGTTTGAAGGGAAGCTAGGCTATGACCAATTCCATTCCAGAAGTTAAGTTGAGTCAATGATTGGAAACCCAGATAGGAGTAAGGAGTAGGGAATATACACTTCCTAAGTCACAGGAAGAAAGAGGGAGTCAGAAACCAGCCAAGTAGTGCATGCTGGGGAGCCCAAAGGAATGAAGGAATGTAGACTTCTGAACTGGTCTCTTGGGGTCCATTTGGCTTCCAAGCTGAAGAGCTTGCAGTAGGTGGGGGTAAAGCTTGTGGCTGGAAAGTTACTCAGAGACATTATTTAGTCTATCCACCTGGCAGAGACTTCCCCTTGCCAAAGAAAAGGAAAGCACAATGTTTACCCAAGTAACTTCAACTTGAGTGGAAAATGTGCTTGGGACAAAACAGAGGAAACCTCAAAACAAAAGAACGCCTTTGCTCCTGCCTCCTTATTCTCTCTGCACAGGTGTAAATCCTACTTGAGGGGTGTTGCAAGGAGAACATGACTTTTGCTACAGTTAAATAACAGTATTTTTATTGGTTTTCTTTTGATGTGGCAAGAAATTGTCACAAAGTGAGTGGCATAAAATAACACAAATTTATTGTCATTATAGTTCTGTAAGTCTGAAGTCTTGCATGGGCTAAAATCAAGGTGTCAGCAGGGGTGTGTTTCTTTTTGGAGGCTCTAGGAGAGAATATATTTTCATATCTTTTCCAGCTTTTAGGGGCTTCCTGCATTCCTTAGCTTGTTGCCTCTTCTTCCATCTTCAAAGCCAGCTATGGTAGCTTGAGTCCCTCTCACATGGCATGACTCTGAGTCTTCCTCTTCTACTTTTAGAACCCTTGTAATTACATTGGGCTCACTTGCATAATCAAGGCAGATCTTTCTATTTAAAGGTCAGCTGATGAGCAATCTTAATTCCTTCTGCCATCTTAATTCTCTTTTGTCTTGTAACATAACACATTCGCAGGTTCTGGGGATTAGGATGTAGACATCTTTGGGGCGGTCATTATTCTGCCTACCACAAGTCTTTTCTGAAATCAAACTTACAGACTGGAAATTTCCCCTACCTAGAAAGTCCTCAATCTTGCACTCACAGACTGTGACCCCTACTTCAGGGCTCAACTCACATATCTTCCATTTAAAGACTATCTTGAACCCAAACAGGTAGAAATAATTCTTTCCTTCATTCTGCTTCTAAAGTATTTTATACATATGTCTATTTCTACTGCTGACATGAGGAAGAAGAGAGGAGGAAATAAGATAATCCAAAATATAAAACCACCTAAGAAATAAGAATAAGAGGGCAAATTATTTTTCTATGTTTTAATATGATGACTATCACTGAGATTGTGGATCATCTTGTAGAAAAGTTACGACCCTCTTAGATACAAGATCTTATCACCATTTGTGCCCATGTCACATGTAGATAAGCATCATGGTATAACCAGACCTGAGCTCCTGGAAGATATCCTAACTGTATATGAGAGAGCGGTGATGGAATAAGGGCAAGAGTCATAAGGTTTCAATAGTCAGGCTCTGTTAAAGTGAGAGAAATGTGGGAGTCTATGGCAGTGGAAAGGCAGAGTGACCAGAGTGGGAAGTGTTACTTCTCCATTGTCATGCATTCTTTCTGATCACATTCCGAGGGATGTAACCTGGAACTAAAAGAGTTGGAGTAAGTAGTTGCTATCAAATGTATTTTTAGGATTACCAAAATTTCTACTTTGTGGTCTTAGTATAAAAATTCCTACCCTTTGCGTTATGTTATTAAAACTCCTTGTTTTGAAACAAGCACATATTCTTATGGAAGAACTTATAAATTATTTAATAGATTTACCTTAGAACATTTTTTTTTTTGAGAGATGGGAACTCATATTGCCTGGGATGGCCTCACATTCTGGGATTCAAGTGATGCTCCCGCCTTAGCTGTTGTGCTCCTCAGCTGGGACTACTGGTGTGCACCATGGTGCCTGGCTATTAATTTGTATTTTCCAAATATTATATATCATTTACTGTGTGCTAGGGACTGTTCTAAATGCTCTAAATATTAACATATATGATTAGCTTTAGTTACTATCATAACCTTAAGGGAGTAATTTATAGAGGTAGGAAAAATTTTTTATTGTGGGTATTGGGAAGTAAAGAAAGTTACCATATCCGTTAAGGACATGAAAGGCCTGGGTGGGTCACTGAAATAGGAGGAACCAAGATGAAGGACATGGAGGAAGTCAGGGTGAAGAAAATACTTAAAATGGCATTTCTGTTTGCATCACCATGTGGCCAAATTGTCAACCTCTGGTTCTCTTGAGGTTGTAACCCAGAGGCAGAAATAGACATGAAGCCATAAACACTATTTTGGAATGGGGAAAGAAAACTAACATGCATCTCAGAACATCCCCAAAGTATCTTTTAGGCATTACCAAAACACTGCCAAAAGAGAACATTGGGGATGATATTCTAACTTAGCAATAGCAAAACAACCAAATCCAGAATGAGCCGCAAAATTGCAGTATGTCTAATGCATTCACCAAAGTCATTACTAAAAATAATTAAATGGATTGTTGGTCGTAGGGATTTCAAAAGAGAAGGAGATGTATGCCAGAACCATCCATACATTTCCCAGAGGAAGGATGAAAAACTATGAATAAAATTAGGCCCAAGCTATAATAGGTGATCAAGCAATTAGCATACATGAAAAGAACCCAATTATGAGCCACAGCAAGGCTATACCACAATTCATTTTCCACATTGATTTTTTGCTTCCATATTTCAATAACAACAATATGTGCTTTCACAGCTCTATAGATATGAGACTTGTAAAAATTCCTTCTGAATTAAATTATTGAGGAAATTATCTTGTTCATAAACAGAGAGATGATGGTGGTGATAGTTTTTGGATGTGTCATGGAGAAGCAAAGTTATTTTTAACTGTTCATATGGTGGTTTATAGGTTTCAAGGCAAAGGGTAAGGTTTAGATATAAACCAACAAAAACAGAATTATCTTCCGAGAATTCAGCAAGGCACATTTGGAAAGATATTTAACTTAGAATTTGGAATCCAGGTCCTGCTCCTGGCTTTCTCGTGTGACCTGGGTAAATTGTTTTGTGTCTCTGGTCCTCAGTGAACTCTCTTAGCTATAAGATGTGATTGTTGAATTAAATAAGAAGAGTTGATCATAATAAACATTTTCTGAGTACTTAGTATCTGTCAGCAAAATTCTAAGCATCTTATACATAATGACTCATTTAATCCTTTCAACACCGTGTGAGATAGGTAGTAGAGTAGTCCTCACAGTACAGCTGAGAAACTGAGGCACAGTGAGATCATGGGCCTACACCCAATAGTAACAGAGCCAGTGCTTGGAAGGCAGTCTTGCTACAAAACCTGAGTAATAAGCCCTGAACAATATTGACTAACAACTGAAGTATTTTTAATGTCCTATATAGCTTTGCAATTTTGATTCTATAATTCCCATTTAGAAATATACTTTTTGGAAGAATATATTTTTAATTTCTTATGAAGTGAGTAAGAGTAAGTAGGATAATTTATTTAGAATGCTAGATTTTTACCCCCCACTGAAATCAGTGGAGATTGCAGGGGTAATGATCACATCCAGGCTACTATTCTCAGTAGAGAGAGAGAGAGTGTGTGTGTGTGTGTGGTCGTGGGTGGTGGTGCCTGCGGATATATGTGGTTGGTCTATGACTGGTGAAATTCTTCCACAGTAATTTCAGAAGATATTTTGGTATACAGAAAGGTTATATAAAAACTCTTGAGTCTCTACTAGTTATCCTGTAAATAATTCACAGGAGCCTATGTGGAATTCACCCTGTCTACTGACATTTTCGTAAACAGCACTCACTGAATCTGCTGCAGCAACCGCTACAATATTTACGGAAAAGATTTCTGTTTAAACTTTTTCTAGGTGAAGATGTTTCAGAGTTTCTCAAACTTTGGCATGCATAATATCACCTGAGAAATAGTTTTAAGAAGATTGAGTTTTGGATCACTATTTTCTCCCTTCTGATTCTGAACCAGGAAATCTGGATGAAGCCCAGGAAACACCATCCTTAATGAGTATACCTATGGGACTGTTCAAGCAGACCGTGGATAAAACACACACGTCCATTCACAAGATTTATATTATCATTTAGTTAAGGCAATCTGATTGATTATCAATAGAATTGTACAGGTATATTCATCTTGGAGAGGAAACGTCAAATCTAGGTTGCAGTTTTGTTTTAAAATAAACATTTCCAGCCATGCACGGTGGCTCATGCCTGTAATCCCAGCACTTTGGGAGGCTGAGGTGGGCAGGTCACCTGAGGTCAGGAGTTCGAGGCCAGCCTGGCCAACATGGTGAAACTCTGCCTACTAAAAATACAAAAAATTAGCTGAGCATGGTGGTGCCCACCTGCAGTCCCAGCTACTCGGGAGGGTGAGGCAGCAGAATCGTTTGAATCCAGGAGACAGAGGTTGCAGTAAGCCAAGATCGTGCCACTACACTCCAGCCTGGACAACAGAGCAAGACTCAAGACTCCATCTGAAAAATTTTTTTTTTCCATAATGGCAATAATATTAATAATTAGCATATATTTAGGGTTTTTTTTTTTTTTTTTTTTTTTTTTTTTTTTTTTTTGAGACAGGGTCTTACTTTGTCACTGAGGCTGAAGTGCAGTGGCACAATCTCGGCTCACTGCAACCTCTGCCTCCTGGATTCAAGCGATTATCCTGCCTCAACCTCCTGAGTAGCTGGGATTACAGGCGTGCACCACCATGCCTGGCTCATTTTTGTATTTTTTAGTAGAGACAGGGTTTCACCGTGTTGGCCAGGCTGGTCTCAAACTCCTGGCCTCAAGTGATCCACCCACCTTGGCCTTCCTAAGTGCTGGGATTATAGGTGTGAGCCGCCGCGCCCGGCCTGTGTTTAGTTTTTAAGATGCATCTGGCATTTAACTTTAGTCACTTAATCAACTAACACTATTCAATATGTACTATGATTGTGTTCATTTTATATAGGAGGAAACTGCAGGTTTTGGAAGATAATTATTTCACCTACAGTCACAACAGCAAGTTGGTTCTGGAGTCATAGCTAGCAAATGTCTACCTTTTCCCCTCCGTCTTTCCCCTTTTCCTTCTCTCCTTTTCTCTCCCCTCCTCTCTTTTCTTTTCCTTCCTTTTCTCTACCGCTCTCCCTTCTTTCTTTCATTCCTTCCTCCCTTTCTCCCTCATCTCTTCCTCCCTTCCTCCTTTCCTTCCTTCCTTCCGTCCGTCTTTCCTTCCTTCCTCCCTTCCTCCCCTTCCCTTTCCTTCCCCTCCCTCCCTTCCTTCCTTCCTTCCTTCCTCCCTTCTCTTCCCTTCCTTTTCCTTCCTTCTCCTTCCTTTTCCTTCCTTTTCATTCCTTCCTTCCTTTCTTCCTTCTTTCCTTTCTTCCTTGTTTTATTCTTCTCTCCCTTCTTTCTCTTTTTCCTTTTTTTCTGCCACCTAGTAATTGGTTTTTATTTTACCATTTTCTGTATCCTATGCCTTAGACCTTAGACAAGTGTTTACTACAGAGCCTTGAGGTACCGTTATGACGACAGAGTAAATTGGCTCCCCAGGGCAGATGTGAACTAGCTCTCTGGCCTATGTCTCCTTCCCTGCCATCTGTGTTATACCTACAATCATAAATGTCAAAGGCGGGCTTCAATAGACATTATACAGATGCCATGGTAAGGGAAGAAAAAAAAAAAGAATGTATCTTGATTTATATGATGGCTTTTAAAAGACACTTAAAAAAAAGAAAGTAGATATCCCCCCCACTTTTTTTTTTACCTTTTACTAAAAGGACCTTTGCACAAAAACAAAGCCTTTTTTCCTATTTTTTTAAATTGACTACTCTGTATTATAGTAATTTTTTGAGAATGATTAAATAAATTATACATGGTAAATTCTTAGTTAATCAATAAGATGATTTTTTAAAAATAATTTTAAACATATAAGAAAATAATCTTGCATTAAGTGAAAAAATGAATATAGATGTGATAAGGTAAAAATCTGAGAGGAAATATACCAAAAGGTTTAGTGAGATTTTCTCAGAGACAGGATTGCAAGAAATTTTTATTTATTTTTTGTTGTTCTATTTCTTTTCCATGTTTTCCCCCCAATAATTAGGTATTGCTTTTATAGGCTGAAAAAAATCTTCATTTTTGTAGTGCTATCATTTTATATTGAAAGAGTGAGACTGGTGCTATTTCTGTTATCTGCAAATCACTGTCTTTTCAAATAAAAAATGTATATTGAGCTTACTTGTATACCAAGCTGGGGTAAAGATAGGTAAATCAAAAATGAGACAGACACACAATGGATAGAAAAAAGGGATAGAATGAGGTGGGTGGGGAGGTAGGAACTGAATATTTATTTGTAGGTCATATGCCCCTAAGACTAGGAATTGCATGTTCTGTCTGATCTACCACTGCAATGCCAGTACACAGCACAGGTGCTTAATACATGTTTGTGACTCAAATTAATAGGAATGTATTTGGCAGAGTTGATCATTTGTGGGCTGACAGTATTTCTACTTTATAGTAGGGCAAGTCATTTTTCACATGACTATTTCTCTTAGAAATCTTAAAATCTGTAGGCTGTCTATAGAGTTCTGGCTGATTTGACCACAGTACATTGTTTTTGGTTACTCAACCAATAAAAACTCCAAGACTCACTTCCTCTACCTCTTGCCATATTTCTGAGCATCTTCCAGAGACATCAGATGGTGGGGACATGAATAAAGAAAGTCAGTGTAAACAACAGTCTAGACCAAATACTTGGTGGGCGGGGAGGGGGCTGCCATGCGTTATGCTTTTAAGTGACTTTTTGATCATTGACAGGTTGAGCCACCCGTATGAGTTAAGCAGGCATCAATTTAAAATAATTCACTTTGATTGTTTCAGAAGGAAAACAAATTGCATATTTTCAGTACAAACAGAAAGCACTAGATAGAAAACCAATAAATCACGCCCATGTGATTACAGCTGATCCCCAACACAAATTCAAGTCAGCCTGCAGCCAAGCGCTTTCCCTAGAAAGTAAGATTCAGACTGGTGTTGATGGGCAATGAGCAAAGTTGCTTCAAGCCATTAGAAGGTTGAAGTGACATAGTCAATTTCATTGTCATATTAACAGCAGAGCCTCCTAGCGAAGGACAGGCCTAATTGCTTAAGCATATCACCATGTGTCAAAATTCCTAAGTGATTTCCTACTCATTAAAGCCATTATGCTCCTTCAAGGCCAGATTGCTCGGTGTGCATAACTTGTGTTGATGACTGGGGGGCCAGCTTCAGAATCTATAGTCGTTGCAGGAATCAACATCAGAGTTTATATAAACGAAATTAAATGAATTGTAGAAAGACATACTCTAAATCCAGTACCAGCCACTTAGGTGTATTCTCTCAGTATGGTATTCTTTAAAGAATACCGTATCAAACACTCAAATATCTTATTTTAAATTCTAATAAAGACATTTAAAAAACAAATCAGACAATGCCTTTGAGTATGACTAAATTTCACAGGCCTAATCTTACTGTTATAAAAAACTTCCTGGCCAGGTGTGGTGGCTCATGCCTGTAATCCCAGTACTTTGAGAGGCTGAGGCAGGTGAATCACGAGGTCAGGAGTTCGAGACCAGCCTGACCAACATGGTGAAACCCCGTCTGTACTAAAAACACAAAAATTAGCTGGGCATGGTGGTGCATGCCTGTAATTCCAGCCACTCAGGAGGCTGAGGCAGGAGAATCGCTTGAACCTGGGAGGTGGAGTTTGCAGTGAGCTGACATCGCACCATTGCATTCCAGCCTGGGCAATAGAGTGAGACTCCGTCTCAAAAAAAAAAAGAAAATTTCCTTCTCTGTTTAGTCTCACAAACAATGTCTTTTAATTTACATTTTTGATCTATTTCATACATAGACACCTACATTTAAAATCCCTTGTGAATTTTATTTTGAAATTAAAGCTGAAAATGAGTCTAAATATTATGTGAGAATTTGTGCTTTGATCAAGATTATCTAAAAGAGAATACTATTTATGTACATATGGTCTATCTATCTATGTATCTATCTATCTATATATATATATTAAAGAGAAGACAGGTCAGGTGCGGTGGCTCATGCCTGCAATCCCAGCACTTTTAGAGTCCGAGGCAGGTAGATCGCTTAAGCCCACAAGTTCAAGACCACCGTGAGCAACATGGCAAAACCCTGTCTCTACAAAAAATACAAAAAATTAGCCGAGTGTGGTGGCATGTGCCTGTAGTCCCAGCTACTGAGAAGGCTGAGGTGGGAGGATTGCTTGAACCCAGAAGGTTGAGGCTGCAGTGAGCTACAATCACACTACTGCACTCCAGCCTGGGTAATAGACCCTGTCTCTTAAATAAATAAATAAATAAAGACAGACTTTGTTTAAAAATATGCAAATACCTATAAAGACAGAAACACAAAATTTATTTTGATCTGGAATCTTAGACATGTTTACCCCTTACTTTTTCCCCCCATTTTCTAAAAAAGCTAATGATGCTATTAAGATAGCAAATATTGTTGCTGTTTTTTTTCCATTGTACGGTTAATGAACTTGAAAAGCTTCAGGACTAGTGATTTTCTGTTTGATTTTGCTATTCTCTTGTTTCTTCTTCTTTGACCAGCCAAACTTGATCCAAATGCTTGGCATCAGAATATAATTTCTTGAGCTTTACCCTCTGTATTCTGAAGAGCCATCAGTGAGCCTTGACTTTGGGATTCTCTGCAGAGCCGTTGACTGAACCGAGATAGCCTGATGACATCGGAATGATCTAGCTTTAAATCATACAGGTACACAATTTTTGCAGCATTCCAGATTCAGAGAACAAATATATATCTTTGCTTCCATGTGATAGGCATTATTTTTTTTTTTATTTTGCTAAACTTCCTTCATTTCAGTTAGTATCTGTTATGGATTGGATTGTGTCCTCCCCAAACAAGATATGTTGAAGCCCTAACCTCAGAACCTCAGAATGTGGCCTTATTTGGAAATAGGGTTGTTGCCCATGTAATGATTTAAGTTCAGGTCATATTAGAGTGAGGTTGGTCCCTAGCCCTTATGACTGGTGCCCTTGTAAGAAGAAAGTCATGTGAAGACAGAGACAGAGAGAACCCCATGTGACAGATGATGAAGGCAGAGACTGGAGTTATGTAGCCACCAGCCAAAGGATGCCAAAGATTCTCAGCAAACCACCAGAAGCCAGAGAGAGGCAAGGAAGGATGTTCACCTGCTGGTTTCAGAGGGAGACTAGCCCTGCTGACATCCTGATTTTGTACTTCTAGCCTGCAGAACTGTGAGACAATACATTTCTGCTGTTTTAAGCCACCGCCTAGTTTGTGGTCCTTTGTTATAGCAGCCCTGGGAAACAAATACAATGTCACAGCCCGGTGGTCCTGCTGTCAGAGGCTGCGTGATGGATGTTGGCCTGGTAACTGCACTGGGTGGCCTCCTTAGCACTGTCTACACATACCGACCCCTGGCTTCATCATGGCCAGGAAACGGCTCCCCCAGACTCAGCACCTCAAAGCCAAGGCCCATGCCTAGGCCAATGAGAAATGGCAGTGGAGACTGAGCATTGCCTTCCTCCTAGGTTCAGAATGCTTTCCAGTTCCTGCTCCATGAACTGGTATGGTCAGTGCGGAGTGGTAGAAGCAAGGTCCTCATAACAAACAACTAATCCTGACTGGCAGCAGCAGAAGCAGTAGAATGTTGCTCTAGGATGCCCAAGACAACTTCCATACAGCAGCTTTTCATGTCCCACCATCTCCTTTTCTATTTTGTCTCAATCTCTTTTCTGATCATAATACCAGGCCCCATTCCTTTCCCTGTATACTTTCTTTAGTTGAATATGTCTCTAAGCTTTTGTCTTCTGTCACCCTTAACTCAGACATAGTCTGGTCCAGCCATAGTTGCTAGGGATGGCAGCTCCTGCTTTGTGAGAAGCATGACCTGTCTGCTTCTCAACAGTTTGGTTCCACCAGTTTCAGGGACAGAAGAGGGTGTGTACCAACCAATAAGGACAATTACTTAATGGATAAATCTTGTCTATTTCACAAAACTTACATGTCCAAGCAGTAGCCTGTTGGAACTTCTATGACCTACTGCAGAAAACCAGATTACCATTAGGGCTACATATCTTCCATTTTAGCTGTTTTTTTCTTATTATTACTTGACATCTCACATACCCTGTTAATAGGAAGTCCAGGGTCTCCCTCGGGAAGCAACATCTCTCCCTTCACCTGTTTCTGCCTTTATCCTGATCAATTTAAAGAATCTGAAGCCAACTCAGTCTACTTCTAAAAGATAAGTCAGTCCTTTTTTCAAATACCAAATAGAACAGATTCATGATCAGATTTTGCCAAGACCTGTCAATATCACCAAGTGCTGCCCCTGGAAATGACTACCACTGCGCATCATTCAGTTCTGACCTGGACTAGGGTAAGGTACCTAGCAAAGTCCTTTCCCCTTGGCCACAGTGATTGGTTTAGAGTAGTTATCTGACCTGAACTGGATCACTTGCATGAAGTACAAGACTTCGGTTCTATGTTTGCGGGAAGAAAAGTGAGCCCCTACAGGTCTCGACGTCTTGACGAAGAATGACAGCAGCCACCCTGGATCAAGAGCAAGACAGAGGATGAGGCTGCTGCCTTGCAAGACAAAGCCTAGAAATGGAGGGACCAGGAGCCTCTGCGGCATTGCTGGGTTGCTGAATCCACTCTTGCAGGGAACCCAGAACATGCTGAATGTTTCAATTACACAAGGGAATGAATAAAGGCCATTACGGTAAAAGATAGTTTAAGTTGCACATTTGTTTTTTATAAGTAAAATAAACTCTAACTGGTATAACATAAAAAACCATTTGTAGTTCTCAGCTGTTCAATTAATTGAATAAACTAGTTGCTGCTCACTTGCATAAGGACTCCTAAATATACACTTAAATTCTTATTATAATAAATGTTTCCCATGGTGAAATATCTATACAGGAAAATTTTTCTAAAGTTTTTGTTAGAAATAGATAACAGCTGAGGAAAAAAATCCCCCCAGAAAACTTCTATCAGGAAAGAGAAATCAGATGAAATGTTTGAAAATGAGCTTTTTAGTACTCAAAGTCTAAACCTCCAACTGTTGGCTCTCCTGACCCCTGTCCTGCGTGTACAGGGCCGATGTTCCACTACTAGGGAGTTATAGGAAGGGCCGGTGCAAAATTAGCCCTTAGGTAACCATTTGTGGCTTGTATGATTGAGGAAGACATAAAATGCATCCATCGATTCTGAGTTACTTGATTCCTGGTAGGGGAGGGGATGGGGACTGAGTTAAGCAGGTGAGTTAAATAAATGTTTAAATAAGGTTTTCTGAACTGGGTTTTTGGGAACCACAAAGTTGGGTTTCAGATTCCTAGTCAGTAATAGAAACCCCCTATCCTTCCTCTCCAGTGCAGAAATAAAGCCAGTTTTGGGATTAATAAGATTAACACGCTGCTGGTCTTACTTCTTGGACTTGGAGCTCTGTGGCAC
This sequence comes from Homo sapiens, assembly GCF_000001405.40. Lineage (NCBI taxonomy): Eukaryota > Metazoa > Chordata > Mammalia > Primates > Hominidae > Homo > Homo sapiens. Next base: position 150,912,247 of record NC_000002.12, on the reverse strand, counting down.
CAGGGCAGCCTGAGTTGCCGGCTGGTTTCACAACCATGACTGTGGTCCTCACAGTGACAGGAGGGACACACCACACGGGAGAGCTCTTCCCCCAAGATCGAGTTATTTTTCTTGCGTAGCACTCCTTATGCAACCAGTATTGTGACTAAGCACTTCCACCCCAAAGATTCCTTCAAAAACATTTTCCTGGCTCCAAATGAGTGCATTCTACTTTGTTTTGCTTTACTGCTTCTTTTTCGTTCCTTCTCAGTTATTGAAATAAAACTGAGAGCCAAATCATAAACTTTGATTTTGTGTTTGACCTCAAGTTTGCTCTGGTCGTTTCTTTCATCCTTTCTTTTTCCCATCAAGCAAGTGCTTCTTCAGTTTACTAGCAACATGCCTGCTAAAGCATATTGCACAATATGTGGCTCGCCACGTGACAGTGACGGTAGAAAATGTAGTTTAGGGCCTAAAACATTGTAGGTATGCCAGCTGCCATGACATCAGTATTGTTAATGCTATGGTTATTCTTTTTATATCAGCTTTTCATATCTCACTTTACAGATTAAGCAAAACAGCTAGCCAATATCTCTGTTTTTTATTGCATTCATAGAATATTATTTTTATTTGTGGGACATATTCTAAATACAGGCATGTGGCACCTTAAGCAGATCCAGTATAGCATACAAAATCTAGATTTATACATTTGTTTGTAATTTTTTTAAAAAGCTAGTTCTCTTTTTGAAATTTAAATATAAGTTGATGACTTTAGTTTTTAGTTTTTTTTTTTTTTTAAATAAAGTTACTGATTTTATTAAGGGGAATTCCCTGATGTGGTCCTTGTGACAGGCAGCTCCAAAAAGGTGTTTACTATTAACCAGTGTCCTCAGCAGGCTTTCTGGGCTCGGCAGATGTGACCTGACACAAACAAATCCACTGTGGTTTTACCTACTAGGATTTGTTTTCATTGTTATTCTAGTCTAATTTTTCATTCGGACAGTGAAATTGGTATTCCATGCAAATTTTCTGGGTATCTGTCCTTTGCTTCATTTTTCAAGTTGCATAATTTAGTCACATTATTTTCATTTGCCTCTATAGCTTTGGTTTACTTTTTTTTTTTTGTATGTTAAGCAAAAACAAAACCAAAAAGCTTTACTCCTTTTTTCTCTACAATAAATCTCTATTTTAAGTATTGATTTGCAAATATGTCTGTCATGATAGTTTTGGGGTGCTTTCCTTCCACTTTTATTTTTATACTAGAAGAGGAATTTACTGAAATCCTTAAAGTTATCTGGCAATTCAATCAGATGCTGCACCTCATTTAAATGTGTTCAGCAATTGTCACGACTGGCATCATTAACTTCTATATTCTTATCTGCTATAATTGGTGATTGATGATGAAGGTTTCTAATCACAGGTGTGATGATGGTTCAGTTGGGCTCAGTGATGTTAAGGCTGAGTGAGCACCTCCTTTACAGCCTTTCTTTCATTCCTTAGCTCAAAATGAGCAAATAATTTTCTATAGCAATCAACCATTCTAATCTTTAGGGAATCTTAACTTATTTTCATCCTATGCTTTAAAACACTATCATTGTGAGTCTTCATACACAGATACCATGTGCCAAAATACTTGGTTCATTTACTTGACAATTAAACCAACCAATCAAGAAATTTGAAACAACAATAAAAATAAAATTTTTAGGTAGATGTGATTATGTTTTGTTTCAATAAATGTAAACAAATAAATAGATATATAGAGAATAGTTCAGATGAAATTAGTAAAAATTGACTAAATTTTGTATAAATCAATTTTATAAATGTGACAACATGAACCACATTTTAAAGAAAAATAACAGAAAAATGGTGTTAAATCCTAGTCTTTGGGGAGGAAAAGTGATTGTACCATATTTTATAAATAAGAATTTTGAGAACAATGAATATAATTTTATTTATGTTAGTAGAGCAATTGTAAGAAGAAGGAATTAAAGTTATGATAATCATACTGGTTAAAAGTGAATTAAAGTAACAGACTACTTTTGGAAACAGTTTGGCAAAGCTCACTGGACTCAATGGAGGAAAGGTATATAAAAACATATATTGGCAGATGGTTTCCTAAATGATAATTGTTGTTAAAGCTAATATTGCCGAATTTGGAAAAACACAGGAAACCTGATGGCCAATTCTAAGGAGGAAAAGAAACATCGTTTTATAGAAACAATTCATTTGATATATAATAAATAAACATCATGAGCTCATTTGGGGGAATCCATGTGCATGTTACTAATTTAAGCTAAGCCTTAATGTTAAAACTCATCTCTCAAGTGCCAGTAACCCTTAATAATTGCCACAATAAGCCATCACTTACTATTTCCCTACCATGTGCAAAACTCTGATAGAAAGACTGTGACAGTACAAGGAACTGTAAGCCAGCACCTCTTTCATCTTTGAGACTAGTGGTAGAGATGGGCATTTACACAAGATAAGGTAATAAAACAAAGCCAAACAGAAAGTGCCTACTAGTAAGTAAATGGTAATGGCATGAGTGTCATCAGCGTGGAGAGAAGGGGCATGCAATTTTCAGTTTAGCTGGTCAGAGAAGCATCTTAAAGACTGGCTTTGGGCTGGGTCAAGAAAGATAGGTAGAATAGGAAATGACCTGAAAAGGAGAAGAAGAGGAACTTTAAGGCAGGCAAGCTAAAGATGTCATGAGGGAAAGTTAAGAAGATAAAAACTACAAAAAAAAAGTATATTTTGGTAGCCAGTTTGGCTGCCTGCTGGTTTCCTACCCAGGAATAAAGAAATGAGTTAGGAAATATAAATGGAGGCCAGGTGCTGTGGAGATTTGGTTGTAGATAGAAGGGCTGTTGAGTAGAGTAGCATTCACCTTCAAAACTGTCCCCAAAGATAACCTTTCACCCTGTCCCTTTGTCTTCCTGTCACTCTACAGCTCAAGGTTTTGTCCCTCTATCTAGTCTTTTCAAAACTGTGTTGTGCTCCATGCTTCACACTTCTCTGTTTCATGTCTATACATGTCTTGAAACTAGCAGTCAGGTTTCATTTTACTGCACAATTTTCTGTGTGAGCCCCAAAGACCAGAAAACAAAGCTGAACTTTGGGATAAATTTTACCAGGAAGATTTTTCTGGGAGTGGAACCTAAACTGGAGGTGTCATAGGTATTACTGAAGAAGCAAAGACAAGAGATTTTGTTACACCTCCCTATGTCTAAAGCCTGTTCTCATGTCTAATTCCATCAGTTTTTCTCCCCTGCGTGGTGACATCTGGCTTATCCAATTAAATTAGCTCAGATGCTCCTACTTCTAACATCTACCATGAAGTCATTCAGTCATTTATTCAAATGTATTGAGCACCTACACTATGTTGAGAACCATGTTATGGAACCCAAAGAAGAACAAGACAAAAACAAGCTTTCATATAGATCTTGCTTTTGAGAGACTGAATATACAAGTGAACAATGGCCAGATCATATATAAAAATAGAACTCTGACCTGCACCCTGACCAGGATGCCAACCCTCTTATCTACAATAAGCAACCCAGGAAGCTAGCCTGCTATAAATCAGATTACTATCTCTAGTAACAACCCAGGAAACTGAACAATAACTTCTGTAATAATCGGTCCAAAATGGCCAGGACTTGATTAATATCTGAGAGCTTCTCTAATTTTTGTTCCCACTTTTAATTTAAGACTAACTAGAGAAAGCCAAATTTGCTCTCCTAACCAATCATGTAGGATGTCTTCTAGTTAACCACCCTATAGCTTTCCCATGCCAACAGGCTCCAATCAAGGCATACCTGAAGGCTTTCCTCTTTTCTGCTATAAAACTTTCCCACTTCTTTGCCTTCTTTGATTCTCTGCCAAAATGCAAGTGATGATGGCTCTGTTGCTATAGTATGCGCTGAATAAACAGACTTAGCTTTTCTCATCTGGGTGGTCTTTATTTTCCACACTTGATGTACAGAAGTCATTCATGACAGTTCAGCATCATAGTAGAGATGGGCTGCAAATCTGCAAAAATATAGAATGCTGTAGTAACACCAATATTCTCTAACCCAAATCTGTAGAGTTGTGGTTCAAATTTCTACCTAAGGAAGCTACAGGTAACTTGCTAATAACCAGTTGCATGAGTGACAGTCAAAGTGGGAAAATAACTTTATTCTTTTAACTCTGTTGTTCTTAAATCACTGTGCTATGGCAAGAGCCCCTGGAAATAAAAGTGTTCTGGGTCACTTCTAACAGTCAAGTCTCACGTTTAGGTGCTACATAAAAGCACAGTTTAAATACAAAGTTTTTTTGTCTCATTTTATTAAAAGATCTATCTCTCAATGTTAGAAGCTAGAAACAAAGGGAAGAGGGAGTGATTGTTATCCTTGCTATTTACCCAATTAACTCTTCCTCACCTGCTTCTGTCACTTGGCAACTCCCGGTTCCCCAGGATTGGAGCAGGGGATGGAGTGACTTGACCAGTGCAGCTGTAACTTGCCTTTGGAGCTTCTCACCATGCCTCTCAAGACATTAACAGATTATCAACGTGTAGCAGCAGAGGTGATGACAGTGGTGAGACTCCAAAAGTTTCCAAAGAGCAGACTGCATGCTTGCCGGTGACCTGGACATCTGCCCAGCTAGCTTGTTCTGCTCTGGTGAAGGTAGGGAAACTGAAGTTCAGGTTATCTTGAATTCAGGCATAAGGCAGCACAGGTCCTGCTCCAGGGCTTGGCAGATTTGTTTCTGTAAAGCATAAGATAGTCAATATTTTAGGTTTTGTGGACTGCACGATCTCTGTTGCAGCCATTCACCTCTACCATTGAATGCAACCATGGACAATATGTAAATGAGTAAGTGTGGCTGTCTCCCATCTCCCAATAAAACTATTTATGAACATGAAAATTTGGGTTTCATATAATTTTTATATGTCATGAAAGCTTATTCTTTTGACTTATCTCAATCTTAACATTGTAAAAACTATTCTTGGGTTGCAAAGCCACACAAGAATAGGCAGTGGACCAGATGTTATCCAGGGACTGTTGTTTGTGGATCACAGCCCTAAACCAACAGAAAACCACAGTGTATGGCAGCACAGGAGTGGGAGGAGATGAAGCGTTTGCAGAAGTGGGCTCTAGGGATGACCATCAGAGAGGTCCAGGCAGATAGTCAAAAAAGACACAAAAAATATTACCTGTAATTCTGGAAATGATAGGGATGAGAGTATACAGCAGTGGGGAATTGAGCTGGAGTTCAATATAGGGAGTGAAGTGATGAGGAGGCTGTTCCTGCAGGAGAGTTGCTATGTCAGGGTAGCAAATCAGCAGGTTCATGGGTGAGAGCTTCTTGACACAGGCTGCAATTCAGTTTTGGACCTACATCTTATATAGTAGCTAATCAGAATAAAGCCAAGAGACCTAGCAAAGATATAGCCTTATCACTTTGCCAAAATTTGCAGGGGTAGGATCTGGAGGCAGTATTGAGTAGTGACAAAGAACACAGGCTCTGGTGTGACTGCCTGCATACCAATCTTATTCATACCACTTTTTTACTTAGTGACCCTGGGCAAGTGGCTGGGGAATGATGATCAGTACACCGCTACCCAGTGTTCTTGGAGAAATCACCAGTGTTAGAATCAACACCATCTACACAGCTTACTAGTTATGTTAAACAGATTTTGCTATTCCACTGCTTCCATTAATATAACTTTACTCTTCCTGGAAACTCTTGCCTGGGAAGATAAGAGTTCCAAATAACTATTATTTATTCTAAGACTTTCTGAAAGACCCATCAACACTGCAATAGAAAGGATCAAATGATAATTTACACCCTAAGACTCTTGGACTTCTTGTCTCAAAATTCTTGTCCTTTCTCTGCCCAGTAATTTTGAACTATTGTGCCAAGATCTTTTCTCAATCCTAATTAAGTCCCATGTGTTGAAAGACCCACTTTAAATCAGACTTCGAAACCTCTATAAATATCTCAACTTTGTCCTTCTCCCTTTGAGGTACTGCCAGGAATGTGCAGGTAGTGTATGCCTTATAGCAGTGAGCAAGAAATTCAGCTTTGTTGTATCCACAGGTTGTTTTGGTGATACTTTGAGAGCATATATAAAGCTCTCAGCTTGATGCCAGCCCTCATTGAAAGTTCTTTATCAAGTTAAATATGTAGATTCCCCTGAAGCAGTGTTCACGATGGCCAGAAGGTAGAAGCAACCCAAATGTCTTTCCATGGATGAATGGATAAACAATATGTGACATTTACACACAATGGAATATTATGCGGCCTTACAAAGGAAGGATCACCCTGGGCAACACAGCAAGACCCCGTCTCTGTGAAACAATAAAATAAAGTAAAAAATTAGCCAAGTGTGCAGCCTGTATTCCCAGCTACTGGGAAGGCTGAGGTGGGAGGATTGCTTGAGCCTAGGAGGTACAGGCTGCAGTGAGCTGCGATCATGCCACTTCACTCCAGCCTGGGCAACAGAGCAAGACTGTCTCAAAAAAAAAAAATGTGAGGAAACTCTGAAACATGTGACAATTGAATGCACCTTGAAGACATGATGCTAAGTGAAATAAGTCAACACAAAAGAACAAATACTGTATGATTCCACTTATATGAGGTACCTAGACTAGTCCAGTTCACAGAGACAAAAACGAGAATGGTGGTTGCCAAGGCTAGGGGAAGGGGAAAATGGAGAGTTAGTGTTTAATGGGTATGAAGTTTCAGTTTGAGATGATGAAAAAGCTTTGGAGATGGGTGGTGGTTATGGTTGCACAACAGTGTGAATGTACTTAATACCACTGAATGGTACACTTAAAAAAGGCTAAAATGGGATATTTTATGTTGTGCATATTTTACCACAATTTTATACACACACAAACACACACACACACACACCTTGAGGGACTTGATAGCTTTTCATTGTGACCCTCACATATCCTTGTCCCTTATTCCCAACTCTTCCTCTTTATTCTTCTTGATAAAATGTCTTCTTAGACATTTCCAAATAATGGCTGCTAATGTTTTCTGTTTAGTTTTTTTGAGACGGAGTCTCGCTCTGTCACTCAAGCTGGAGTGCCGCTGCTCCATCTTGGCTCACTGCAACCTCCGCCTCCCGGGTTCAAGCGATTTTCCTGCCTCAGCCTCCCTAGTAGTTGGGACTTACAGATGCCCTCCACCATGCCTGGGTAAGTTTTGTATTTTTTAGTAGAGATGGGGTTTCACCATGTTGGCCAGGCTGGCCTCAAACTCCTGACCTCAAGTGATCCACCTGCCTCGGCCTCCCAAAGTGCTACAGGTTTACAGGATTACAGGTGTGAGCCACTGCATCTAGCCTAATGGCTGCTGATCTATAAGTACAGTGCTTCTATCCTCCAAAGTAGCTGCACTTCAGCCAACACTTCTCCTGCTAAAACCTATCAGATAAAATATTCTGTCATCCTCCCCACATTAGAATGAGTTTCTTTGGAGACATCTAATTTCAGGCATTTTCTAATAAAGGCTTATGCTAAGGGTAGTGTGGTTGATTTTCTTACACTGTGTGTGTGTGTGTGTGTGTGTGTGTATAAGAGAGAGAGATAAAGACAGACAGAGAAACAGAGAGTGCCAATGAGTTTGGAGGTCTGTAATCTCAGTACTGCAGGGGCTTCCAGGGCTTTCCCTTGAAATGTCAGTCCCTGGTCCAGTGAAATGTGAGAGATTTGGGAGGTCTTTAAGGAGGCCAGCAATGGCATGTGGGACCCTGGACCTTGAGATTTAATGTTGAGTTTCACTGACATGTACCCATGGGTCAAAGTTAACAACTTATATTCTGTCCCAGGCAGAGTGGATAGAGAGTGGAGTAGCTCTGAGGCTGTAGAGACCCAGCTGGAAGGAGCCAGGAAAGGGAAAAGGAGGGCACAAAGCAGGAGGTGACAAGCAGAGACCACTGGAGATGGCTTTCCTTGAAGAGCGCTGAGGACCAGTCTGCAAAGTTTAGATGTCAGGAGAGGCTTGAGGACAGGCTTGGTGGGGAGGCTGCGAGGTGTTTCTGGGCACTGGTGGTGAGGAATCCAATCAGTGTCTGTGGGAAGTGTGGAATCTGGTGAAAACGGCCTTCAGGAGAAGACCCAGTGGTCCTGAGACGTGGTATTGTGAGCAAACTCTGCCCTGAGCAGCCAGCTTGCAGTATGTGAGATCAGTCAGAGCTGCCTAGACCCCTGGGTGTAGGGGGCACCCTAACTGGCTTCAGCACTGAAGGGTTTCAAGAGCTCCCTGGGTAGGACTCTAGGGCTCCTCACTTGGAGACAGGTCACAAGGACCTCATTATATTCTTGAGAGCCAGAGGTCTGAACAGAAGGCTTAACCTTTGCAGCTTTGGCCTAAAATAATACCCAATCTAAAAAGAGTCACCCAGAAAACTTTAACTTAGATTCAGCACACTCAAAAGATGAAAAAAAAAAAAAAACAAAACCAAAAACAAAATAAACAACAACCAATGAAAGGTATGCCTACCATTATAGCAAGATTTCTTTTAGTGATGTTTAAAATACAAAAACTTTGGTGCCTAAACCGAAAATCTTCCGTTATATTAACAGAGACTTAAGGAGTAAATGCCCTGAGTCAGTAATTGCGGGTGAGTAAGGTATTACAAAATCATGCTAAAGGCTGAGCCATCCTTAAATTGATAAAAACTTTAAGAGCAAACATAGTACAATCACAAGTCTCTATCCTAGAAATCCAGAATTCTGAATTGATTAACAGCCTGGGTAAGGAGAAACTTTCTCTCCCTGGGCACAAGTTAGACCTAGTGCTATTTGCTCTTTAAGCCCAGAAAGATATCTAAGCAGGTGACTGAATTTCTTATTGGTACAGTGGCTGGCATTCATTATGCTACTGAGAATGGAACAAAAACCTTTTTGTGTTATTCATGTACTACCTTTTACAGACCAAAGGAACAGTCACTTAATGGCTAGAGCTGGCAAATTAATAATAATGGACCAGACTCTCATCCCATGCAATCAAATAGATGCTATTCTCTACTGAGTTATGCAGCATAAGAACCTCACCTAATAACAGTAATAAATAATGGAGTAATTTCCATGCCAGCTGCTTCCTTGCTTCTAACCAGGATTTTATATCATTGCAGTTCTACCTACAGGAAACAACGACATTCTCAGACCTATTTTAAAAGTCTGCACCTTTTATCTTTTTTATTGCTACAGTTTTTATGGGTTGTCTCGGTCCAGGGTTGAATTTTTAGGTCCCTAAGAGAGGGAAATGTGATCAAAACAATATTTTGAGTGGAGCTTGATGTGACAACTATGGAAGAGGAATTCAGGACAAATGCACCTGTTATTTGGATTTGGGGGGCACTATGAACACAACTCTTTTTCAAGGCTATTTATATGACATTTGTGGGAGAATATGTACTTTTCTGATAATGATTATTTTGCTAGTGGTTTGGATCTGCAGTTGGTTGTGTGGACTAGCTGACCATTGTGAAATTTGATGGAGTAAACTTACCTGGGGTTCTGAATCCAAGAGTGTGTAATAAGTTGATATATATAATATTATATATTTAATTTTATTTTTTGGAGATAGCTCAGATGAAGAGCACAGCAGGGTTAATGTGTGGTTGTATAAATGTCCCTGTTTTTTCCTTCAAGTTTCATCTCTGTGTCTTCTTGGACCATCATTTTGCTATATTATCTTAGAGTTGTTTTACCACCATGCTAGTGTTCTAGAAGTGAATGTGCCTTAACCTCCACCTCCTTGGAATTTCTAGGCACTTGCTTTTTACTTTAGTTCTAACATGTCACTGTTTGGATGCTTCTGGGACTCACTGTATATCTGTTTGTTTTCCCTATGTGGCTGTAAGCCTCTTTTCTATCTCATGATGTAGGTTATTATTACTCTCAATGGGTGCATGTGGAAATTGAAGCACAGGGAAGTCTGTGTGCCCAGGGTTACAGAGCTGGTAGGTACAGAGCCAAAACTGGAACCCAGGCAGTCTGGGCCCAAAGTCCATAATCTTAACCACATTCTGCTGCCTCTCTTATGAACAGCTAGCACAGTGCCTTAGACATGGTTTGTTGAATTGAATCTTTTTTACCTTATGGCGTGCACACATAAGATAGTACTATGAACAAAGAATGTTTCTTTGGAAATGAAGCAGATGAATTCCAGGATGCTCTTCAAGTTCTTGCATCTGTAATGGTCCTTTAGACCTTTTTGGTCCTTCTGTCACAGCAATGCCACTCTGGATGTCTGGATCCCTCTACGGAGAAAAGGGAGTGCCCAGTATTGAATCTGCTTCTGTGAGTTTGGGAAAACTCCTGACATAACATCCCAGGCTTCCAAATCCAAGCTGCCCCTCTTGTAGGTAATGTCTGTGGGCCTCTCTCAGCAGTGGGGCTGTTCTCATTCATCACTGGGAGTAAACATACCTAACATTCTTAATAGTCCTGAGAGTAGGGAAAATAACATTAAATAATATATTTCTCTTATCGTAAATGATCCATTTTGCTGAAAAGAACATTTACTTGATTTCCATCTCCTCACAGTCTCATTTTAAGACTTAACAGGTTTCTAAATTACAAAAGAACACTTTGAAAAACACCCTGTTACATTCCTCCAGTATGCCTTCCTGGCGGCAATACACACGGAAAGTCAGAGACTAACTTTGGATTTAGACAGATGCTCTTTTGGCGCTCTGAATGACATTTTCCTAAACAAATTGCTGAATGCTTCAGAAATGAAACCTGTGATGTCTAGCACAGGTTGTACACAATCCACTTAAGAGAGATTGCAATACTCATTGTCAGATGCTTTCTGATATGCCCTGGCTGATGGAAGGATGTGTATTTATGAGCTCAACTTAAAGGAGAGTTGGAACGTATTTAGGCTTTTTTATTTTTTATCCCTACACATGGTAAATAAATAGACCTTGATAAATAAACAAATGAGATAGATTCTGATGCTAGCTTCTAAAATAATTTTTCACCAGAAGAACAATAATACAATATACATACTCAAAATAGTTGCTATAGGAGTTCTCATTATTATTTCTTGTGACTCCCTCACTTCCCCTTAGGGTAGGACAGTCCTATGAAGCAGGGACTTTCTCAAATAGTTAACATTCAAGTGTAGGTCGTCTTGTGCACAGTTCTGCAATTTAGCCCATCTCTCCATTACTTCTCAGTCCTCCTTGTGACTAAGACTGATGTAGTTTCATTATGAGAGTGGCATCTGTTTATCTGTGTTGAGGGTGTGGGAGTTTGGGGGAGGGACTAATCAATAAAAAGTAATCATGAAAATAAAGGAATGAAAGTTTTCCTTATAAAGCCTTATAATAGAGAAAACCAAAAACAGAAACAAACAACAGAAGGTAGAAATCTTTTTTTAATATAAATTTAAGGGGTACAGGTGTGGTGTTGTTACGTGGATATGTTGCACAGTGGTGAAGTCTGTGCTTTTGGTGTAACTGTTGCCCGAATAATGTACATTGTACCCAAAAGCTAGAAATCTGAACCAGACGAGAGAGAGAGAGAGAGAGAGTAGTAAGATTCAATAAATGTGTAAAATTCTTGAGTAGGACATTGAATTTTCTACAGAATGTGAGATAGGTCAGGATGACCCCAGAAGGTACCTGGGTGATATGGTTTGGCTCTTTGTCCCCACCCAAATCTCATCTCAAATTGTAATCCCCAGGTGATGAGGGAGGAACTGATGGGAGGTGATTGGATCATGGGGGCGGTTCCCCCACGCTGTTCTCATGATAATGAGTGAGTTCTCACAAGATCTGATGGTTTTATAAGGGGCTCTTGCCCCTTTGCTTGGCCCTTTTTTCTCCTGCTGCCACGCGAAAAAAGACGTGTTTGCTTCCGCTTCCACCATGATTGTAAGTTTCCTGAGGCCCCCACCCAGCCATGTGGAACTGTGAGTCAATTAAACCTCTTTCCTTTATAAATCACCCAGTCTTAGGGAAGTTCATAATAGCAGTATGAAAACCTGTGAATACACTGGGTTAAAATTAACAATACTTCTTAAGCACCTCATGTGTTGGACTGTCTTCTAGGTCCTTGGAATATATGAATGAAGAAAACCATAGTACATGAATCATATAGTGCTCTTACCATAGCATGTTTAGGGACCAGACCAAGTGCTTGTAGGTATCATCAAATTTAACCTTCACCTCTCAGTGAAGATACTGAGATCCAGAGATTAAGTGACTCACCCAAGGCTGCATGGCTAGTAATTAGCACTGCAAAGATCATACTCTTAAGCTCTTCCCTGGATCATACTGTCCAGCAACTTGGTTTGAGATGGGAAAAATATTAACCTTATTTCACTGGACCCAGAGAAATGACACAACTTGCTTAAAACTTGCCCACGGTAAGTGGTAGAAGGAACTATTTTACATGTCTGGCTGTTCAGATGGTGCTTCTTCACTATTCCACACTACCTTTACACCTGCAAAGCAGGATATGTAATGCAATCTATATGCATTTTCAGTATAAAATACCACTTAATAGTTGAAATTATGAAAAAGAAAAAATAGTTAAATTATGGATATAGAATGTAAGATCATCTTTGTGAGATAGAGTTGATATCTCATAAGAACAAATTTAGAATAGTCGTGCTTTTACAAAATAAGTATTGAATACCTTATTCTTAAGATAGGCCTAAGAGTTTCCAAAACATATTGCTACATTGGAATTGGATATTATGTTTTTGTGGCTGTTTTTTAGATGATTTCTCCTTTTCAAATTTGATATGCTATTCTAAGTAATCACAGTATTTAGCTTACTAGAAAACCCCCAGATAAATCAAATAAATAACTTATTAAGGTGTCAGTAACACACTAAATTATTAGAATGGATGAGAGCATTTAAGAGTAACCACAATAAGAAAAATTTAAGTAATTCTTTTTAAGTGGTACATAATTTCCTCATCCATATTACTTCTCTCCTATTTCATACCCACAAACTGCAAGTTAATAGAAAGCAGGAACATGGTGTGTGTGTGTGTGTGTGTGTGTGTGTGTGTGTGTGTGTGTATGTGTGTGTGTATGTGTATAGATTCAGGATATTACATTTGTGTATTCAAGGATTGGTTATTTTCTTCGTTTATTTGAAATTCAGGAAAGCAGGAAACACATTTAACTCTTAAGCGTCATGGGAATAGGTCATATAACACAGTCAGGAACCTCTCATAACAAATTAAATATAGCCAGGTGTGAGGGAAAATAAATTCCATATGCTTAAAAATTATTTGAGGAGATAGAATTTCACTGGAAAATATAAGTGGAATCTGGAGGTCCTTTCATTAAAAAGTTTATTAAACTGTAACATGTCTGATAGCCAGTGCTTATCTGAGAATAGGGTTAAGGTCCCATTGAAGGGTGAAATTTCATTGAAATTTTCAAAGTACCTTCTTCAAACTAGACCTATGACTTTATTATTTGCTCAAAGTAGGTTTCTTTTCCTTCATGGGTTAGAATATTCACCGAGCCCTTATAAAATGTTTGGAACCATTATGAATCTTCTAGAAACTTCTTTATTTCTGTGAGATAGCAATGTGTCCAAGATATTAGAAGACAAATGGAGTCCTACTTCAGCTGAGAAAGAGCTTTAACAATACATCTGACCCCATGTTATGTACTTTACACAGATAAGTGTGTTCCATGTTTACCACAAGCCTATAGGTTTCCGTTATTGTCTCACTTGGCAGATGTAGAGATGAAGAGATTCAGCAGAGATTTCCTAGTCTTCTGTAAAGAATAAGATGGAAGTCCAGGTCCATCTGGTTGCAAAGCGTTTCTACTGGGTCAGGCTGACCCTTGGTAGAAAGAATTCTAAGATGATGAAGAAAAGAAGACAGGTAACAGTGAGATACAAAGAAGGGAGGTAGAGCAAGGGTATGGAGTGGCAGTGGTGGGAGGTGGAGATGAAGGAGTGAAGATGCTTGGCTGCCTCCTGGTTGACTAGATGATTCCTTGTTCCTGGACCTCAGCCACTCCCATCCACTGCCAGACCTGACCACTGATCCCACGGCTGTGCTCCTGGATGGTGCCCTCTGTCATTTCCCATTCATCGGGGACCTAATATTTCACTCTGTTTCTTATGTTATGGCACTGCCTCTAAAGATCTCATGCTCAGTCCTGGCTGATCTTTACCTCCAGTTATCACAGTACCCAACTTTTTCCCTTATGGTCCAGATAATCCTTGTTTTTATGACGCTGTTGAATTTGTAGTGACTGTCTAAGGCATTATGTTGAGAGTAATTTCGTTTCATTGGGAGGACTGATTGATAGTGTCTGATTAGAGAAGAAGGGGAGAGTGTAGGTATGCATGCTATATATTTGCCATTCTTGTACAAGATAGGCAGGGCTTGGTTCTGTTTTCCAATGTATCCTCTACTTAATTTGTGTAAAAGAAAACAAAACAGAGTTAATCTTTATCTCAAATGTATAATGAGCAACTGTGCACAGACACTGTATTTGGTACTGGGGATACAGAGATGAAGAAGATGACATTTTCCTTGTCACACTAATTACCATTTGTTTAGATGCTTGGCAGTTTAAAAAACAAACTCAAAGACTTCATCTCCTTTGGTCATCTCAATAAGTAAGGCAGTCAGGATGTGGCAAATATTATGATGCATGTTTTAGAGATAAGGCAATGGGGGTTCAAGGAAAAGTAACCTGGCAATGGCTATTAAGTCATAAGTATGGAGCTAGTATTTGAACACAGGCTTTCTGTCTCTAGAATCTATGGTCCATTTCACTTTAGTATACAATTCATGTTCATGTGAAAATGGGAAAAAACTAGTTGATCTCTCTTTCAGGAAGCCTGTGACAATTGAACCTTATGTGGTTCAGGGCTAATATGCTCTGAAGAAATGAATCTTACAGAAATTTCTGGCTAGGTAAGAAGATTATCAATTTGGGAGTGTTTTCAGAAGAAAGCCCAAATAACAATGGCTTAAAGAAGTTGGGGCAATCCTCAGGATTCAGTGGCTCAAGGATATCAAGGCTGCAGTCTTTGCTATTCTCTTGGCCTTTTCCTCATGGTGGCAAGATGGCTGCTGCAGCATTAGCTACTGGGTTTGCAGAAAGAGAAAACAACAAAGAAAATGTGATGGCACCTCTATTGGGAAAGCAAAACTTTCTCAGTAATCCCCAGAAAAATATCTGTTCACTCTGGTTAGAACTACACCACCTGGTCACCTTTAGCTTTAAGAAAGGTTAGAAAATGTTTATCTAGCGGCCCCAAATAAAATCAGAGTTATGTCAACACAGAAAAAGAAGAGAATATATATTAGGTAGCCAGCTACTATCTGCCACAGATATCTCTCCAAGCTAATAAACTGGTCACTTGGGGACCCGGCATGGTAGTTGTGGTGGAGAGGCATTATTATATAATGAAACATAGATAATTCTGCGTTTTATGGTTGTCTATATTTACTTGAGGTAATCCCAGTTGGTTTCTATTTTCCAGAAGCACCATTACCCACAGCAGTCTTTCCAACAAGAGGCTATGAGTTGTCTGGATTTATTGTGTATGTGCATGCACTTTTACATAGGACTGTATTTCTATGCATTTTCTAAAATATAATTTAATGGTCTCAAGGTAATGTGCACCTCACACTGTGAATCACCTCCTTTTCACAGAATGTCGTTAGCACTAGCTTTGCTGTAGGGTTAATGAATACTGTTGTTAGAACCATGTGCTTCAGTATAGAATGTCTCCACATCACTGAAGTGAAAGGGTGTATTCAGAAACTCCCTCAGGAAATCAAGACATTTCTTGTAGATTTGTTTCCTGTTAAAGAAGTCATACAATTCAGCAGAGTAAGAAGTGAAAATCATTGGATATAAACTTTTGGTAGCAGGAACACATGGTGAGGACTAGTAGGACTTAAATTCAGGATCTTAGGTTTTAGAAGACAACATGTTTCACATCTAATACACTTGTTTCATTCTGAAAAAAAGATTGTGATGCCTTTCCAGAGAAAAGCACATATTTTTTGTAATTCCAGGAAGAATGGGTGAAGACCAAAGGAAAGAATGAATAAGGGAAGTAACATTTTTAAAGTGTCAGCTATGTTCAGGGAACTGTGCCTGGGGCCTTACATATTTTAACTCACTAAATCCAAAGAACAATCCTAGGAGTAGGTATTTATATTCCAATCTTATAGATAGGAAGCTAGAAATTTAGAGAGATTAAGTGAATTGCTGGAAGTCACATAGCTAGTGAGTTGGAAAGTTGGCGCTTGCTAACCCTAGATATTATCCTTTTTTTTCACTCTGCCTGTATAATTGGTAAAATATCCCTTAAAACACTACAAATAACTCTTAGTCTGCAAAATGTACTAGATACACCCAAATCTACCAGTCCTAAACGTTTACTTTCCAAATCTAACAGTTTCTACCTAATTTCTTTTCACTTTGCTCCAGTCTATAAGAGAGTAATCAGAATGTCTCCAATCAGCTCCCCTAGGGATTAAATACACAGGAATAGGAAGAAGACATGGCTGTCATCAAATCTCTCCAGATCTCTTGTATCTACTTAAGTCCCATGGCAACTTCTTTCAGGCCCAGGACATGGGAACCAGTTCATAGATGTGTTGCAATAGATTAGCTGTTAGGATTGTAAGAATTTGTAATGTGAACTTACCTACCTAAGGTGAATTAGTTATATAGTGTAGACCACAAGCTTAGTGTGCTCCAGTCCCAGCAGGGACCCAAAAATATGAGTGTGCATTTGGGTGTGTATGTGTTTTACTTTAATGGATAAATAAATGGACTAAATGAAAATGCATTGAGCAGCGAGTGAAACTTTGGATTCCTGCAGCTTCTGCCTTTTCAGAGGGAGTTCCTCTAACCGGCCAATCTATAGGTAAGTTAGGATTAAGGTTAGTGTTAGGGCCTTCCCTGTATCTTTTTCTCCATCTTTTCTGTTTCACTCCACAACTGTCAGAGGCCTCACTTTGGGAATGGAGGTGAAGGAGGTCCCTCTCTGAAATCTAGATCTGGCTCATTATTGATCCTCACTCCCAGACTTGGTTCGAGTGCCATGGAGAATGTAGTTTGAAGCTGGTATGCCTCAATTCTCCTCCTTTGAGCACCCCACACAATAGTTGGGAGAATGCTTCATTTAATTAATGTATCTTGATAACTGATAGACCCACCTATCATTTCATTTTCAAATTAGAATTGCCATTAGCTATAGCGAATGGTATTTTCAGCTGTTCCCTTTTGTTTACCCATGATTAATCCATCTGCTTAATGAGTAAAGTGCTAATGATAGACACAAGTGGGTAGCTTCAGGTTGGCTTGATTTTGTCAGACTATAAAATACGTATCTCTTTTATTTCAAGAAGTGTAACGAGGCAATAAGTCTATGCTGCCTCCTTCTTTCCCATCCTCTGCACCACCCATAACACAACTTAGCTCACCTGTTTTACAGCAAAGTTGAAGTTCAAGGCCAGCTTCATGGGTATGTGATCTGTGCAGTCCCACCAGCTTCCACTCTTAGAAGGGCCCCACACTTGGTTTAATGCTCTGCAGTTGCCATTACGAAACTCTTAATAATTTCTTAACAAGGGGCCCCACATTTTTATTTTGCACTGACTGGGCTTTGCAAATTCTGTAGCTGGTCCTGCCTAGACTATCTGCTTTCAAATAACCAAAAGCAAATGGCTAAAGGGAGCAAGAATAGAAGGTAGCAATTTTATAGGCCTGGAGACTTGTATGCTATGATCAGATGCAGACACAAGAGAAACAATTTGTGAGAGTTGAGCAGGGAGGCAGGTTGTGGCAGTAGTTTCCAACTTTCAAATCACATCTCTGCATCTGGTTTAATTATAGGGTTTATAATGTGAATTCCGTGAATAAGAGTTAGACTTGTAGTCATGTCATTTCAAAAGTGCTTTCTAAAGTCAAACACTGATACTTTTTGGAGTGATTGCTTCATTATTTCTGCTCCCCCCTAAGCTCAGCTAATCACAGGTTGATAGTAAATTGCTTATGCAAGAGCCAGAGTAACAGGAGATATGGCTCCCTACCATCCCAATGTGAAATGATCTCTCCTTTCTCCCAAACATCCTTCCCATCTGTTTGCTGTATAGCTAATAATGCAGCAAACTAACAGCCAGGTGCTGAAATTTTTATTTGCCTTAAAATATAAATACCAGTCTTTCTTGCTGTTGCCATTTTTCAAGAAACATACTCTATGACATATCCAATTTGGGGATGCATAATTTTCACCTGCAGGTATATCTTCCTCTCTCACTTAAGTCATACTACATTTTCACTTGATTGTTGGCTGAATCCTGTCAATCCATATTTCCTGAATCTATCCCCTGCTGGTTTATAGCCTTTCCACTCTCTTATTTCAATCCCTCAACATTCCTTGTATGGGTGATCACTGTAATTGATCTGTAACTGGTGTCAGGTTAGTCTCCATCTGGTATGTACTCTTCACTGAAACCAAGGTAGTCCTAAAATGCAAATGAGAGAGGTGAGCAGATATGGAGAGAGAAATCTGGACAGTGTGCTAACTAGCAAGATTGATTTTGTCACCTTCTTGCTTTATTCAATTTAATGCTTCCTTTCTCCTTCAGAATAAGGTCCATTCCCCTCATAACACAAAGTTTCTTCAGACAGGCATTGCAGGTGCCTTGCTTTCTTCCCCAGTCTCTTCTCTCATTACTTTTCCCTGAATACACTCGACTCTAGCGGTTCCAGGAAGAGGCTGTGTTTTGTCTGACCTAGAGACTGTGCTTGCATTTTCTTCTCTTTAAAGCTCTTGACTTCGCGTTCATCAACTGGATCACTTCTACTTGCTTTTCAAGATGCAGATGAAATGCTACCTTCTTTCAGGGAGACCTTGCTGACACTCGTTACTCCCTGGATAGTCAGCTATCCCTCTTTTGTGCTAACAGAGAAAACTGTGAGCAACTCTATCATAAGACTTATTACTTGGTATTTTGATTGTTAACTTATATGACTTCTGCCACTAGGTTTCACCACTTTGGGAAAGAGCCTATATTTTTGGGTATACTTGATGTTCATAGCCTGATGAGTGAATACCTAAATGAATAAGTGAGTTAATGGAATGACCCAAAAGGAGATTTGTTTATCTATGAGAGTTTCTAGAATGTCAAGAGTAAAAACTTCCATGCTCTTTCAACAGAGAGTTTTAATTTTGCAGTTCACCATGTTTGGTGTTTCTTAGAGAGACTCAAATGAAAATCTTTCTGAGGCAAGTCAACAATATTTTATTGTAGATCAAAGTCACTACTGAATTATGAGATTTCAGCATGGAAAAGAAAATAGACTGCTGTACTTAAAACCAACTCTACAAAGTATAAATTCTAAATTTATAGCCCAATCATACATTTTGGGCTTTGAGGGGTGTTTCCCACTGGTTGGGTAGACTGAGGGAATTGTGCAGCTTCCTTGGAGTGAATGGAGTATATTGGTGTGAAAGGCAGAATGAGAGGCTATTTCTCCATTTCTGTCTTTTACAAGGCTGAACACCTTGGTTTGGAGTTTCTTTGAGAGGACAAAAGAGAACATGGACAGGAGGATAAAGAGAATAAATGTTATACTCAAATTTAAATAGAGCCGTCTAGGACCCCAAAGAAGTGAAAATATTCGAGGCCTATTAAAATGAAGTATAATGTCATCTGGATATTTCTCTATGCTTATTTCTATCCACAGAAAGTATTTCGAGCTCTGTCATCTAAAGTAAAGATAGTAAATACATTGCCTAGGATGAGCCCAGGACAAATTCCAGTTCTCAATCACAGTATGTTTTTCTGCTGATCCTGGATTGTGCCTCAGAATCATTCTCAGTACCGTGTTCCGGGTAGCTTCTACCAATAGGTAAGAGTTGCCAAGTGATGTGAAATCAACTTGCCATTTTTGCTCTAATGAGAATGTAAACCTGATATTTCCATTGGTTGAGTTTTTCTAATTTTGGTTCCTCTCCTTAATTCCATGATTATGGCTGGTGGGGTGGGGCCACATGAGGATTTATAGATCCCATTCCTAGTTCCAAAATCTGTATTAGAGTTCTCCAGAGAAACAGAACCAATAGAATGTGTATATGCACACACGTACACACACACACAGAAAGACAGAGAGAGAGAGAGAGAGAGAGAGAGAGAGAAAGAGAGAGAGAGAGAGAGAGAGAGAGATTTCAAGTAATTGGCTCACATGACTATGGGGCTGGCAAGTCTGAAATCCAGACAGCAGGGTGACAGGCTAGAAACACAGGAAAAAATTGATATTGCAGTCTCAAATCTGAAAGCTGTGCTGCCTGGAGGCAGAATTCCTTCTTCCTCAGGGGCCTCTGTCTTTTCTTTTAGGGCCTTCAACTGATTGGGTGAGGCCCCCCAGATGATAGAGGTAAATTGGTTTTACTCAAAGTCTACTGACTTAAATATTAAACATATTTCTTATAGGTGAAATATCTAAAAAATAACTGTACAGCAACATAACATTTAGACTGGTGTTTGACCAAACCATAGCCTAGCCAAGTTGACATTTATTAAATACAACAAACTCTATCATCAAAAAGAATTACAACATGTCATAGAAGGAGTTTATATATATAATTCCTTTCCTTCTTTCCTTTCTTTTTTCCTCCTTCCTTTCTTCTTCCTTCTTTTCTTTCTTTCTTCCTTCCTTCCTTCTTTCCTTCTACTGTTTCCTATTTACCATGTACTATTCTAGGAACTGTGGATACAACGGAGTATTCCACAACTCCAGGCAGCACTATTTACAGAGACTAAAACTCCAGTTGTGTTCTTTGGAATTGGGCAACAGTATGGCCCTGTATGCAAAGCAGAAATTTCAGAAAAAATAAGTATTATGAACCTTCTTTTGTTATAAACAAAGTGGCAGGGCATTCGTTTAGTGAAGCAAACCTGAATACCTTCTGGGTGAAGGGCTTTCTAGAAGACTTTCCCACATTATTCAAGATCCCTTTCTTCCCTGCCTACTTTCCTCCTTTTAGAATCACCAAATCACTGCTTTTAGTGTCACTAGAGCCAGAATATACACAAGCCTCCTAGACATGCCATCTCATAGAATTTTTTTCTGTTCAATATTTTGTGCTGATGTAAACAGGCATAATAAATACATTAAGAAAAGTTTTCATTGTGGTAAATTACACATAATATAACATTTCCCATTTTAATTATTTTTAAGTGGTATAGTTCAGTGGTATATTAAGTACATTCATAGTGTGCAACCATCACCGCCATCCCTCTCCAGAATGCTTTTCATCTTGCAAAACTGAAATTCTATATCCATTAAGCAGTAATTCCCCATTCTCCCCTCTCTTTAGTCTCTGGCAACCATCATTCTACTTCCTGGCTGCATAAATTTGACTACTCTAGGTATCTCATATAGGTGGAATCATATACTATTTGTCTTTTTGTGCTGATTTATTTTACTTAGCATGATGTCCTCCAAGTTCATCCGTGTTGTAGCAGGTGTCAAATTTTTCTTCCTTTTTAAGATTGCATAGTATTCCAATGTATGGATATGCCACATTTTGTTCAGTCACTCGTCTGTTGATGGACATTTGGGTTTATTCCACCTTTTGGCTATTGTGAATAATGCTGCTATGAACATGGGTGTACAAATATCTCTTTAAGTTTTGCTTTCAATTCCTTTGGGTATATACCCAGATATGGAATTGTTGGATCACATGGTACCACTATTTTTAATGTAAAGAATAATTTTAAAGCCCCTGATTTATATTCTCTGCTCAGTTAAATCTTGTTCATCATTTACACTTCTAAGGAAGGGGGTATGGTGATAACACTGGTGGGTTATGGGGAGGAAAAGAGCACAGAGTTTCGAGAGGCAGACAGAGGTGTGTGCTCTACACATTTACTCCAACCTCAGTCCATGACACAGTCTTAGGGTGAGGGCTGCACTGGAAAGACTGAAGGGAAGGCAAAAGCTGAGAGGAGTTTGTCTCAGTTCCCACTTGGGATTCATCTCAGAGGGTGGTCTCAACACCACTTTGGCAGCTATATTAAAGTAAAACTTATAGATGCAAAAAATAACTAATGGCACTAATGGGTGAATTTGAGCAACAGGGAGGCATACTTTTTAGAGGTGGGCTTTAAGTGACCTTGTGTCTGCTGGGCAGACTTCTAGTACAAGATGGGGAGGCCACGACCACTGCAGAGTGGCTGAGAATAGGTAGATGATCATGGCAGGGAGATCCACCCCAAGGGAAAACAGAGCTCAAGTTCACTGGCCACAGATGTCCACGTAGCAAGCAGACAAATGGCTCAACAGGCAGACAAAGAATACAACCTTTGATGGGGACAGAGAGGAGAAAGGGCATGGAGCATGGCTGCAGAAGACTGAAGATTTATCTGAAAGAGACAGTTGTAAGCTGATTTGCCATTAATGGGACCAGTTAAATTTCCCTTTTGCCCTGGGAGACAGCGTATGAGGAAGGTCAGAGTGGTTGTAAGACTATAGACTATTATATAGATTCTAGTATATAGAATAGTATAGAAACAACCTTTTCTAGGCAAATCTGAGTTGTAGTGTGATCAAATCATAATGCTGACAAAACTATATGTAGATGGACTATGAGGTTGGAGAACTGAAGGAAAGTGAACAAACTAAACAGACCAAATTAAGATGCAACCATTTCTAGAATAACCTCATAACTAGCTCAATATTCTTTTTTATTTGGTTAAAAAGACCCAATCTAAGATATTTTTTCCTCTTCCTGTACAAAGTGGTTTTTTGTGGCTGCTCTGTGAAGATCTCATTACTGTGATTATTTAGAAGAAATGAGTCTTTTCTAAAGAGGGTAGACATATAAATTCCTGGGTTTTGCCCACTGCCGCAGGCTATCATTGAGGAAAAAACTGTAGAATGGAGTTGGTCACCTCTATGAATCATGATGGGTGTAGTTATCCTGACTTGGTGGGAACACTTTAAGAGTTATTGAGCAGGCTCAGGAAATGAGCTCAGGAGGAGAGGAATGAAATAGAATGGAAAATGACCTCCAAAAAGTGAGAAAAAGACTTCCGTACATTCTGTGGTACATGAATGATCAGAGACTTCCTTTTTTCCTCCTTTCAGGTAACAAGCATAGGATACAGCCTTTATAACCAGAATGTATTTCTTTTTACAAATTTTTAATTTTTTTAATAAGAATGGTCTATATGTAAGGTATACAACATGATGTTTTGCTATACATATGCATAGTGAACTGAATACTACAGTCAAGCTAAGTAACATATCCATCTCTTCACATAGTTACCATTTGTGTGTGTGTCTCTGTGTGTGTGTGTGTGTGTCTCTGTGTGTGTGTGTGTGTGTGTGTGTGTGGTGAGAACACTCTCTTAGCAGAGATCTACTATCTTAGGAAATTTCCAGTATATAATACAGTATTATTAAGTACAGTTCCCATGCTATACATCATATCCCTAGAACTTATATTTTAATATGTCAAGAAATGTAAAGAACAGTACTAATGCCACCTCATTTTAATCAGTGTTTCTCAGGACAAAGGAAAGATTTGTTTAACAATCTACCTTTGGTGAAGCTGAGTTGGTGATATGGAACCCCTAAGAGTAGAGATTCTGTACTGCTTCATGTCCTCATTAAATTATTATGAAGTAGTGGGAATTTCTCCAAAAAAAGCCACTTTTAGTCATAGTCTGCCTGTGATGCATCCAGCTGTAAATCAGCCTTATCAGCTGTGATACTACTCTCAGCAAAGGCCATGCTCATGGTGTGAGTCTCTAGCAAGGGAGACAATATTTATTCACTCAGCAAATATTTCTTGAACATCTGCTATGTTTCAGGTACTCTTAAAAATACTGGAGTATATTGATGACTCCTTCTCCCTTTCTTCTGATACTTTCCTAATACAACAGTCTCTTCTGCTTTACTTGTGAACAATTGAAATAACATGTAATAACTAGGAAAACGATGACAAATCCATTGCCCAAGGCTCATATCTATAGGAAAGACCTTCCTAGCCTTCAGAAAGTCATATCAGTATGCCATTAACCTGAAGGAAGGAAACATTTTCTGACGTTTTCCCCTGAAGTTAGCATTTGTAGTTAAAATGTGGGGTGTGTGTGTGCATGCATGTGAGTTGGCAGTGGAGAAGGGGTCATATGAGTGTATTTGAAACATGCTGAAAGCTGTAATCTTAATTTAGCAAAATAGAAGTTTATGGAATGAGACAGAATGACTAGGACAAAGAAGATATGTCTTGAAAATGTGATTCAAACTCAGATTTCCTGTGCACTGTTAGACAGTCTATATTCGTCTCTCAAATATTACTTTCAGAAAAAAAGGTGAATCCATTTGACAATGCAGCGTCTTCCCAGTTTGCCTTAAATGCACTCAAAATAAATTCTGCCCATTATATCATTTATATCCTGTCAAAATGATAACTTTACTGCTTATTCTAACTACACTTTTCACTATTATAAATAATATTGTACCAAACATCCTTATACACAGATATTTGCATACTTTTCTGGTTATCTTCTTAGAATAGATTTTTATAAGTAGAATTCCTGGATGAAGCTTATGTATATTAAATTGTATTCATTTGAAAAATGTTTCCCTTTATTGTTAGGCCAAATTATACTTCCACCTACAATATGCAAGAAAACTCATTTCCTACCGCCCACATCAGCCTGATGAGTCAATATTTAAAAAAAACTTTATCAGTTTAATTTGTATGTCTTTAATCACTATAGAAGGTAACATCTTTATATGTTTATTGATGGTTAGTATTTTCACTTTTATAAATTGCTTTTTAAAAAAATGATTTATTTTTCTGTTGGGTTTATAGCATCATCTTTAAAATAATAGCATATTAGATGCATTAAAAAATATATCCACCACTTTTTATCTTTGTAATAGCCCTCTGAAATTGTTAAGATACGTTTTATTGCTTTTATTTGAAAGACAGAGAAGCTGAGCCTGCTGTCTCATAATAAGCAAATGGTGGCAGCAGTCCCGGAACCGTGGCCTCATCCCCTCTCTGTTGCTTCCCTGTTTGCCCTCCTGCCTGTTAACCACGCTGGCCGACCAGAGAGCCCATTACCAATAGCTGTAATTGAAGATGAAGAGTATCCCACAAAACAAGATGGTTGACTTCACATGAAAAGCAGCCCAACTCCTGCAGTTCACTGGGCTGCTATGGAGCCTCAGAAGGGACAGGAGACTCTTAAAAAGAGAAGGAAAGAAACCAGCTTCTCCAAACTGCATCTGATAAACCAGGCATCTCCTCGGCCTGTGTTAACACTAGCACTTTGGAACGTCACATATGAGCTACTTAGGTAAAATTTCAAAGCCAAAGACATAGAAATGAAAGCAGTCTAGGTCATAATTCACAACTATGTCAATCTACAATAGGATAAATTTTATTTAAATGAGAAGGGTTTTTTAGAAAGTCCCAATTTCTAAGTAATATGGAATACCTGAGGTGCCCAAGTCGTTAATATTTTGAAGAATTTAACAGTTGTATGATGGAGAATGAATCTAAACCAAACTAAAATCATCCCACTGAACCCATGTATTTGTTGTTGAAATGAAATGGAGGAAGAGAAGTAAACAGATAAATTTATGGCTTTGTTTAGATTAAATAACTTGGTAATTAAGACCAAGTACTTCTGAAAATTTTCCTATTTCATAATTGTTCTTTAAATCCTTATATTAAAACATAACAAATGTTATAAATTAGTTTAAGTAAACTAATTTATGCTGTTTTTAAATTAGTTTGAGTAAACTAAAAAGTCAAACAATATCATAGCATTTTAGAATGACCATTTTATGTATGTGCTAGCAATAAACTTAAGGAAATTTCCTTTGGGAAAGAGGGAATAATGCCAGAAATAATTGTGAAATATAAAGTGGTTTCAGGAAAAGATTATTAACTCAAAATTGCCCCCACAGACATATATAAATACTGAGGAAGTCTGAATTCCACTGGGATTTTCATTACTTAGCCCATAGTGTTAGCAAAGAAATCTGAAATCTCCCCATTAGCCTGTAGAGTAGGGCTCAAAGGAAATGTAAACCAGATGAAGTCTGTTTCCTGAGACCCACAGCTGAAGCTATTGGTGAGGTCCCAGGCACAAAGGGAAAGGAGAACATGCAGCCACACTCAGAGCAGTCCAAACTTACCAAGTCTTGACACGGAGAGAAATGAGTGTTATTTACTCTGGCGACCACTTGGCTGATAGAAGATATGAGGCCGACCAGCAGGTTTTGAAACTTAATTTACCATCTTCTAGATTCACATTGTATTTATTTGAGAAGGAAGAGTAGCCAAGGGCTCTTAATTATTTGCTGTGACCAAAGCTAAATGTAGCTAAAGTGAATTTTTGAGGCATCTATTACCTGCTAAATGCACTTTACTCATTAAATTACAGGGCTGTGCTCTGGCCCAAGTCATTCTGCTGGCAAGTCTGATTAGAGTGAAATATATTACAGAAGAAAGAAGGTGTCAATTTCCAGTGTGGTTGCTCCTCTGAAGCAATTACAAGAAAGAAGGAAAAGGAGAACATGATGTAAAGGGAAGAGATGATAATTATGGTGTCATGCTTAAGAATGTGTACTGCTAAATTGATAAAAATTTAAAAAGTCATTCATTAAGAGTATACTGGGTATCTACTGTGTCAGGCACTGCTTTCTATGTGCTGGGGATAAAAAGATGACTAATATACACTAGCAAAAACCTTCCCCAATCTAGTCATGGAGGCTTTACAGATAAAAAGTTGCATTACCGGGTGATGAATCCTATTTGAGCAGGGTGTGTTTTTGAGGACTTCATGGAGTGGGATGTGCAAATGTGACCAACAGTTGCATTGAAGAGGCAGGTTTGGGGAATGGGAAATGAACTATTGCATCATCTGAAGAAGATAAGCCTTCATTTCTAAAGGCTAAGCATTATGCCCAGCAAAGATAGAAGAGTTCTTTTGTGTTCCAAAGATTTAAACTCTACAGCACTTGCCAATAGAGTTTTAATTCCCATAGTAAGAGAAAATTGACAGGGTGGACGGTGGCATAATGGTAGCAGAAGAGGCACTAGGACTGAATGTCCCTTGAACTGCAGAAACTGGTGCTAAGCAGTGTGAAGAGGATAGAATGTCAGATGGATGATGCTTGCACTGATGACTGTGGAGGATGACCGTGAGAGTGGCATTTTGGAGTGAAAGTGAATTTCCCCGGGGCCATGATGGCATGGAGAAATGAGGCCACCAGAGGAGCTACAGGCCACTCTGTGACTATCCTGGGCAAGGGAGGAGCTGGGCAAACAAGACTAGCTTTAGACAAAGCCACAATGTAAGACCCCAGTAGGTCCAGCTCATATTTTTGAGTCGTTTCCTTACTCCCAACCATCCATCGCAAGAGATAGAAGAAGAGAACAACATAGTAACAAAACCCAGAAAGACTCGCTGATGGTGCCTATCTCTGGGTTAAACAGACAGAAATCAGACATGTAGAGTCGCATTTACATGTCAATGTGACAAATATTATTTTAACAGGGTGATTTATTCAGATTTCAATGTAGCCAGATATAAAAACTCAACTATGACTGAGGTTGAGACCTACAGCATCTCTGTACCATTTTGTTGGCCTCTGATCACATTGGCTTCTGTGACATTCAAGTAAAGGGATTTTTCCAATGGTCAGAAAGTTGCTGTGACGAATTTCTCAGAGAGTGCTTCTCTTGGTGTCACTTAGGAGCTTATAGCAGAGGCTTCTTGCTGAGTATGTCCCCTCCTATGCTGCATATCTGGAGAGTGTCAGCAGTGAAACTGGGTCACCTAATTCCAGAAAGACCCCCTGATGTCTGGTTTCTGTGTTCAGAGAAACCACCTCCCAGTTAAACATGAAACACTCATACCAGCCAGTGTGGGCACTATAAAATTGGCCTAGATGTGAGGACTTCCATTCCATCAGCCTAATCCAGATTTGTTTTTAATACAGTCATAGCCTGTTTGTCTGATTCTACTTTGTAGATGCACATTAACCAATGGAGAAACTGAGATTTAGTTCGCCATATTGTCACTTAACACCTCAGTACCTAAGCCGCTGAGTGAGTGTAAATCATGAGATTTGTTACTGCCTTATTGTGAGCAGATCTGCTAGAATTAGACTGTTACAAAACAACTGCATTCCAGAGAATCAAATGGACTACAGGCCTCAAGAACATTTCCATCTCCAGTAGAATTTAGATTCACTGTAAAATCTCCTGGGGTTATCTAGAGAACTTAAATTCTACAAAAAAAGTATATGTGCATGCGTGTGTGTGTGTGTGTGTGTGTGTGTGTGTGTGTGAAATGTACACGGGTTTGATAACATTGGGATGGTGGGCAAAAAATTGGTAGATTCTATTCATTTTTTTTAAATAGTAATATCTATGGACTATTTATTCTCCTGTTAATAGTAGTCTTTTATAGTGAAAGGTTGTTACTACTTTGTGCAGTGTTGAGCAACCCTCAACCTTTTTGCTGTGTTAACATCTCTACATTATCACTTTTATTTGCAAGGCATATTTCTGCTGTAGAACTTGTAACATTGAGAAACATTTAATGAGTTATCAGCAAACACTAAAGATAAAAAGAACTTTGATTGAATTTCATAAGCTGCTTAAGATTCCTGTGTTCTGAGATTGCAATGAATGTTTACACTTCTGTTAATAAAATTCTATCAAGCAGACGACAGGTACCAATTAAAAGCAATCACAAAATGTATTCTTTCCCTAATCCCTGAAGTAGAATCGTTAGATGCTGGTTTGAAGAAGCATTTGTCTGGCATGGAATAGCTTTGATCTTCAGTAGCTTCCACAGCCTGTGGGATTTCAGCCATTCCAGTGTGGGAGAACCAGAGGAAATAGAAAATGACCTTTGGTGTTGGCTGGAGCATGGAGGAACATCAGCTTGTGGTTCAAGCTGCTGAAACAGTAGATACCAGTCTTAGTAGAGAGTCTGAGCTGTGGCAGCAAATAGATCCCCACACGTAAAAGGGCTCAGATGCTGTAGAATTTTGTTTTGTCCTCACCTAAACTCCTAGTGTGTATTTCTGCTTACAGGTTGGCTGTCGTCCATGTAGAGCCATAAGGACCAAGTCATCTTATGGCCTCACCATCATAGTCACCTTCAGCATTCAGCCTGCAGATCCGCTTCTTACAAGGCTTGGCCTGGAAATAGTGCACATCCTTTCTGCTCACATTCCATGGCCTAGAATTCAGTCACAGGTGCATGTCTGACTTCATGGGAAGCAAGAAAATAGCGTAGTTCTGAGTGTCTAGAAGAAAACAGGAATTTGATGAGCAGCTGGGCATTGCATAATACCCAAGTATGATTCCTATGAGACAATTTCTTTTGGAGAAAGACATTTGAAAAGGGCTTGTCAGTGGTTCTGCCTTGGGCCTGTTATATTCTGGCTAGAGTCAGGCTATGTGTCCGAGGAAAGGGAAGCAACAAGAATTGCTGTAAGTTTTCTGGGAATATATCTTAGCTTAGATCTCCTCTTGCCAGCCCAGCCTTTTTACTGGCTCTATCTACTAATGAGAACCATGAACGAAGCTGCTTCTACACTGAGGGAAGTTCACATATTCTCTGAGTGAACATATTATGTTTTGCAACATTTTTATTGTATATAATTGTGAATATATATTATACATATGTGTGTATATATAAGGTACACATGCATAAACACACGCATTACACTATGTATGATATATATTATACAATTCAATAAAGTATAGAACAATGTAGCGTCATAGGTTCCCTTCACAATTTATTTCAATCAAACACTTGATAAATCATTCTACTTTTAAAGTCTTGGAAGGCAAGTATGTAAATCTACCTTGGAAATTCATCCTAATGTTCAATAGCATCTGAATTTCGAGGATAGTCCTTATCAGTAGCTGGTTCCTCTGTTTCACTGACAGTGAATCTGGGAGGCAGACACTTGCATGAGTCGATTCACATCAATTGATTTGCCTGGGAAAGGGCTCCATCCAAGGAAGTTTTGTGTGGGCCTGTGGCTGGTTGGGAGGGGTGAGCGTGCAGAATGGGAAAGCTGAGCCCTAATTTTGACCCCCAAATTTAGTATTTGAGCTCTATGAAGGAGGGCAGAGAAGCTGAAGACACTATGTTCAAAAGGTACTCTGGAGCTTTTGAGCCATAGGTGACAACCACGAGGAGGAATCTTCCTCCCCTCTCTGACTTCCTGACATGATGGTGGTAGTGAAAGCTTCAGGGTGATAAAAGAAAAACTTCAGCTGAATTAAATTTAAAGGAGTTTAATTGAGCAACGAACAATTCACGAACCAGGCAGCCTCCAGAATCACAGCAGATTCAGAGAGACTCCAGAGATGCCTCATGGTCAGAACAAATTTGTAGACAAAAAAGATAAAGACATACAGGAATTGGAAGTGAGGTACAGAAATAGCAAGATTGGTTACAGCTCAGTGTTTGCCTTATTTGAACACAGTTTGAACATTCAGCAGTCTATGAGAGGTTGAAATATGGCTGCTGGGATTGGCCAACACTCAGCTATTGTTACAGGTGTATACTATTAAGTTAGGTTTCCAATTTTGTCTGACTATTAAGCTAGGTTACAGTTCATCCACAAGGACTCAAATATAGAAGTACAGAGTCCTTCTCAGGCCATACTTAGTTTGCTTTAACAAGGACATGCAATAAATCCTTCAAGGGCACCTTGAGAGTTGATTGCCCTGGGAACCTTGGTAGAGAGCATCTTTTTCACAGACATCTGTTTTTAAACATACCCAGGATTTTGTTTTTGTTCAGGTATTGTGAGGCCAGCAGATAAGGAGACAAATGCCATTGAAAAGGTAATTTGTTACTCACAGGTCCTGAAAGGAGGGATCACTCCATGCCACAGAGAGTCACATAGAGAAGCATCAGGATTGGTTAAGGGCAAAAGGAATGAGGGGGAAGGAGGGGCGAGAGCCTTTACTGTGGTTTTCATGGGAGGGAATGGGTGAAGCATGGCAAGCAGCTGAGTGGGATTAGGATTGGCTGCTTAGAATAATTTTGGCAGGCTGTGGGCTATAGGGGTTGTTTCTAGTTGTCCAGCACCTGGCCCTGGGCTTATTTGTATACCAATTGTGGGCTCACAGGCAAGTTGTCTGCTCTCTCTAGGGATTAACTGACCCTGGGAGGGGCAGTCCCTTCTCGGGTCTGCAAGTCCCCAGATATCAAAGCATCATAAAATATAGAAAATAAAGAAAAGATGATTCATACAACATCCACATTCTCACAGAAGGCACTGGCACAGTGGCCCTGGGGAGATGCTACTGTCAACTGTCTTTAGTGTATACAGTGTCTAAAATATTTTTCAGTGAAAAAAAATTAGTCATGACACCTGTTAGTGAGGCAGAATTTATTCAAGGGGGCCATGGAGATAAATACAGGGAGCACTGCAATGGGGTCTCACATTGTGGGGGAAGATCGGACTCAACTCTGTCTCTGAAAAGGACAAGTGAGATTACAGCCAAGATGGAAGGAGTCAGTGGGTGGAAAATTGCTAAGAGGAAGCATCAAGAATAAGGAGTTTCTAGCTAAACTGTCACAAGAGGATTGTTGTTGAAGGTAGGCAGGCTAGGGTGATGAGATATTGAGGTGATTTTTGCTAAAGTGATTTAGCGAGACTCTTGCTAAAACTAGATTCTATGAGGACACAGAGGTAAACCCAAGGTTGAGCCTAGTCAGGGAGAGGACACAGGGGAGCCTGACTAAAGTTTTGGTCAAAGGAGAGAGTTTTTCTCAAGTAGCAGTGGATGTAATTAGTGAGACATTTCAAGAGTCTGAAAATTGGATGTGTAATGCTTTGACTACTCACTGTAAGTTTTATGTTGAGAGGAGGCACATGTTAATAGTTGAGTTATTACTCTTAATGTGATCCCTTTGGTATATACAGGCTCAAGAGACCTGTTGATGCAGGTGATCAAAATCTTTCATGCAATAATTTGACCATTTTCCTCTAGATACAGGTTTAACAGAGATGGAGAACTAATTGCTAACATCTGTGTTAACTGTTGGTACATCTGTTGACTCATTTGTGCCTAAGACAGCTCTTTTTCAAGATGAAAATTCTACCTTTTTCAGTCTTCTCTTCTAAGCCTTATAAAAATTTATTTCTCCCTCTATATAGAGGGGAATTAAAAATTGTAATTTCAGCACTGATAATGAAATGCAGCTCAAGAGTAACTGCTTTTCATTTAGGTACATGTTTGTATTGTAGATGAAGGCCTTTATGCAAGCCTAGTGGCCCCAGTGTTAGCTTAGATTCAAAATGTTCTAAAACTAGAAATCTGTGGGATTTTAGGGGGTTGGGACTGGAGCTAAAATTGAGGGACAGAGATGAGGCTATAACCATAATAGATCTGTTTCCCAATGCATGAGGCAAGGCAATACGTGGAGACACTGGGTTGCACCAGAGAAAGAGGTTTAATTGTAGGGCTGCTGTGTGAGGAGATGGGAAGGAACCTCAAATCTATCTCCTGGAGGAGTTTGGGTCTAGGGTTTGGAGTGGACCAAAGTGTGGTGATCATTGATTGGTTGAAAAGTGTAGGGTGACTTCATGGGACAGGGAGATGAAGAAGCTATATTCTCATGCTGATTCTGTTCCTCTGTGTTTTCAGACTGGTTGATGTCAGCTGTTTTGCTGGAATTCGGGATGTGAAAAATATCTTAAGCAACTCTTAAACAGTCTTTATGATTCTAATGCCAGAAATCCCATCTGTAGGAACAACGGAGACTCAAATGGTCAGTATCTAGTGACTTTCAGTTACAAGGAAATATGTCAAAGTGCCTGATTAATGCTTGACTGTAACTGTAATGGACAGTGGTGAGGGTGACTGAAAAACTGCTGTGATTTTCTGAGGCAAAAGCCACATCCCTTTGCACTTCTGAATGTTCAGTAGAGCTATAACTTGCATTGAGTGGTGATTTGGAAAAATCAAGGGCAAGAGACTGTTTTGGGCAAACGAAAAAGGAGGGAGATGAGTGAGGATAAGAATGAAGCCAGCTAAGTAGATTAGAGCCTGACATGATCTGCAGTGCTTGTGCCCCTCTCCGAGGATATCCAGATATATTGGTGCAATGAGTTATTCCCTCATAGGGTTTCCAGATTTAGCAAATGAAATACAGCATTTCTGAATAAATTTGAATTCAGATAAACAATAAGTATTTTTTTTCATTTAATAAGTCCCAGGCAATATTTAGGATAATCCTGTATTTTGTCTGGCAGCACTTCCCCTCCCCACTCTGCATATATGGAGTTTGAACCAATATTTCTATAAACCTGAAATCGCCTTTGCAAAATTATGACTGTAAGAGAAATCTGACATGGTTGACTTTATCTTGCTTCTGACCTCCACACCATCCTTAGTCATTCCTGGGCATAGGGCAAGCTATCTTTGGGAGGAATTTAGTTTATAGTTTAACCTTAAAGCAAAGATGATAATAGCCCTTCCCAAACTAAACCACCTTTGTAAAACTAATGGAAGGCTACAAGGTTAAGATTACCACAGGGGCCTGAATTCTATTAAGATAGGTGTAGTTTCTATAGTCCCTCACTGCTCAGGACTCATGTGGCCAGAGGTTGCAAGATTTGTGACCTTCCCAGTTGCTATGTTTTTCAGACTAACCCCACTGGAACTCATGACTCATGACTCATGACTCAACTGATCCTGTGGCCCCACCCAGAGGTGAACTCTACATGAGGACCATTTCGCACACTCCTATGATTTCATCCCCAGCCAATCAGCAACTCCCATTCCTGAGCCCCTGCCCACCAAGTTGTCCATAAATCCCTAAGCTCCCAGCCTTTAGGGAGACTGATTTGAGTTATAATTCCAGTTCTCCCATGTGGGCCAGGCTCATGTCAATTAAACTCTTTCCTGGGCTGGGCATGGTGGCTCACTCCTGTAATCCCAGCACTTTGGGAGGCCGAGGCAGGTGGATCACCTGAGGTCAAGAGTTCGAGACCAGCCTGACCAGCATGGTGAAACCCCATCTCTACTAAAAATACAAAAATTAGCTGGATGTGGTGGTGGGCCCCTGTAATCCCAGCTACTCAGGAGGCTGAGGCAGGAGAATGGCTTGAACCTGGGAGGTGGAGGTTGCAGTGAGCTGAAATTGCACCATTGCACTCTAGTCTAGGTGACAAGAGTGAAACGCCATCTCAAAAACAAAACAAAAATAACTCTTTCCCTACTGCAATGTTGTGGTCTGGGTGAATTGATTTTGTCTGTGCAGTGGGCAGGAAGAGCCCATTAGGAGATTACAAATTTAAAAGGTCAAGGTGACCCCAGGTAGCTAAAAGATTGGAGGCAACATATTCTGGTATCTAAGTCACACCTCCATTCTCTAATTCTCATTTAAATTGAGGAACTCAGTGCAAGATTTCTTTATCATTGCCTTTTCCTTTTGGTAACTACATAGACGAAACGGCAAAGCGAGACTGAGAAGATATGTTAGAGCATGGATGTCCTGACTACAGTTAGGGACTCTTGGGTCCTACGGAAATGTTAAGAAAAGTTTCGTGTAGGGCCGGGTGCGGTGGCTCACGCCTATAATCCCAGCACTTTGGGAGGCCAAGGCAGGCGGATCACAAGGTCAGAGATTGAGACCATCCTGGCTAACACCATGAAACCCCATCTCTACTAAAACAAAAATTAGCCGGGCGTGGTGGCGGGCACCTGTAGTCCCAGCTACTTGGGAGACTGAGGTAGGAGAATGGTGTGAACCCGGGAGGCGGAGCTTGCAGTGAGCTGAGATCGTGCCACTGCACTCCAGCCTGGGTGACAGAGCGAGACTCCATCTCAAAAAAAAAAAAAAAAAAAAAAAAAGAAAGAAAAGTTTCATGTAAATGAAATTTTAAGGTGATGCATACCCTCCTTTGAAAAGTATATTAAGATATTCGTTAAAATATGGCATCCTAGGAATATTTTCCATGAAACATAAGTACTTGGGGTAGAGAGGCTAAATGTTAATCTGGAAGACACCATACATAGCAACAACTTAGAGAAAACAATTGGCAAAAAACCTCAGGGCCTCATTTTCCTAAAGCAGGTGAAATGAGTGGCATCTTTTTTTTTTTTTTTACACAAAATAATTACTTGAATTCAGCCTGTCTTCCATATTCCTGATAATACAACCTATAGCATTTTATAGTCATCTGGGAAATAAAGAAAGCAAGGACAATAGTTTCTGGTAGAATTGAGTGGTTCGTTTGTCTTCCAAACGTAGTGGCTGAGAGTGGGTCGAGGAAGAACTGAGCTATGAGTGTCAAACTTAGGTCTGTTATGAATTCCAGAGCTGAGGGGCCCAGGAAGGGTGACTTCCGGGGCCTTGCAGAGAATCTGAGCTCCTCTTATAGAACACAGATGCTCTATTGGAAGGAAATAATTCAGATCAGAAGCTGGGTAGCATCCAGGGTCATGAACTTAGAGTTTAAAATATCTGTCTGTGACCCCACCAGCCAGCTAGGATTTCCTGCTGACCCTAGAAATTCAAAGGATTCCAAGTTGGCACACGAGCTTGCCTCCTCCAGCTTGCCTCCTCCTGACACTCCAGATGTCTAACAAAGAGTTTCCAGGCTTTGAAACAGGTAGCAAATGTTTTATGGGTTTGCTGTTGTTAATTAATGGTGAAGGTTAACACCCTGAATAATAGAAATGGCTAACCTATCCTCCTAAATAATACAATTGAAAGGAGAAAATATGAATTCACTGACTTAGATAAATGATGACAGTAAAGAGGGATTAAAAAGTAAGAGCAGCTGTGTTTTCGTTAAAGCAAATAGGCAGCTGGAATCCATAGGATCTCAGTCTGGTCAGTGGCCCAGTAGACTAAATCTTAAAAGTGATTGTTAAGTGTTAGGAAATACAAAAACCACAAGCTAACTCTACTGGAAGAAGACATTCACTTATTTGCAATGAAAACAGAATGAACGAAAAGTGAAATTCCAAACTTGGGAATTATTTTTAAAAAGAAGTAGCCTTTGAAAGATAATTTTTTAAACAAGGTTTATCATGACTTACAGTAATATAAAATAAACATACACCAAAGATTTTATTTAAATCAGTAATTAAGGGAAACAATAAGTTGTGACAAACAGTTCAAAGGAAAATTCAGAGAAATATATCTGTGTATACATGTTACCATGTATGTA
This sequence comes from Homo sapiens, assembly GCF_000001405.40. Classification (NCBI taxonomy): domain Eukaryota; kingdom Metazoa; phylum Chordata; class Mammalia; order Primates; family Hominidae; genus Homo; species Homo sapiens. The sequence continues at coordinate 150,876,039 of NC_000002.12, read as the reverse complement.
TTTGCATATATACATATATACAGAAAAGAAATGCAGGAAATGAATTAACAAATAAATGCACAAGTGATGTTTTACAGAGGGATGAGAGTAGAGGGTAGGAGAGAGAAATCAATTATCCTTTCACCTGGACAAAATTAATTTGCATGTCTATAGACAAGAATCATTTGCATTGCCACTAGTTATCTACAAATCACAGAGTTCTAAATAGCTCAAAAACAATGAAAGATGAAAACCCCAATGAGTCAGAAAAATCTGAAATTAGACAATGCCTGGTTTTCTATCAGGGATATCTAATGATCTTATTGGTCTATTTAAAAGCCTTTAACAATTTATTCTGCTATATGTGACACTTGAAAATAAGGCAGAAATATTACTGCAAGCCTTTTTAACATCAGGCTAGGGTAGTGGTTCTCAAAGTTGGTCCCTGGACTAGCAGCAGAGGCACCATCTAGCACTTGTTAGAAATGCCCATTCTTGGGCCTCACCCTAGGTGTACTACTGTGGGTTAGATCTAACACCCTTTCTTATCAAGCCCTCCAGGTGATTCTGATGCACACTCATGTGTGAGGCACTGGTAGGCAATCTAACATTGCCTGACTTACAGTTGATTGGGATTCAGACTCAGTAAAATTAGATGTTACCTTGGTAAAGATTGAAAAGTTGCAAATGATTTTGTTTGGTAAATATGCAAACGTTTCTGTCTTATAGATGAGATCACAGCAAAGGCTGTGATTTTAGCATCTTACTGAGCAATCTTATTTCAGCACTTTCTTTGGCTATATATAGTAGTTTCCCCTATCTTTGTATGAGCTTTGTCATCCTGGTGGTTTCTTTATTAATTAGGTAAATAAATTTTTGACAAGTGCTCACTAAATATCTTTTTGGAAATTATGTCTTTAACTTTATAAAAATTATATTTTGACTTAACGTAACTCAAGTAGAAGGTACTTCAACCTAATAGAGGAAATGAAGTGCAATTGAGTCAATAAAAGGGTCAGGATGTGAGACTGGGTCTGCTTGGAACTTTTTTGGGGACACTATTATACCATAAATCAGGCTTTACTCTAAGCTTTTCAGTGTGAGTTACATGCATATTATCTGGTTCTCCCCATGGCCATTTCTGGTTGGATTTCCTATTTACCCATTTCTTTCCTCCTGTCACCACCTCCCACACCTCTCCCCTGCCACCACACACACCAAATTATGATTTGCCTCTGTAAAGGCCTGTGCCAATTCTCTAACCTACCAGTCGAACACATCGATTAAAAAAAACCATATTAGGGAATAGAGAGAAAAACTGAGTTGAATTTTTATGATAAGAAGGAGGTCTCAAAGGTTTTTAAGTATGCTCTGCTGGAGCTTCACACAAATACCTCAAGGATACTCATTAATTTTCACCTGCCTATGTAGGTAGCTTGGTGGGAAAATGTTTAAGATAGAAGGAGAGTCTTTCCAAAAGACTATCTTTGCCAACTTTCACAAAACCCTTAAGGGAAGCACACACTGTATTTAAGACAGCTTTATAGGCTGGGAAAACAAACCTAGGAGCTTTGAGGAACTCTCCTGCTGTGCTTTCAAATGAAGGAGACTTTCTACTGAAATACAGAATTTTTTATTTTCTCAGATAAAATTGGTCATTGAGGGAGTTCAGCCAGAGCCATAGATATATTTAAAAGATGTATTTTTTCATAAGAACTATTATGGAAAGTCTTAACAGATGAGAATGGACTGAAGAAGCATGCGATTCAGAGTGCCATGAGTACAAATGTCATCTGAAACGTGTGCTCTTCAACCCCCATGGCACACAGAAGAAAGATAAAGCAACACAGTCGTGGATAGGAATATGTACAAAATCCTTTTGGCTCCACCTGTATTTCTCTCATGACTTCACCACCACGGCTCTTCTGCTCTAGTTTTGAAGTTTCTATACCTTTAGACATATGAAACAGTGTCACCCATAAACAGTTTTGTTTGGTCTGCATAATATTTAAAACAATTAGAATTTGAACATCTTTAAGTCCCTATTTGCTTGCTTGCAAATGAGATAAGTCGGTCACCCTCTCGCAGACTATGTTGTACTTTTTTCTTTGAGATCTTCCCAATTACAACTTCCCAGTGTTCTATATGTAAGAAAATTTTTCATTAAATAAACATAGAGACATTATTAAACCTTTACAATGAGAGAATGAGGGAGAAAATGTGGCAAAGACCTTATGAAAACCATAGATTGGGGGATAGGCTAGGAGGTCATTGAGTCCTCTGCAAACTTGCGCTTTCCCAGGAGCATGAAATTATCTCCTGTAATAATCCCCACATACATAACCTAAGGCCCCAGCAGATTAACTTGATTTACTCTTTGCCATATCTGCCCTGGTGGTAATAACATGAGCAGTGTGACTTAATGCACAGAATCTTTTCATCTCTGCGAACCATCCCATAATGTAAACCAGAGCCGTTACTTCACTTCCCTCAGCCTCTCCCTGAGACCCTGACATGCTGCATAAACAAGGGAAAGGCCCCCTCAGTACATAACTCCCTACAGTAATGAACTTCAAAGACATTTGTGGTATTCCATTCAGAAGTATTTTTAATTTGGGGCAGATGCATGTACGCAAACTGCCTCAGTCAGCTGTATGTGGTATTTATATTGTGAACCTCTGGTGCCCAAGTACTGATCTCCTCCTTCCTGCAGTTGTAATTTGTTTAGAGAAAGCACCTTGCGGGAGGGGGGAAGGGAGAGGGCAGCAGCGCTCAGGCTGCCAGTCTGGATGTGTGTGGCCTTGGGGAAAGTCTGCTTCGAATGAGAATACTGACTGTGGATTTTCATCACCAGAAAGAATGCTCAAGGGAAACTATCGGCATATAAATTCCTTCACTTGGAAATCAGGAGGGGAAAGAATTTTCAGATATGCCCTGCAGGATGCCTTTTGTCTCTTAAGATGCATTAATGGAACTGCATCTCTGTGCAGGCAGAGCTCAAAACTCCTCACCAACACCCCCAAGTAACAAAGAGCAGTATTTTCTTTATTTGTCTAAATTAATTCCTTCTTTATCAACAGTCTGTGAGAAGGGAGGCAGATGGGAGAGACAAAACATCTGGGATTGAAAACCTCATTTCTTAACCTTGACATTTAATTTCAATAAGCATCTTTTGAAAAATTCCTGTTTTATTTAGCCAAATCCTATTAATTCATTTCTTAGAATGAACTCATCTGTTTCTTTCTGTTTGTGTCACACTGCCACGTTCTTATTTCAGATACTATTGGATGGAGCAGGGACCCCTCTTAGGGGCTTGCAAGCTCCCTTAAGCATGGAAGTAAATGAAAATGTTGAGTTTCTTCAAGGGAAACTCCAGGCACAGAGGTAGCCTTGAGAAGTAAATTAGCAACTTAATAAGCAAGAAGTTAATAGTAGCTTAAAACAATAGCCAAGAAAGCCACAAGAATGTTTGGTTTCCTGTAGAAACCAAAGAGAATATGTTAACATACATCCCTGAGCTGTTTTTCAGAAATGCACACCTCCACCATATGGATCCACTGGCAGGTAGACCCCTCAGGGGAAACTGAGGACTGGACTCTGACTGCCATTCTTTGTCCTAAATTTCTTCCTGAGGGGCCTGGAGGATGTCACAACCCAGGAGCCACAGCTAACATCCTTTTCTGCTAATCTTGAATTTTTAGACAAAGCTTCGCCTCCTTAACCAATTCCAAATCAGAAAATCTTCAAGTCTACCTATAACCTATGGGCCCCCACTTTGAGTTCTTAAGTAAGCCTCTTTAGGTCAAAGCAATGTGTGGCCTCCATGTATTGACTTACGACTTTGCTTGTAAGCTCTGCCTTCTGCCTTTAAAAACTCCTACCTGTAAGCCATCTGGGAGTTCGAGTCTTAAGCATTAGCTGCCCAATTCTCCTTGCTTGGTGCCCTGCAAAAAAAAATGCCTCACTTTCTCTCACTGCAACCCCCATGACAATGTTTGGCTTTGGTGCACTGGGTGAGTGGATCCCAGTTTGGTCAGTTAACACTATCTTCTTAGGCCTAGGAAACTAGGCAACTGCTTCCTGCTCTCCACTCTTTCCTCACTGCAGGACCAGTTTTAGGTCTTCCTAAAACTCAAACTGATCAAATCTCTTTCCTGCTCAAACCTGGCACTCAAGTCCTTCCATTAGCAAATATTTCAGTGTCTACTTTATGCAAATGAGAGTTCTAGACCCTGAAGCACTCTTAGGGCCAAGGGACCCTAGACTCTCTGAGGGTTCACTGAAAAATCAGCTCTCAAAAAGCGGATTAGGCCAGGTGCAGTGGCTCACGCCTATAATCCCAGCACTTTGGGAGGCTGAGGCTGGTGGATCACCTGAGGTCAGGAATTTGAGACCAGCCTGGCCAACATGCAAAACCCTGTCTCTACTGAAAATACAAAAAATTAGCTGGGCATAGTGGCGTGTGCCTGTAATCTCAGCTACTCAGGAGGCTGAGGCAGGAGAATCACTTGAACATGGGAGGCAGAGGTTGCAGTGAGCCCAGATAGCGCCGCTACACTCCAGCCTGGGCAACAGAGTAAGACTCCATCTCAAAAAATAAAAAATAAACAAAAAGCGATTAACTGAGGAAAAGGCATACAAATTTATTTAACCTGTATTCATGAGAACCATCAGAATGAAGACCGAGAGATACAGGGGAAATTGTCCGATTTTATGCTTAGGTTCAACAGTCATATAGAAATATGATTGGACAAAATGGGTATGATGTAATGCTAAAACTGAGTGGGGAAACCCAGCGAGGCCTGTCTGTCTAGATTCTTCTTGGCCACTCTGAGCATAGATTTCTTCTTTCTGGGTGTAGGCCAGGAGACTCTCTGGAATGGGGGTCTTATGACCTACAGTCAAACAAGGTAGGCCAGATAATTTCTTTATGGCCAGTGTTTACACAGAAAGGCTGACGGAAAGTTAGATAGTATTTTTAGGTCTTAAGGCTGGCTTTGGGGAAAAGGGGTTCTGGTTTTATGACCTGCCTTGGGGAAGAGGGATCCTAGTTTCCCTAGCCTTGGGGGAGAATGCGCCAGAGAAACAGGAGGGCGGTAGAAGGTCAGAGAAAATCTTTTCCTTCTGAGACTGCTGCTGAGGCCTTCAATCTGGGGTATTGTTTTCTGAGCCTCAATTCATCTTAACCATTTTTCCAATTCTATCTAGTGTCTTTTTCAATGAAATTTTCTGCTCACTCTGTCCTGAATACCCATTGAATTTTTAGACCTCCAGGTTCTGCTCACTCTTTTATCCCCACCTGGAGTGCCTGCTCCTCTGCTCGTTATCTACTGAACTCCTCTCCCTCTTGGAAATTTTAGCCAAATGCCAGCTCATCTATGAAGCCTTCTATGACCCTGCCCTGGCCCACTTACCTCACCCCTCTTCAAACTTATATAGTGTCAGTGGTGACTTCACTTAGTCATTTGGCTTCATTCATTGTCGAGCATTGTCATTTATTTATTCATGTTTTCACCCTGTGCCTTTATTGTGTTGGGGGGCCGAGAAAAAAATACCCCCAAATGAAGGCCTTGTAAGCAGCCTCAGAAGCGGAAGCTCTTCTCTGGCCTTCTCCCGCCCACCTGTCTCAGTCCCATTCTCCGCCAAGGCTAGCCATGGAAACTAGAATCCCTCTTCCCCAAGGCGGGTCATAAAAACCAGAACCTCTTTTCCCCAAAGCCAGCCCTAAGACCTAAAAATACAATCTAACGTTCCCTTAGACTTTCTGTGTGAACACTGGCCATAAAGAAATTATCTGGCCTACCTTGTTTGTTTGTAGGCTACAAGACCCCCATTCCAGAGAGGCTCCTGGCCCACACCCAGAAGGAAGAAATATATGCTCTGAGAGTCTAGAAGAATCTAGACAGACAGGCCTTGCTGGGTTTCCCCATTCAGTCTTAGCATTAGATCATATCCTTTACGTCCAATCATATTTCTGCATGGTTGTTCACACTGTGTTGAACCTGAGCATAAAAATTGACAATTTCTGTTGTATCTTTGGGTCTTCATTCTGCAAGTCTCCTGTGTATACATGTCAAATAAATTTATATGTCTTTTCTCCATTTAATCTGCCTTTTGTGAGTTGATTTTTCAGCAACCCTTCAGAAAACCAAAAGGAACTTTCCTCTTGGTTCCTACAGCTGTGACCGTAAGTTCCTGGAGAACAAGAACATATATGTTTCATTCTTTTTGATGTTCCAGTCATCAGAGTATAACTGACAGCTAAAATACATGGTGATTATTTGAAACAGCATATATTTACTCTGAATGAAACAATCAGATATCTGAATAAAGAAATCTGTTACTAATACCACTAGTCACAAAACAAAGACTAAAAACAAAGACTCTGCTTTCAGTGTCTGGGAGTAGCCCTGGAAGAGCTAACAATCTGAGTTGCTCAAGGGAATCTATTCAATTGCACCTGTAGGGGAGGAAAAAATAACTTTCTCTCTACCCTTCACAGTTCTTAGTTGGGACAGATCCCTGTAACAAGAGAGAGATCAACAAGAGAAAAACAAAAAAAGTTTATTAACCAGTTTTACCTCATGTATCCATGGGAGAAACACAGGCAATGAGCAACTCTCAAAGTGGCTTTGAACTCAGGCTTAAACAGCATCTTCAACAAAGAACAGTAAATTTTCAGAGAAGTGACAAGACAAAAGAAAAGGACTTTGAGTCTCGGGGTAGCAACCTGTGGGAAAGTGAATAAATGGGAGATGAAGCTGAGTCAGTACACTTTGTTACGTAGATTCCACTGGTGCTGTCTCCAGCTGTTTTTGTTTGTTTTTGAGACCGAGTCTTACTCTGTCGCCCAGGCTGGAATGCAGTGGTGCGATCTCGGCTCACCACAACCTCCACCTCCCAGGTTCAAGCCATCCTTCCACCTCAGCCTCCCAAGTAGCTGGGAGTACAGGTGCGCGCCACCATGCCAGGCTAATTTTTGTATTTTTAGTAGAGATGGGGTTTCACCATGTTGGCCAGGCTGGTATCGAACTCCTGATTTCAGGTGATCTGCCCACCTCAGCCTCCCAAAATGCTGGAGTTACAGGCTGGGATTACGGTTACGGCGCCCAGCCTGTCTCCAGCTTTATTAGGGTCTGAAGTCATTTTTTTGTGATCAAACTTTGTCCTTTCTGGCAGAGAGGGGAGGAGGCGAAGGGGTTACAAGTTATAACAAGTAGTAACAGGTTTGATTAGATCAATATTAAACATTTACTTGATTATTATTCTGTAAATGCTACCCACAGCTGGACCTTGTAGTATAATTTTCCTTCTTCTCTATCTTTGTTTCCTTAGAGTAGATAAATATCTCGTTTTTGTGCTTTTTTAGTTTCTAACTTTTACAATGTACTTAACACTAACTAATTTATCCCCATGATGCTCTCATTTCTGTAAACATTCATATGTATCCAGACCCATCCAGGACTGTATTAATTTCCATCCCTTGGAGATATCTCTCCAAGAGCTTTCTGGCCTCCACCAATTTATATAGGCTGTTCTGTAGGGCCACTGCACATCTGTGATCCTGAAGACTTGCTTCCCTGTCATCTTTTGCCTTTCTCTTATGTTGCCTGTCATTTCCTAGATCTCATATCATTTTCTATTTGATTTACTTTCTCATATGAATAAAGTATATCTTCTAGTAAATTTCATAAAAAGAGAATACAGACGATACAGTTTTTGAAATCTTGCATATTTTAAAAATTTCTTTATTCTACCTCCTAGCAGAGTGACAGTTTCATTAGATAGAGGATTCCAGGTTGGAAACATTTTTCCTCAGACTTTGGAAAGCATTGCTTCACTGTCTTCTAGTTTCTGGTGGTACTATTGGGATAGATATCTCTTTCTATTTGGATTTTTCATATTTTAGAGCCTGACCTTTCTCTCAGGAAGCTTATAGGAATTTTTCTTAGTGTTTATCATTCTTAAGACATATTTTCCACTTTTCTGAAAATGTGTTCATGTGCCTTTATATCTGCCTATTTTTTGCCTATTGTTTTGGGCATTTCATTTGGGCCATCTGAAACTATAAGATCCTGGACTTTAGTTTTAGGAGTTTCTTAAATGATTTTATTGATGATTTTAACCTTCCATTTTCTCTTTTTTGAACATTGTTTATTAGAATGTTGAACCTCTTGACTGGCTCTTTAATTTTCTAATGTTTTCTCCCTGAATTGCACTTCTTTTTGTCTTGCTGATTTGCTTTCTGGTAGATTTTCTCAACTTTATCCTCCCAAATAAGTTTCTATTCAGTTGTTTCATTTTTCTATCACATGTTGAATATCTAAGAGCTCTTTTATTTTCTGAATTATTAGTAAAAGTACCTTATAAATTATTATAGTAAATAAGACCTAGCTATGTTGGTTAGACATCATTCTAAGTAGTTGTAAGTGTTGTTTAGTGCTAAGAATATGAAAGAGGGCAGTCCTAGTCAAGTTCACAGGTCTTGTTAGATATAAAATACATGTACGTATAATTAAATTCCTGTCATGTAAAAAGCTCTTTATTATTAGAAAATACATTTATGTGTTTTATTTCAAAGTCTTTTTAAAATTTTATTTTTATAGATTTAAGTGGTACAAGTGTAGCTTTGGTATATTGAATATATTGGATAGGGTGAAGTTTGGGCTTTTAGTGTTTTAGAAGAAAAATAAGTGTACTGTTAAAGAAATGAAATGTCCAATCATACAATCAATATGAGTGAGATTAATCAGTAATGAGAATAACTTGAATGTAGTGGTCTATGTAAGCTGAAAAAATAATTCTTCATTCAGTTTTGTAGGCTGTGACACAGGAACTATAAAGGGGACACAGTATTACATCACTCTAGATATTGGAGGCTCCAACATCTCTGTTTTATGTAAATTTTTTGTATTATATAACCAGATGGTATGCATATTTTACCTGGAAGATTTAGAATTAAATAAAGAATGGTTTGAGTAAGAGAACAAAACCATACTCTGTTCTTATGTTAAGAAGGAATCCCATGCATATTTGCTACCTTATGTAGTTAGAAAGACATCTGAGTCTCAGTCTTGCATTTCCAGGAAAATGCATATGTGATTAATTTGGATAGGATTTTTAAAAATTTACTGAGTTTATATACATGATTGGTACATTTAAGACAAATTTGGTTACACTCAATTTATAGATATAATACTATGAAAGTTTAAAAATGTTTCCCTGGTCAACCAAGGAAAAACAGCAGTGTTGATGCTATGTGACTTCTAAGGCTAGGTGAGAAAGGCCATTCAACTTTTCCTTGGTTCTCTCCAGACATTTGCCTTTGGATCTGTGAGCCACCAGGTGGGTGAGATGTTGGAGGCTGCCATGCTGTGAGGAAGCCCAGGCTGCCATAAGGAGGACTTGTGTAAGTGTTTGGGTTTATAGTTCCAGCTGAGGTCCCAGATAACAGCTGGTATCAATAGCCAAATATGTGAGTAAAGATGTTGCCAGTGCTTTCTGCTCTTAGTAGATGAGTCACTCCTAGCCTTCAGTCCTTTCCAGCTGATACCCCCAGAGATTATGGAGTAAAGAAAAGTCATCCCCACTGTACCTTTCCCAGTTCCTGGCTGAAATAATTTATGGGCATAATGATTACTTGAAGCTTAGCAGTCACCTGTTATATATCAATAGATAATCTAACAGGTAGATTATCTGAGAATTATTTAAATTCATGGAAAAAATAAAACTAAGATGAAGCTCAGTGTAATTTGAAAAGTTGTGTGTTTAATTACTGAGTTTGTAAATGGAAACAAATGTTATTTAGAGCCTCTTAAAATTGAATGTATAACATTATAAATGTGCCAGATGTAAAAATTAAATAAGATTAATAAGTTGACTTTAAAAGCTTAAGAAAAAATTAGAGTTCGAAACACAATTAATAACTGGAAACTAGGCATTTAAAGCAAAGTAAGTAAATTTCTGCATTTATTTTCTAAATACAGAAACTGCTTTCAAAAACATCAGAAAACATCAACAGACATAATCCCTTTTATTGCCTCAAGTATGTATTTCATGTACACAGAATCTTCTTACCTCTGAGAATATTCATGTTAGCTATTTTTTCCCCTGGAGGTGTTATTCTCTCTCTCTCTCTGTGTGTGTGTGTATGTGTGTGTGTGTGTGTGTGTGTGTTTACATTCTGTATTTGTCTATTTGACATGTGTTCATTACAGGGACAATTATATTATCTATATCTTTTTATTTTCTGTAGTTTTGATGCTCTGGCATTTGAGGGCCTTAAAGACCTAGAGAGAAACTGTTCCACGGATACCCAATTATTAGAGATAGCAAAGGGCTTAGCTGGGAGGACTTGCTTTATTTACAAACTGTTATGGTTTAAGTATGTCCTGTCTAAAATTTAGATGTTGCCAATGCAATAGTATTAAAAGGTGGGCCTTTACAAGGTGATTAGGCAGTGAGGGCTCCTTTCTTGAGAATGGTATTAGGTTCCCAGATAAAGGGGCTTGACTACAGGAGTTCATCCCTTTTTGCCCTTCCCCTCTTCTATCACGTGAGGACACAATGTTTGTCTCTCACGCCCTTTCACCTTCTGCCATGGGATGACACAGCAAGAAAGCCCTCACCAGATGCTGGTGCCTTAATCTTGGACTTCTCAGGCCCCTGAGCTATGGGAATTAAATTCCTGTTCTTTATAAATTACTTGTCTGTGCTATTCTGTTATAGCGGCACACATGGATTAAGACAGAAATTGGTACCAGAAGAGGGGATCATTGCTGTTAACAAATACCTAAAAATGCAAAAGCAGTTTTGGAACTGGGTAATGGCTAGAGGCTGGAACAGTTTTGAAGTGAATGCTGGAAACAGCACGTATTGCTATAAATGGAATAGTAAGGAAAATTCTAGTGAGGGCTCAGAAGAGGAGGAGAGCGTAGGGAAAGCCTCAGTTGTCTTAGTGATTGTCTAAGTTGTGGTGGTCAGAATGTTGGTAGAAATATGGACAGTGAAGATCATTCTGATGAGGTCTTAGATGGAAATGCGGAATATCTTATTGGAAACTTGGGGAAAGGCCATCCTTGTTACAAAGTGGCTGAGAACTTGGCTAAATTGTGTCTTGTGTCCTAGGACTTTATGGGAGACAGAACTTAAGAGCCATGAATGAACATATTTGGCGGAAGAAATCTGTAAGCAGCAAAACGGTCAGACGCTGCATGGCCTCTCTGAACTGCTTGTAGTAAAATGCAAGAAGAGAGAAACAATTTAAAAATGAAATCCATCATTAAAAGGGAAGCAGAATGTAAAGATTAGGAAAATTCTCAACCAGGCCATGTAAAGAATTAAGTGTTTAGGAGAGAAAATTAAGGGTGTGGCCAAGTGACCATTTGATAAGGAGATTAGTATGGATAGAAGGAAGCTAGGTGCTATTTATCAAGACATGGAAGAATGACTCCAAAGACATTTTGGAGATCTTTAGGGCTATCACATCTATCACAGGCCCAGGATACTAGGGACTTGGGAGAAGAACAGTTTTGGGGTGATATGGTTTTGCTGTGTCCCACCCAAATCTCATCTTGAATTCCCACATGTTGTGGGAAGGAACCTGGTAGGAGGTAATTGAATCATGGGGGCAGGTCCTTCCCATGCTGTTCTGGTGATAGTGAGTAAGTTTCACAAGATCTGATGGTTATTATAAGGGGGAGTTTTCCTGCACAAGCTCTCTTTGCCTGCTGCCATCCATGTAAGATGTGACTTGCTCCTCCTTGCCTTTCACCATGATCATGAGGCTTCTTTAGCCACATAGAACTGTGAGTTCTCCATTAAGCCTCTTTCTTTTGTAAATTGCCTGGTCTCAGGTATGTCTTTATCAGCAGCATGAAAATGGAATAATACATGGGGGAAGGGCCCAAGGTGCCTGTGGGACCTCAGGGTTCCCTGCCTAGGGCCACTACATGTCTCTGTTTGTCCTATTCTAGTGCACTACTACTTGAACATCCCCACTGTGGCTTGAGTGGGCCCAGGTGTGGCTTGGGCCACCACTCCAGAGGGTGCAAGCACTGAGTCTTGGGTCATCCACATGGTGCTAACAAAATCTCATGCTGTGGCTTTCTCAGGCTGGTGCTGCATGCTGGTGGCTCTACAGGTTTGGGGGTGTGGACTCAGGTGCAGTCCTGGGTGTGCAGCTATGGTGTGCAGAGTGCAAGAGCAGAGTACAAGAGCTGTGGAGGCATGGCTACCTCCAGCTAGATTTCAAAGGATGTCTGAGACAGCCACAGGGCCCAGACAGAGACCTGCCATGGAAGCAGGGCCACTGCAGAGAGCCTCCATGAGGGCAATTTCTAGTGGAACTGTAAGAGTAAGGCTGCCCCCTAGACTCCCAACCTGTAGAGTCACCAGCATGCAGCACCAGCCTAAGAAAGTCTCAGGCATGAGATTTCAATACATAAACACTGAAGCATGGACTGTACCCAGCAAAGCCATGGGGATGGGGCTTCCTGAGGCCTTGGGGGCTCATCTCTACCCCAGCATGTCCAGAGGGCAGGACAGGAAGTTAAAGAAGATTTTTCTCAAGCATGAAGATTTAATTTTATTTTCCCTGTTGGGTTTGGGACTTACTTAAGACCTGTTTCTCCTTTCCTCTTTTCTGTTTCTCCCTTTTGGAATGGAAATGTCTGTCCCACTATTGTATTTTGGAAGCACATAACTTTTTTGATTTCACAGGCTCATAGCTGGGAGTAAATTTGCCTTAGGATATATTATGCCTTGAGTCTCACCCATATCTGATTTAAATGAGACTTTGTACTTAGATTTTAAAGTTGATGCTGGAATGAGTGAACACTTTTTTGGGGCCATTGTGATAGAATCAGTATATTTTGTATATGAGAAGGACATAAATTTGGGGGGCGGGCAGGGATATAATGCTATGATTTGAGTGTGTCCCCTCTAAAATTCAGTTGTTGCCAATGTGATAGTATTAAGTGGTGGTCCACTAAGACGTGATTAGGCCATGAAGGCTCCTCCCTCATGAATAGGATCAGGTGCCTTTATAAAGTGTCATGAGAGGGTTCATCCTGCTTTTTGCCCTTCTGCCTCCCGCTATGTGAGGACATAGCAAGAAAGCCTCACCAGATGCTGGTGCCTTGATCTTGGACTTCCCAGTCTCCAGAACAGTGAGAAATAAATTTCTGTTATTTATAAGTTACCCAGTCTGGGATGTTCTGTTATAGCAGCACAAATGGACTAAGACACAAATCTACAAATCCAGAGTCTGTACCTCTCAGCCACCTTCTTATCTAACTCTCACACATGAAACCAGTATTTCCCCTGCCTTAAATCATCTAAGGGCTAGGTACCAGAAAAGTAAAGACCATCTCTATAACCCAAAGCCCACCAGAATTATTCAAAATAACCAACCCTAGGCCATTAACTCTGCCCTGCCTTTCCTGCAGAAACCCCAGTAAAGTCTCTGGCCTAGATGTTCTCCTTGTTTCTGCTTTCTGCCTCCTAACTGACAGGTGCTTTCTTTTTGTGCATGCATTGACCCCTTCTCTGGGACCTGAGAGTAAAATAAAATTCTTCCTTCCAAACCTCATTCTTGTCTCCTCTGTGACCACACTGACTTTACCATACTACAGCCAACATGTGCATTCTTAGAACATCCCTGCATATTCTTTGTTTCCTCCAAGTTAATTTATTTATCTGGCCTGTGATTTTTGTTATTGGAGACATTCCTCATTTGTCTAATGACTGACTGATTGCTCACATTCAAGAACTGGGCATTAAGAAGTAATTGGAAATTCTATGTCTGGACTGGGTCTTGTCCACAATGAGCTTTACTGAGAGTGACCTGAGTGGGCCTTTTTTCCCCCACACTGAATTTTCAATATTTGTATCTTTAGGTCTCTTCCTTGGACAGTTTAGACTTTTTAGAAATGAAGTTTCAATTACCTGCCTAGAGAATATTAGCCTAAATGTCAGCATTTTGGGAACCAATCCAGGGAAAATGGCTGCAGGTCTCAACATTCAATCAGCAAAACTCTGTTTAATCCCCTTGTTTTCAGTACAGTACAATGTATGTGGAGTTTCCTCAGTCAGAGACACTGTTGGGCCCTCTCCAGAGTTAGTAATTTTTAGGTCAAGTTTAAGGCTTTCAAGTGTCTCAGGTGATCTCTGCACATTAGTAACCATTTAATAGGGTCTCTGGCCTTGAGGAAATTCCTCTCTCTGGTGATTTTGTCATAATTGCTTAAACACAAATGGGGAAAATGTCTCTTTTATATTATGAATCATAAATCTCTGAACATTGTACATTGTATTGTCTGAATGTTAAGTACAGAAGATTAATTCAAACACAGGTAAATAAACAACTCAAGTTGGAAAACAATTTGGACATCTTGAAGAAAATACCATGTTACAAACGAAAGCGCCTATTAATGAGAAACGAACATAGCCCTTGTTACTAGAATTTGATACATATATTCAACTTTTATTATTAAAGTGAGAATTTACTATCTACTTCTGAATTTGACTCTGCTAACATGCTATTTTGTATCAGTGACATATGATAGGCTTCAAATGCCTGAATACCAGCACATGAGAACATTTTTTCTTTTTGTATTTCTTATACCAAGCTCTTCAGGTTATATAAAATATCTTCCTGGAGAATACGTTGATGGTGCTTTTATCATAATTATGATGATTATCATATACTCTCACCATTTGGACCTTCCATTTTCTTGCTATGTCAAACGAATCCCTTTAAGTCACATGGCCCTTTAAAAGTGTAGAAATTGAAAAGTAAGTTGGGCCTTCCATCTGAATTGACCTTTGACTTAGACATAGCTACAGAATTTGCAGGAATTGCCAATCTCAGTGTGATACAATATATTTCTTCCTTTTAAAGCTTTTTCTTTAGAAAATTATCTGATAAAAGTGAAAAATAATAAATAGATCCTATGAAAGGATGAAGGCCTGTTTGGGTGAAGGGCTATATATTAGTCTATTTTCACACTACCAATAAAGACACACATGAGACTGGGTAATTTATAAAGAAAAAGAGGTTTAATGGACTCATAGTTCCATGTGGCTGGGGAGGCCTCACAATCATAGCTGAAGGCGGAAGGCACATCTTACATGGTGACAGCCAAGAGAAAATGAGAGCCAAGTGAAAGAGGTTCCCTCTTATAAAACTGTCAGGCCTCATGAGACTTACTCGCTACCATGAGAACAGTATAGAGGAAACCACCCCCATGATTCAATTATCTCCCTTCGCCTAGGGGCCCTCCCACAACACATGGGAATTATGGGAGCTACAATTCAAGATGAGATTTGGGTGTGGACACAACCAAACCATATCAAGCTCTTTTGTTTTGTGTCCTTTCTAATTGGTCTTAAGATTTCTCTCCTGAGAGTGGCCATAAACTCTAGCCCTGCCTTGCTGGGAATCCAGGGGATTTTTTTTTTTTGTGAATGTTACAGTGTGCCTTTCACAGGATGCTTCTTTGCTGGCAGGCAGCCTGGTGCCTACGTTTTGGCTACATGACCAGGTGTTCCTCTTACATGGTACTTGTTTACACTGGCAGACACCCTGTGGCTCTTGCCTGACCGGTGTCCAGTTTATTCCTACCATGATAGCCACTCCCTAGGAGATCCCTGACCAGAAAAGAAGTTACGTTCAAGTGTGTCAGTCCAGTGAGACAAAGAGGAGGCAACTCAACAAAACATATGAAATACTAAAGCAGTGTATTACTTCCAGATTCTAGAGAGAAGTGGGTATCAGCCAGGGCCAATGGGAAGGTTGTGGGGGCACCAGGTGGAAGGAGTGAGGGAAACAAAACTTATTTCACCCCAAAATATGCTTCTTTGACATATTTTGAGATGGCTGTGCAGAAGGTCTGCAAACACTAATAGCCTTGCAAAGCAGTCTTTTGTGGGGAGATTTGCATCAGTAAAGAGTCTGCAGTGATGCAGCCAGTCTTTCTCTGAGGCCCTCTCTTGTCTGGGTCTGTGAAAGACTTGCTGAGAGGCTTGGCACCTTGAAGCTCTGAAAGAAATATTTACTATCTATTCTTTCTGAGAGCTGCTACCTGTGAGGCTTCATCTGTATAAGAAGACCACCTTTGCTAGCCAGGCTTCCTCTTCTCTCCCTCCCATAATCTGTCTTGCCATATAACCTGATTTACCACCCTAACCTGTTTTGGGCCATGTTCTGAGCCCCCATTCTTTCTGTAACCTCTGGTAAATAAGCTTGTGAGTGCCGTTGAGTTTTGAGTTTTGGGGTAATCACTGTGGTACTCCCTGTGCATGTTTATACATTTGTATGCCTTCTCTCCTATTAAACTGCCTTTTGTGAGTTGATTTTTTTTTTTTTTTTTTTTTTTTTTTTTTTTTTTTTTGCAAACCTTCAGAGGTAGAAGGTAAAGTTTTCCCTTGGCCCCTACAGGAGCCAGAGAGAGAGATGGACCAGAGGTCTTTATTGGAGTCCAGGTGTTATTGGAGTCTTTATTGGAGTTTTGGTGCTATCCAAGCAGGTTTCAAATGGGGAACTCTAATTGGTGGGTAGAGAGCAAGCAGATACAGGTCCTGCGAGTCCATGCTGGGCCTTAGGAATGTTTACTGTGGCACATCTACACAGCCCTTGTGGGGTGGGGTCAGTAGAGTGAAGCTGGTAGTTTATATATATGTCCCATAGGGAGACTTAGGTATAGGGCAGGTATCTAGATCAACCACATGGGAGGAGGGGGAGAACTGGAAACTGTGCCAAAGGTGACTAAGCCCTGTTTCTGGTATGAGATAATTAACCCTATACTCAAAATGGATACTGTGGCAACATAAATTTACAAGTATTGACTAAAAGGGCCAAGTTCTAATTATACCTGTGAGTTCTTTATGTTTGTTGAAGTTGGAGAAGGGCATTTGTAAAACTATAGCATTTGTAAAAAGTAACGACAGAACCCATTATAGGTCAACCAAAGTATCCAGTTCTTTTAATCCCAGAGATAGAGATGATCTTCACTGCCAATCTAAGCCTTCCAAACTAAGCATGCAGCATATTACTTGGCATGATTTAAATATTAACTACTCTGTCAAAGTTTGAATCTTTTAATGTCACTAAGGTCAATTAAGAGTGTTTTCTGTTTGGACAATTTAAAGGCTTCTTTGGCAGATCTAGCATCTAGTCTATGAGCAAATTTTGCAGCACTAGCATTATTGACTGATGAATAATATTGACTTGAAACAAATACTTAGCCCTCGTTTACAAATGAGTGTTGAGGGGAATTCAGAAACTGTTTAAAAGGTCTAAGGAAACATTTGAAAACAAATTACTCTGGAGAAAGTACAAGCATTCTGTATTTGTCGGCGTTCTTCAGAGAGACAGAACTGATGTGCTAGACCTCTATTGACTCCAACAGGGATGGCAATATGTCTGAGTGGCTGAAGAAGAGACCTGGAGCCAGTGAATGAGACATAAAGTGTATTGAAGACTTACGTACAGGGCAGTCTAGGAGTAGTGGGCTGGACAGAGAAACTGCCACCCTTTGTAAAAAGCATGAAGTTTACATAGCATTTTTACTTAGCAACCTTCACCTAGCAACCGCCATCTAGCAACCTTCATTTAACCGAAAAACAAATGGCCTCAGTCTCTTGTATGGCCTGTGTGCCAAGGAATGGGCCAGCAGTTCAGATGTCTTCCCTATTAGGAGTGAATCTCCAGGTTGGTCACTCATGAATTCCTTAGCTCAGAACTCCAAACATGCATTCTTCTTAGCCTGTAGGATTATTCTCAGAGTATGTTTAAGTTGTTGCTGACAGGTGCATCTATCATGCAAGAACCAATAGAAAAACAATATGTATATATAAGACAGGATTTTTAGGGGAATTGGCTCACATGATTATGAAGGCTGAAGAGTTCACTGTAGGCCACCTGTAAGCTGGAGAACCAGAGAAGTTGGTAATGTGGCTTAGTCTAAGTCTGAGGACCTCAGAACCAGGGAAGTTATTGTGGAACTCTCAGTCTAAGGCTGAAAACCTGAGAACCCACGGGCGTGGGAAGAAGGAAGGTGTGCTGGTGCAAGTCCTGGAGTCCAAAGGCTGGAGAACTTGGAGTTCTGATGTCTAAATGCTAGAGAAGAGGGATGTCCCAGATTCGTAAGAGAGAGTGAATTCACCTTTCCTTTCCTTTTTCTTTTCTTTTTTTCTTTTTTTTGCTATCTGGACCCCCTAGGAAATTAGACAGATGGTGCCTGCCTACATTGAGGACAGATCTTCTCCACTCAGTCCACCAACTCACATACACATTACCCCCATTTCCTTCAGAAACACCTTCACAGACACACCCAGGATTAGTGCTTTACCAGCTCTCTAGGCATCCCTTAGTCCAGTCAAGCTGACACCTAAAGTGAACCATCACGCTTTCCAATTTCAATTGGTCATTCAAAAGATTGCTCATGGATCTGTTCAAAAATATAATTATATTTTGTATTTTTTATTATAAAATACTTCAAGTGTGCAGAAATGTACAGATAATAATGTAACAGATATGCATTAATCTACCATCCAGACATAAAATACATTATTTTTTGCCATAAATTTTCCATATCACTTTTGTTTATAAAGAAATATCATTGAAAAAACTAAAGATAAAGCCCCCCACCATGGTTTATTTTTTGTCTCTTCAACTATTTTACTATATTTAAAGTATTGTTTGGGAGGCTGAGATGGGAGAGTTGCCTAGAAGTTTGAGTCCAGCCTGAAAACAGAGTTGGACTCTGTCTCTTAAGAAGAAAATAGTATTATTTGAGAGTATTTAGAATGTTGGTTGAAGTACTTAAAATTTAGATTACTAGTACTACATGATACTAGTCTTATGCAATTTGCTTTTATAATTTGACATTGTGTTTTTAAAGATTTATTCACATTTATAGATAGGAGACAGATCTAGTTTATCCAGTTTTACTTTCTGCTGCTGCATAGTTTTGTTATAGAAATAAGCCAAGGTTTATTGACTCATACTCTTAGTAATGAATGATTAAGTTGTTTCTAATATCTTGCATTACAAATAATGCTGCAATAAATAATTTTGTGCATGCCTCCTTGATAATATGTACAAGAGTTTCTTTAGAGCAGTGGTTCTCAACAGAAGATCATTTTTGCCATCAGGGGACATTGGATAATATCCAGAGACATTTTTGCTTGTCACATCTGGGTAGGACGTCCTACTGGTATCAGGTGGATAGAGATCAGGGATACTGCTAAACATCCTGCAATGCACTGAGAACACAGGATTATCTGGCACCAAATGTCAATAGTGCAGAGACTGAGAAACTGCTCCAGGATATGTAACTAGAACTGAATATATAGAAAAACAAACCACCATCATAAATGTTGGATTCAATAGCCTAGAGATAACAGTCCCTTCCCAGTTAATCTGAAACTTCAGTCTCATTCCAGTCAATATTTTCACAGGGTTTTGTGCAGAATTTGACAAACATTTTTCATGAGTGTATTTTTAAGTTTTCCTGGGACTATAGATGGATCTAAAGAACATTGTTGATGAATCAAATTGATAAATGTGAAAGATATCAGGGAGTCCAGTGATTGTCTTACAATAGCATATTTTTAAATAAATAATTTTCCCTAGGCTGGATTTGGGTATTAACAGTATCATTTGGTTCAGGTAGTAGCATGCTTTCTTTTCTCAAAGTACCTGTCTGGAATTGGACAAAACACTGCAGCTTCTCCAGCTCCTATGGGTTACAACACTTATGATCAACTTTACAGCACTTCAGCATAGGCTGGTGATAGGATGTATATGCTAAGTAACTTCAACTCTAGGTGCAACTGGCAGTCCTAAATGAGAATCCTAACCCTTGGTAACATTATATCAGAGAGGGGAACACCCCAGGAGTTAATTTCTCAACTTTTCTGGCCATCCAAATCTTGACTAACTTTCAAAATTCTACTAATTATTTTATTTAATGTCACAAACGGGTTTTCATTGTCAAATTAACATAATGAATACTAAAATGGGCTCTTTTGGTGAAGTAAAAATTATTCAAGTTTAAATAACGCAGGTTTAATTGGTTTTAGGATATCACTTTTTCCTTTATATATGCGGTTCTGTATCTGTTACTTTTCTGCTATGAATTGTAAAGGATTTGAATTTTGATTGCCTCCATTAGTGAGTTATAAATTCCTCATAGAGTCTTATAGGTCTGAAACATACTGCAAATTCCTGCTAACTTTACCATTTCCCTATGGCTCTAATGAAGTTAGAACTAGATCTTAATTATAGTTGTGGCCTCGTTGACCAGCACTGGTACCATAATATATTTGGCCTGGAGTGGTTAATTCTGACAGCTTCATTATCAGACTGGGATAATGTGCTCTGGTTTCTCTAGGTTTATACAATATAGTAACGGCATATTCATTCATTCATTTGACTATTTACTGAGCACCAAACTGCTTTAGCATCTCATCTCACTTGCATGTGTGAGGTTGCCTCAGCCTGGGGCTTTCTTCTACCTTACTTCTTTACCTGGTAGTCTCCCATTTTAACTCCTAAGTTAGATTCCTTTCCTAAGCGCTATAATATACCCCATGCTCTTGCTGAAATAACATTTTCCACACTGGAATATTATTGCTTATTAGCCTGGATTCATATTACCTGGGTTTAAATCAGCTTCATTCCTTATGAGCTCTGTGACCCACAGAAAGTTACTTATTTTCCCTGAATTTTATTTCCTCACCTGTTAAATGGAGACATTAATATACCTGTTGAATAAAGTTATTGTGTTCATTATATTTATTTATTCAGAACTAGTTATTAAGTAACTATTATATATTAGTTAATGATTCCAAGCACTGGAGATGAGGCAAAGAACACAACAAAATCCCTACCCTGCATATATTCTAGTGGGAGACAGACAATAAACATATCAATATATAACATGATGGGACTAGAGAGTAGCTGATAGTCTCTATTCAATGTATTAGATAGGAGGAGACATTGAACAGAGACTGAATGAAGATGGGGACACTGAGAGAAAAGCAAGTTTTTGGAGGTGGGGGAGGGGGTGGAGTGGGATGTGATCAGTTTTGGCCATGTTAAGTTTAAGATGACCATCATTCATTCCAGCAGAGGAATCGAGTGTCTACTTGTGTGATGGGCTGAATTGTGTACTCCTCAAATTGATAGACTAAAGTCCTAATGCCCTAGTACTGCAGAATGTGAGTGTATTTGGAGATGGAATCTTATAAGAGGTGGTTAAGTTAAAATGAGGTCATATGGGCAGCCCCTAATCCAATATGACTGGTGTCTTTATAAGAAGAGGAGATTAGGACTCAGGCACACAGAGAGGGAAGACCATGTGAAGACACAAGGAGAAGGCAAGCCAAGGAGAGGGGCCAAAGGAGAAACCAACCCTGCCGGCACCTTGATCTCAAACTTCCAGCCTTCAGAACTGTAAAAGAATAAATTTCTGTTGTTTAAGCCACCCATTGTGTGGTATTTTGCTACGGCAGCTCTAGAAAACCAGTACAAGTTGAATAGCTGTGTCTACAGTCTAGTGTTTAGGGGACACAATGAAGCAAGAGTAATTGGCATACGGAAAGTATTTCAAACTACCTTGGAGAAAGAGATCACCCAGAAAGGTATGGGGCTAGAGGAAGGCAAATGTTTAACAACTGGGGCTAATATCCTCCAATATTAAGAGTTCAGGGTAATTAAGAGTTGTTAGCAAAGGAGATGGCAGAGGATCAGCTTATACTACAAGAGGAAAGGAGAGTGGAGTTTGAGAAGGTAAGCAAAGGAATTCACTGATGGTAGGTGCACAGGCAAAGGCAGCCTAACTCAGGAGAAGTCAAAGCTGAATACTACCAAGAAAGATAGTGTGGGGCAGCAAGATTATGAAATAGATGTGGTTGAGCAGTGCAATACATACACACCACACACACACACACATACACATGCACCAACTCACAAAGGAGGTTATTTGGAGAAACACATTTGTTACCATGCACATGAGGGAGAGCCACAGAGTGCTTTCCCCTACCTCCAGGAGTGTTCAGGAGCTTATATACCATTTTGAGGTTGCAGAAAAAAGGAGGGCTCAGAAGATGGCCAAAAAAAGTTAAGGTGCTAAATCAGGTTATAGTAGCAAGACAGGTTATGGAAGGGAGAGAAGAGGAGGCTTGGCTAGCAAAGTGGTCTTATTATGTAGATGGAATCTTTGAGGTTGCAGCCCTCAAAGGGAATAGACAGTAAATGTTTGTTTTAGACCGTTAAGATATCAGACTCTCAGTTAATCTTTCCTAGGTCCAGACAAGGGAAGGCCTCAGCTGTGTTAATGCAGATTTTCTGCAGATGTAAATCTTCCCCACAAAAGACAGCTTAGCCAGATTACTTCTGTTTGCTGACTCTCTGAGCAGCCATCTCAAAATATGTCAAAGAAGTATAGTTTGGGGTGAAATATTTTGAGTTCCTTTAACACATAAACACATACACACACACACAGTGGATTTAGAGGGAGACAAGAAGCAGAAGAGAAAGGAAAGAAAGGCATAGTCTTCTGCAGCCAGTTAGACAGGCAGAACAAGAACAAAGTTCCATTATGCTCTGTCCTCTTGACTGTGTTGTACTTCTATTGTGGCGACCCTTCAGTTTACAGAGCACTTTCACATACATGACTTCAAATAACCTTCTCAACAGCTCTCTGTTGAGAGACGGCATTGTAAGCTGTGTTTTACAGATGAAAAAATTTAAGATTTTGGAAGGTTCAGTTACTTGTTTTCTGTCAGACAGTGGGAAATATTTAGGCTCCTCAGTTAATACTTGAGTTTGACTTCAATACAGCTATATTTAAATTACTTAATTGAAATGTTAGCATCCTCCTTTGGGTGGTCATTGTCCAGTCCTCCCTTACCACCTCTTCATTATTTCTCTTTTGAAGAGCATTGAAATGGTGTTAACGATCCCTTTTATCTTCTCTTACATGAAGTATGTATTATAAAGCTAACAGAATGCCATCAATGCCACATATCTTTGGCTCAACTTATAAAAACTTTGGTTAAGAAAAATCACAGAAATTTTATTATGACCCAATTCTTGGAAGCATTAACTCAGTCAAATAAAACAAGACAAAAAACCCTTAATTTTCACTGTTTCAACAAACCCCATGACATTTTTGACCACGCATGCTGAAGTACAATGTTGGCTGGGGAGAGTCTGGATTACTTTGTTCATGGTTGGCATAGGTTTAAGATGAAGCAGGGTCCTCTCCTAGGGGCCTGAACTCCTCCTCCCCACAAGCATGAAAATAAGGGAAATGAGTTCCTTCAAGGGAAATTTCAGGCACCTAGCTAGCCCTGAGAATTAAATAAGCAACTTGATAAGCAAGAAAGTAATAGTAGCTTAAAACAATAGCTAAGGAAGTTAGAATCGTGGGATGTTTGGTTCTGTATAAAAAATGAAATTGCCTTTGCAAAAATTAAAACAGTGAGAAAACTATGACAGTGAAAGAGATCTGACCTAACCAACTTCATCTTGCCTTTAACCTCCAAACTTCCCTTGGTCATTCCTGCGAGTGGGCCAAGCTAACTCTGGAAGAAATTTAGTTATTGTTTAAGCAGTAATAGTACTTCCCCAAATAAAACTGCCTTTATAAAACTAATAAAAGGCCTCAAGTGTAGGGTTATGAGAGGGGACTGAATTCTGCTAAGATGTAGGCATAGTTAAACCATTACCAGCCATTGTTCTGGAGATCACAAGATCTGTACCTTTCTCAATTACTCTTGTAAATATCATCACTATTTTGTAGAACCTAAGATTGGCCTTTTGAGATGTCTTTTCAGACTTTTGGGTCTCTGATGTCTGGATGTTTCCATCCAGACCTGAGACTCAAGACTCAACTGGTCCTTTGGCCGCCACCCAGAAGCAGACTCAGCACAGGAGGACCATTTTCCACACCCCTATAATTGCATTCCCAAACATTCAGCAGCACCCATTCCCTAGGTTCCTGCCTGCCAAACTATCATTTAAAATCTCTAACCACCAAATTTTTGAGTAGGCTGATTTGAGTAATAATACAACTATAGCCTTCCATTTAGCCAGCTCTACATGTCTTTTACTCTGTCTCTATTGCAAGTTCCCTGTCTTGATATATCGGCTGTATCTGGGCAGTGGGCAAGATGAACCCATCAAGTGGTTACAAAACTAAAGATGACATCTCAGCATATGTCCCTGAGTTGTTTCTCATAAAGCTGGACTCCTGCCCAATGGATCCACAGGCACATAGATCTCAGGAAAATGGGGAACCAAAGACAACTCTGACCACTGTTCCTTGTCCTAAATTTCTTCCTGAGGGGCCTGGAGGAAATCATACTCAAGAGCCAGAGCTAACATTCTTTTCTGGTGACCCCAAATTTTTAAACAAACCTTTCTTAACCAATTGCAAACAGAAAATCTTGGAATCTACCTATGACCTGGCCAAACCAATGTGTGACCTCTGTGTATTGATTTATGATTTTGCATATAGCTCCTGCTGGAATTTACCCCTGCCTTTAAAAAACTCTTACTTGCAAGCCATTGGGGAGGTCAAGACTTAAGTGTTAGCTGCCCAATTCTCCTTGCCCTGCAAATAAAGGCCTTCCTTTCTTTCACTGTAAACCTCAGTGTGGATATCTGGTTTTACTGTGCCAGGTGAGTGAACCCCAGTTTAGTTCAATAACAGATTTTAGGCAAATGACGGCTGGCCCGGAAGTCCTGAAAGTCCAAGGCTTTAGGCCAGAACTGTCCTATGTCCTGGTTAGAGGTGGGATATAACTTCACAATTACAGAAAATTTAAGATTGATCTATGTTTAATTTCTATCTCCATGAAGAGGCTGCCCTCCTCAGCTAAGCGACTAAATGAGCAACAGCTGGGTTTAGAGGCAGAGAAACATAGATGTAACTTATCTTAGGCAGCCACCAAAGGCCTAGTTTAAAAAGAACAATTGTGTTCAGGGAATTTTCAATACACTGTGGGACTGCTAAAGAAATTGTCTCCATCCATGCCTGTTAGCATGGAAAGGCTAATCCACAGTGCCCTAAGGAAGGGTGCTTTGCTTAGAAATGTGGCATTCAGTTTCTGTAACTGCATGGAAATTTCTTTTAAAGCTGTGCATTTCACAAAATGCAGTAATTGCCTTGGGGTGTAATGAATTACAAAAGATGGGGGTAATCACAAAGAAAGAACATCAAGGAGAGGGAGATGAACAGAAACCTCATTGTCTTCAGTGATTACCAAAAATAGGTCAGAAAACAAGTTCTGCTTTGAAGTTTGATGTTTTTATTTTTAAGGAATTCTGTGTAATGAAGTGTAACCTCAGCAAATGGAAACTAGACCCAATATTAAGAGCTAGAGAACTAGTTATAGGAATAGAGAATGGGATGAGTCATTTTCATGACATTCATTTGAGTAGAATCTCAATTCTTATGGTTTCCGTAAAAGTTTTTCTTAGTTTTGCTTTTCTTCCAGTTTGATTAATCTATTGAATTGGATGTAGGCAGGTTGGAATAACCTACATGGTAGCTATGCTAGTGTCTTCTTTGGCAAAATTAAAGGTATACTTACCATGAATATTAGGCAACCTGGAGAGGATAGCAGTTGGAAGCACACATCATATTAATAGAGGCAGGAGGCAGAGAAATCCTAGGCAGATGGGGGTGGGTCCCTGGTGAAATCCCACCTTCAAGCAAAAAACAGCCTGAAAACCGTGGCCCAGAGTGAGAACTTCTATTCCTGTTTGCTTGCTCTCTCCTGATTGATTCTTTCTGAATAATGCCTTTTGATTAATCAGATTTTGCCTTTTCCAATACTACCTACAGCCCACACCACCCCCATCCTGGGCCTATAAAGACCCCAGACTCAGTTGTTAGAGAGAGAGGCCTGACTTCAAGGAAGAGACCTCCTGACTTTGGAGAAGATGACTTGCCCTTCCCATCCCCTTTCCAGCTCCCCTCTCTGCTGGGAGCTGTTTTCATCACTCAATAAAATTATCCTCCTTCATTGTCCTTCAGTTTGTCAGCGTGACCTCATTCTTCTTGGATGCTGGACAAGAGCTCAGGACCCACTGTGTGCAGGTACTCAGAAAGGCTGTCATCCTGGCCCTTTTCCCTTGCTGATGGAGGGCAGTCACCCCACGTGATGGGGCCAAGGGCCCACGGAGCTGCTAACATACCACTGTCCATTGGGCTGTGGATGGTGGAACTAAAAGAGCTAATTGGCACACTAACGCCCCTTTTGGGGCTTTGGGGTTGTGGGCAGCCTTGCCTGGGTGCCACCACGTTCCCCATGAGGTGACATGCCTGGTCTGGCCGCAAGCCCTGTAGGGAGCTTGCTGCTGTGTTAGTGCTCAGAGTGCCTGGCCGGATCCTGCACTCACTTGCTCACATGCTTCCTCCTGCAGGGGGCTGAGTGTGGTGAGCTGAGTAGTCTGGCCACCCATACTGTGAGTCCAGCAAAGGGGCTGAGAAAAATCCTGCATCAATATAGACCTTCTCTTAATATTGGCTTCACCTCTTGCTGCTGCATGACTTTGGCCTTAAGCCTCAGGTTTCCTATCTGAGAAATGGGGGTGATTACAATGTCTCACACTCTTGTCATCATGAGAATATAAGAGGTGATGTATGCCAAGGTCCTGATACCTTTGGGGTGAGTAGGGGCTGCTATTATTTATATAATCTCCTGAAATAGTCATCAAATGCCCAGAGGAATGTGAGTGTGTGTGTGTGTGTCAGTGTGTGTGTTGGGAAATTATTGTATTGAATTTTCAATACACTGTGGGACTGCTAAAGAAATTGTCTCCATCCATGCCTGTTAGCATGGAAAGGCTAATCCACAGTGCCCTAAGGAACGGTGCTTTGCTTAGAAATGTGGCATTCAGTTTCTGTAACTCTGCATGGAAATTTCTTTTATACTGGATAAATGAGTTCTGTTCTGCATAAAGTTAGCCATGTAGCCAGATTTACCTGGTGTGAGCACTTAAGAGAAGCTGAAGCTATCAGTCTCCTTTCTTACCTGTGATCTTCCGTCTTCTTTATAAACAAGAGCTCTGATTTTCATCACCAGTGTAGTTTTAAGATTTTGATAAATGACAGTCAGGACCTGGTGGGATCCACATAGTTCACTCCCTTCTGCCTCTCTCATTCTGCCTGTCAGAAAGTTTGAGACCCACAAATCCTGGTAACTAGGAGCATGTCTCAAACACATCAGCAGTTAGCATGGGACTGGGTCCCACTGAGCTGTACAGCATTTTCAAGGGCTTGTTTCATAAACTCCTAGGTTTAGTTCATAAGTTACTGTGAACTCACCTGCAGTTAAGTTACTGAAGGGTAGCTACAATTCTGGGCTATATAAAATAAAAATAAAACCCCAAGTGCCCCCAGCTAACTGCACAGATTTCTTCTTGGCTCGGGGTGGCCTGGAAAACTGAATTCTTGGCCATGACAGGAAGGCAGGTTGGACATGCCTCATTATATAGCCTCTCTTTTGGAGTTTAGACACAACTGACCAACATTAATGTCAAAATAGAGATTATAAAAGTTTCAGGACAGACTCTTTGTGGCAATAAAATACCAAATTATAAATAAGACCTAAAGCCATACAAGGCAAGGGTTAAGTCACCCTCTACAAACCATAAAATCTGACTTTTAGAAATTAACCTGGTATAATGTGGCTTACTTTCCAACCTGTGCTATAGCATCACATGACAGCTAGGAGACCCCCTTTTGTCTTAACTTAAGCAGTCCTTTGTACTGACTTCAAGTCTTTAGAGTCTAAGTTTAGACAAAGCTTTACTCCTTTATCCTAAAGCAAATTAAAGAATCTCAGAATCTACCTATAACCTGTAAGCCCCCTGCTTCAAGACATCCTGCCTTTCCAGGCTGAACAAATGTTTACCTTCCATGTATTGATTTATGCCTTTGCCATTGCTCTTGCTTCCCTAAAATGCATAAAACCAAACTGTTATCTGACTGCCATGGGTCTACTTTCTCAGGACCTCTTGAGACTGTGTTTCCTGGGCCATGGTCACTCATACTGGCTGGGAATAAACCTCTTCAAAATATTTTACAGAGCTTGGATTTCCCCTTAACAGTTGAAACATCTTTCTGCAAGTCACTGGCGAAGCTCATTTGTCCCTGAGGACAATGCCACTCACCAGTTGGCTCCTTCTTGCAGCATTATATGCAAACTCCCCCCTCCTTAAGAGAATAAATATTTAACAAGAAAATTGCAATGGAGCCAAGTGTGAGAGGTGTGGCTAAGCTATGCGGCAGCCCTCTCCTAAGATAAACTTAGAATAAGGATGAGGATATGTTTACAACATACAAACACACACACACACCACATGCACACGCATCTATATATATGTATACAACATTTGAATATTCCTTTTCATACTTTGCCTATAGTAAAAGAAATATCCTTCTCTTTAATATACAGCCTAGAAAGGAAGTTTATCAAATTTCTTTAAGTCCCACATCTGTAAAAAGCAGATAAGCTCACTGTAAGAACTGATGTAGTAAAATCTTCACAGTTATTGAAGTGAGCTCTAAATTCACTGTGTTCTGTTTCTGCTCATATCATCTATCCGACTGCTGTAAATGAATTTTAATTCCCTTTACCTGCATTGAGGAAGTTTATTGCTTATTTTCAGTATTTAGGTAGATGGCCTCACAGAGCCTTTTATTTTACTCTGGTTTATATAATTTTAGATATCCACCCACATGTCACTGTGCATGCCTCTACACCAGCCCCCGAAACATTTCCTCTTGTAAAACTGATACGTCTCAGTCAGTTGCCTAAAGCAGCTGTGCACTTCCTCTGAACTCCAGCGAATATGTAGGGAAAAAGGAAGGAAGGAAGAAAAGAAGGCGTAGGGGAGGAAAAATA
Source organism: Homo sapiens (assembly GCF_000001405.40). NCBI lineage: Eukaryota > Metazoa > Chordata > Mammalia > Primates > Hominidae > Homo > Homo sapiens. The sequence goes on along the minus strand of NC_000002.12, from coordinate 150,847,128 downwards.
ATTTTCTCTTTCACTTTTCATGAGTTCTCATCTGGGACTCCCAGCAAAAAAAAGATTAATAACAGAAAAAACATCAGAAATTTAATAACATGTATATATCCTGTATACATGGGAGATAACCCAGAGAAATGAGTAGATATCTAGAGTAGATCCCAAAGAGTTGTCTTAGACATCTTAAATCCCATTGATCTCTGAAGCAGGAAAAGCACTGTGAAACAAGGGTAAGGCTTGTTATGCAGATTTAAATCGGTGCTGTCTTCATTGACTAAGAGTCTCTAGTGATTTAGTCATGTTTCTCTTCCTGGTACAGAGAGAGAGAGACATCCTTACAAATGGAGATTTCCTTTATAGATATAAATTTCTTTTTTAAAAGAGTGATTTTTTAGAGCTTCTTCTGTGTCTGCTGTTTCTCAAATAGCCAGCTCAAGTAATTCTTGTGCTGAAGAGGCGTACTTGGCATATTCTGGTCTTCTACAGTTATTTTTGGGGTGGCATGTCCTTGACCCCATCAAAGGCAAGAAGGAAGGAAAAAAAGGAAGAAAGAATGAGAAAAAGAAGGAAAGAAGAGAATAGAGAGGGAGAGATTGAGCGAAGACAGAAAATGACATATGTTTCTATTTAGACCCACTGACAATTTCATTAGGTCCACCTGCATTTAGCCTACATTCTGGGTTCAAGGCTGGTGCTGTGTAGATTTGGACACTGACTGAGGCTGTTGTGACTAATCTCCCCTCTACAGGTCAGATTTTCTCCTCCAAGCAAACGTTCTTCTTATTGATTCTTATCCAGCTTCTTCTCCCAATATATTTGACTAGGAAGCAACTACTTAGTGCTATAACCTGGTTACTTTTGTTGTTCTGTACATCACAACTTGCCTCAGAGCACAACTGCCAATTTTAAAATGTGGCTTCTGTATTGAAGGTCCTAGTGTCAGAGGCATTCAAACCAGAGAAACTCCATCTTGAATAGGGGCTGGGTAAAATGAGACTGAGCCTACTGGGCTGCATTCACAGACAGTTAAGACATTCTAAATCACAGGATGAGATAGGAGGTCAGCACAAGATACAGGTCAGAAAGACCTTGCTGATAAAACAGGTTGCAGTAAAGAAGCCAACTAAAACCCACCAAAACCAAGGTGGCGACGAGAGTGACCTCTGGTGATCCTCACTGCTACACTCCCACCAGCACCATGACAGTTTTTAAATGCCATGGCAATGTCAGGAAGTTACCCTATATGGTCTAAAAAGGGGAGGCATAAATAATCCACCCATTGTTTAGCATATCATCAAGCAATAACCATAAAAATGGGCAACCAGACCCCTCAGGGCTACTCTGTCTATGAAGTAGCCATTCTTTTATTCCTTTACTTTCCTAATAAACTTGCTTTCACTTTCCTCTAGGGACTGGCCCTGAATTCTTTCTTGGGCAAGATTCAAGAATGGTCTTTTGGGGTCTGGATCAGGACCCCTTTCCTGTAACGCTAGGACATCTATTCTGGTCCAGGATCCAATTGCATGCAAACCTCTCTTCCTGGCCAATTACCAGACCTTGCTAGTGAATGGGGCTGGTGCCTGCTTCATTGCTTTCCGTTCCACTTGCCTGACCCTCTTTGTTGTGAGTAATCTGGCCTTCATTGTGAATGACACCCAACTATACCAGCAGACTTTTCCTACACATGGGAGTGTTATTCTACCCATTCTACAGGTATAGGAAACAGGCTTAGAGAAGTTTTATGGTTTCCGCAAGACTTTAAAGGTTTTTTAAAGCTCTTTTGGAGAAAACTGGAAAGAAGATTATCCTGTTTATAGGCCTAAAAATGACGTTGAAAACTAAACATGCTCAAAGAAGACATTTGTCTCTTTGAAGGCACTGAGGTCTCTGATTAACAATTTTTAAAGACTAATCATGAACACTAATAGCTATGCTCCGTCATCACTCAGCTAACATATCTGGGCCCCAAGTTTAAATAGTTAACTGTGATCCTTCCCTTGTATAGTATGTGCCTGCTCAATAATGCTTAATTCAAAGTGCTCACCCCTTATATTTGTTTCAATATTGTTTGAGATGGGAACTCAGGAGAAGTATTTTTGTTTTTGATGGTGGCAGATCCTCATCATGGAGTTGTTCTATTGTGTTCTCCATATAACCTGTGGCTTGGGTTTGTTTGCAAGAATAGAGTTTATCAAAAACTGATCCTCCTACTTCTCTTTATAAAGAAGTATTTATAAATAAAGATTCTGCACAGAATATGCTGGTCCTCTAGGGCAGTGCCAATTCTTCTAATACAGTAATTATTTGAAGCCTTGTGCCCTGGAGTCAACATGTTCTTGTGGGAATTGCTACAGTTGAGAAAGCAAGATGAGTTTATAGGAAAAATGTGTTAAAATGTAAACATATATTAACAACTTCAAAAAGCTGGAGCACATAGTAACATCCTTAAAATCACTTTTCCCTTATTTCCAGATGCTTATGGCATTTATAAAAGGGATATAAAATCATACAGTAAGAGCACTGTGGGCGGGTACATTATTTACATGTTATCACGTGTTGGCATTTTTTACTCAGGGCCCTGATAATTGAAGATGAAACTGATAAAAATTTAAAGCCATAACTTGTTTTGTTGTTGTTTTTCTTTTTAAGAGACAGGGTCTTGCTCTGTCACCCAGGCTGGTGCGATCAGCGATCGTAGCTCACTGCAACCCCAACCTCCTGAGCTCAAGCAATCCTCTCGCCCCAGCTTCCTGAGTAGCTTGGACTACTGGTGCATGCCATAATGTCCAGTAAATTTTTTTTTTAATTTTGAAGAGACAGGGTTTTGCTATGTTGTGTAGGCTGAACCAGAACTTTTGAGTCCCTATTTCCTAATTTATGCAATCACTTCACACTGGCACCCCCACATCATTGCATAAATTGACATCCTTCAAGTGAAATAATTATATATAAGATGTTTCCAACTACCTTCACCTGCAAATAATAGTAAACCTGATGTGTGGATAAAGAATTGTATTTACCACATGTTCCAATTTGCCCAATGGATTGATGGGTATTCAATCATTTTAACCATTTTAAGATTTTGAAGAGTGAACAGTCATTACATATCTTATAACTTAACCTTTAAAAACTGTCGATTTTGAACTTTACCTTTCAACTTGACTTAATGTGATGTTTTAGAAGCATTCTTCAAAGAATAAAACACTAACTATGCAGAAAAGATTGGGGGATCATCATGGCAGGTGGGAGGCAGAACTAGATTGCAGCTCCAACAGAGCAACATGCCAAGACTTACGTTGTGAATTTTAGCTCCAGATCGACTGCAAGAACAAACCAGCAATCTCGAGAAGACCCATAGACCCTCTGAAGGAAGCAGACTGCTCCTGCAGGACTTGGAAGATACCCCAAATACTGTGAGTGCCCCAACTGCAGAAGTGGGAAAGGGATACCCTTCTCTTCCGAACACACACCCCTACTGGAGAAACTGTAGGTTTCTCTTTGCAGGAGAAGTTTCTGACTTTACCCGAAGCTGAGTGCATTTAGAGAGCTGAGCGAAATACAGGGGTAGAGGAACCAGCAGAAAGGCCCTGGGAGCTCGCTGCGTCCCCAAGCAGGCCATTCCTGTTTGGCACCACAGGGATCCATCAGGAGGGTGGCCAGAGGAGCAAGGGGTAAAACTCCACAGGGAGAAGGAAATCTCTAGCTGAACTTTGTAACAATTTGAACAGGGCAAGAAGCTTCCTGGCCAGAACTCAGGGGGAGGTGCAAATCTGATGTGCGGACTCCACAGGCGGGGGAAGAACCAGCCCTTTTCTTACGCAGCTGGGAGGTGGGTAGCCTGAAGCAAATTTTCAAGCCCGTCTTGCCCTCTGCCTGGAAACAGACTTGGGGTTATTGGTGGGGGTGTGGATGGTGGGAGTGAGACCAGCCCTCTGGTTTGTGTGGGAGCTGGGTAAGGCCTGTGACTGCTGGCTTTCCCCCACTTCCCTGACAACATGCATCACTCAGCAGAGGCAGCCATAATCTTCCTAGGTACACAACTCTTGTGACCTGGGAATCTCACCCCCAATCCCCACAGTAGCCCCAGCAAGACTTGCCTAAGCTCAAGTCTAAGGAGAGCCTGAGCTCAGACACACCTAACCCTGCCCCAACTGATGGTCCTTCCCTACCCACCCTGGTAGCAGAAGACAAAGGGCATATAATCTTGAGAGTTCTAGGGCCCCGCCCACTGCCTGTCTCTCACCATACTACTACAGCTGATGCTTTCTGGAAAGAACCACCTCCTGGCAGGAGGCCAAAGAGCACAAAAATAAATAGAGCATTAAATCACCAAATCTAAGAACCCTCATGGAGTCCATTGCACCCCCCTGCCACCTCCTCCAGAACAGGCATTTGTATCCATGGCTGAGAGACCCACAGATGGTTCAAATCACAGGACTCTGTGCAGACAACCCCCAGTACCAGCCCAGAGCTGGGTAGACTATCTGGGTGGCTACACCCTGAAGAGAGACAGCAATCACTGCAGTTCAGCTCACAGGAAGCCACATCCATAGGAAAAGGGGGAGAGTACTATATCAAGGGAACACCCTGTGGGACAAAAGAATCTGCACAACAGCCATCAGCCTTAGACCATTGCTCTGACAGAGCCTGCCCAAATGAGAAGGAACCAGAAAACCAACCCTGGTAATATGACAAAACAAGGCTCTTCAACACCACCAAAATACCACACTATTCACCAGCAGTGGATCCAAACCAAGAAGAAATCTCTGATTTACCTCAAAAAGAATTCAGGAGGTTAGTTATTAAGCCAATCAGAAAGGCACCAGAGAAAGGCAAAGCCCAATGCAAAGAAACAAAAAAAAATGATATAAGAAGTGAAGGGAGAAATATTCAAGGAAATAGATAGCTTAAAGAAAAAACAATAAAAAATTCAGGGAAGTTTGGACAATTTTTAGAAATGCAAAATGTTCTGGGAAGTCTCAGCAATACAATTGAACAAGAAAAAGAAAGAAATTCAGAGCTTGAAGACAAGGTCTTCAAATTAACTCAATCTGACAAAGACAAAGAAAAAGAATAAAAAAATATGAACAAAGCCTCCAAGAAGTCTGGGATTGTGTTAAATGACCAAACCTAAGAATAATCCGTGTTCCTGATGAAGAAGAGAATTCTAACAGCTTGGAAAACATAGTTGGGGGACTAATCAAGGAATACTTCCCCAGCGTTGCTAGAGACCTAGACATCCGAATACAAGAAGCACAAAGAACACATGGGAAATTTTTTGCAAAAAGATCATTGCCTAAGCATGTTGTCATCAGGTTATCCAAAGTTAAGATGAAGGAAAGAATCTTAAGAGCTAGGAGATAGAAACACCAGGTAACCTTTAAAGGAAAACCTATCAGATTAACAGTAGATTTCTTGGCAGAAACCTTACAGAACAGAAAGGATTGGGGCCCTATCTTCAGCTTCCTCAAATAAAATTATCAGCAAAGAATTTTGTATCTGGTGAAACTAAACATCATATATGAAGGAAAAATACTGTCATTTTCAGACAAACAAATGCTGAGAGAATTCGACACTACCAAGCCACCACTACAAGAACTGCTAAAAAGGAGCTCTAAATCTTGAAACAAATCCTGGAAACAAATCAAAACAGAACCTCTTTAAAGCATAAATCCCATAGGACCTATAAAAGAAAAATACATGTTAAAAAGCAAAACCAAAAAACCAAAGTACACAGGCAATAAAGAGCATGATGAATGCAATGGTATCTCTCATTTCAATACCAATATTGAATGTAAATGGCCTAAATGCTCCACATAAAAGATACAGAACAACAGAATGGATAAGAACTCACCAACCGACTATCTGCTGCCTTCAGGAGGCTCACCTAACACATAAGGACTCACATAAACTTAAAGGGGTGGAAAAAAGGCATTTCATGCAAATGGACACCAAAAGTGAGCAGGGGTAGCTATTCTTGTGTCAGACACAACAGACTTTAAAGCAACAGCAGTTAAAGGAGACAAAGAGGGACATTATAAAATGGTAAAAGGCCTTATCCAACAGGAAAAGATCACAATCTTAAACATATATGCACCTAACACTGGAGCTCCCAAATTTATAAAACAATTACTAATAGACCTAAGAAATGAGATAGCAACACAATAATACTGGGGGACTTCAGTACTCCACTGACAGCATGAGACAAGTCATCAGGATAGAAAGTCAACAAAGAAACAATGGATTTAAATTGTACCTTGGAACAAATGGACTTAACAGATATGTATAGACCATTTCATCCAACAACTGCAGAATACACATTCTATTCAACAGCACATAGAACTTTCTCCAAGACAGACCATGTATTAGGCCAAATGAGCCTTAATACATTAAAAAAATTGAAATTATATCAAGCACTCTCTCAGAGCACAGTGGAATGAAACTGGAAATCAACTACAAAAGCAACCTTCAAAAACATGGAAATTAAATATTCTGCTCCTGAATGAGCATTGAGTCAAAATCAAGATGGAAATAAAATTTCTTCAAATTGAATGACAATAATGACACAGCCTACCAAAACCTTTGGGATAAAGCAAAGGCAATGCTAAGAGGAAAGTACATAGCCCTAAAAGCCTATATCAAAAAGACTGAAAGAGCACAAACTGACATTCTAAGGTCACCCCTCAAAGAACTAGAGAAACAAGAACAAACCAAACCCAGACCCAGCAGAAGAAAGAAAATTACCAAGATCAGAGCACATCTAAATGAAGTTGAAACAAAAACAATACAAAAGATAAATGAAACAAAAAGCTGGCTCTTTGAAAAGATAAATAAAATTGACAGACCATTAACAAGATTAACCAAGAAGAGAGAAAATCCAAATAAACTCACTAAAAAATGAAGCAAGAGATATTATATCTAACACCACTCAAGTATAAACGATCATTCAAAGCTATTATGAACACCTTTACACACATTACCTAGAAAATCTAGAAGAGATGGATAAATTCCTGGGAAAATACAACCCTCCTTGCTTAAATCAGGAAGAATTAGATAACCTGAACAGACCAATAACAAACAGTGAGATTGAAATAGTAATTAAAAAATTATGGACAAAAAAGTCCAGGACCAGATGGATTCACAGCAGAATTCTACCAGATATTCAAAGAAGAATTGATACCAATGCTTTTGACACTATTCCACATGACAGAGAAAGAAGAAACCCTCCCTAATTCATTCTATGGAGCCAGCATCACCCTAATACCAAAACCAGGAAAGGACATAACAAAAAAGAAAACCAATATCCTTGATAAACATAGATGCTAAAATTCTTAACAAAATACTACCTAACTGAATCCAATAACATATCAAAAAGATAATTCTCCATGATTAAGTGGGTTTCATACCAGGGATGCAGGGATGGTTTAACATACACAAGTCAATAAATGTGATACACCACATAAACAGAATTAAAAACAAAAATCACATGATCATCTCAATAGATGCAGAAAAAGCATTAGACAAAATCCAGCATCGCTTTATGATTAAAACTCTCAGCAAAATCAGCATACAAGGGACATACCTTAATGTAATAGAAGCCATCTATGGCAAATCCACAACCAACACAATACTGAATGGGGAAAAGCTGAAAGCATTCCCTCTGAGAACTGGAATAAAACAAGGATGCCCACTCTTACCACTCCCTTTCAACATAGTACTGGAACTCCTAGCCAGAGCAATCAGACAAGAGAAAGAAATAAAGGGCATCCAAATTGGTAAAGAGGAAGTCAAACTGACACTGTTTGCTGATGATATGATCATTTACCTTGAAAACTCTAAAGACTCCTCCAGAAAGCTCCCAGAACTGATAAAAGAATTCAGCAAAGTTTCCAGATACAAGGTTAATCTACACAAATCAATAGCTCTTCTATACACCAACAGCAAGCAGAGAATCAAATCAAGAACTCAACTCCTTTTACAATAGCTGCAAAAAAATAAAAAATAAAAAAAATTTAGGAATATACCTAACCAAGGAGTCAAGAAACCTCTACAAAGAAAACTATAAAACACTGCTGAAAGAAATCATAGATGACACAAACAAATGGAAACATATCCCATGCTCATGGATGGGTAGAACGAATATTATGAAAATGACCATACTAGCAAAAGCAATCTACAAATCCAATGCAATCCCCATCAAAATATCACCATCATTCTTCACAGAATTAGAAAAGACAATTCTAAAATTCATATGAAACCAAAGAACAACCGACATAGCCAAAACAAGACTAAGCAAAAAGAACAAATCTTGAGGCATCACACTACCTGATTTCAAAGTATACTATACAGGCCATAGTCACCAAAACAGCATGGTACTGGTATAAAAATAGACACATAGACCAATGGAACAGTATAGGGAAACCAGAAATAAACCCAAGCACTGACAGCTAACCGATCTCTGACAAAGCAAAAAAGAAAAAGAAAAAAAAAAACCGTACAATGGGGAAAGGACACCCTTTTCAACAAATGGTGCTGGAATGATTGGCAAGCCACATGTAGGAGAATGAAACTGGATCCTCATCTCTCACCTTACACAAAAATCAACTCAAGATGGATTAAGGACTTAAACCTAAGACCTGAAACTATAAAAATTCTTGATAATAACGTTGGAAAAACCCTTCTAAACATTGGCTTAGACAAGGATTTCATGACCAAGAACCCAAAAGCAAATGCAATAAAAACAAAGATAAATAGCTAGGACCTAATTAAACTAAAGTGCTTTTGCATGGTAAAAGGAACAGTCAGCAGAGTAAACAGAAAACCCACAGAGTGGGAGAAAATCTTCACAATCTATACATCTGACAAAGGACTAATAGCCAGAATCTACAGTGAACTCAAACAAATCAGTAAAAAACCCCAAACAATCCCATTAAAAAGTGGGCTAAGGACATGAATAGACAATTCCCAAAAGAAGATATACAAATGGACATCAAACCTATGAAAAAATGCTCAGCATCACTAATGATCAGGGAAATGCAAATCAAAACCACAATGTGATACCCCCTTACTCCTGCAAGAATGGCCATGATAAAAAAATCAAAAAGCAGTAGATGTTGGTGTGGAAGTGGTAAACAGGGAACACTTCTACACTGCTGATGGGAATGTAAACTAGTACAGCCACTATGGAAAACAGTATGCAGAATCCTTAAAGAAGTAAAAGTAGAACTACCATTTGATCCAGCAATCCCACTACTGGGTATCTACCCAGAGGAAAAGGAGTCATTATTTGAAAAAGACACTTGCATACGCATGTTTATAGCAGCACAATTCACAATAGGAAAATCGTAGAACCAATCCAAATGCCCATCAATCAATGAATGGATAAAGAAACTGTGGTATATAAAAATGATGAAATACTATGCAGCCATAGAAAGGAATGAATTCACAGCATTTCGAGTGACCTGGATGAGATTAGAGACTATTATTCTAAGTGAAGTAACACAGGAATGGAAAACCAAATATTGTATGTTCTCACTGATATTTAAGAGCTAAGCTATGAGGACGCAAAGGTATGAGAATGATACAATGGACTATGGGGTCTTGGGAGGAAGGGTGGAAGTGGGTGAGGGATAAAAGACTACAAATACGGTGCAGTGTATACAGCTCAGGTGATGGGTGCATGCAAATCTTACAAATCACCACTAAAGAACTTAGTCATGTAACCAAATACCTCCTGTACCCCAATAACTTACAGGAAAAAACACTAACCATGCCAAAAAAAAAAGTTCAACCAGTTTCTTTATAGTTTCTTGTCTGTGTATTTTGGCATTTTTAGAGACATATATACAAGCCTTCTAAACAGTTAAATGTCTGCCCAGACTGTGAAGCTCAAACATGGTTTAAGTGCTCCAGGGATGTGATTACCAAAAATAATAACTAGATCACAATCATTAAAATGAAAAACTAAGCAGATGATGGGGGAAATTATGCAAAGAAGGGCAGGGCAGTAAAGCAAATACATCTCTTTTTGTAGATTGGATGTTTTTTGATCTTCATTTCTGTTTTATCAACAGCTGCATATCTTATTATTAGGGCAATTGAGGCTAAGAAGCCCTCTTCAAAATATATTAATTATGCGATGTTGATCAGACAATGAATTATCACAGATTATGCAGCTCTATTACATTCAGTAAAGCTAAGAAGAGCATTTGAATATGTTTCATCACACAAAGTGATGTAATAATAATTATTTGGGGATGGCAGTTTTGACATCATTATTAGCTTGAATATAGTCTCATTACCTCCAAGTGGCTCAGCAAAATATTAACTGAGCATCTGTGCGTACATGGCATTGTTCATTGTGGGTGTGTACTTTATACATGTTATCATATGTTGGGGCCTTCTTTGCCCAGGACCTAGTCCATAATAGGTACTCAATAAATGTTTGCTGATCCTGAAGTTGATCAGCCTTTGTCCTTCCTGGTAGAGATGGGAGGAGGGACACTTCTGTGAATTTATGAAGTGCTTTTAGGCAAATAGGGAGTGAGCAGAGAGCTTTTCTTGTATTTACTTCTTAATTGGCTTCAGTTCAAAATAATTTTTATGCCAAAGTGGCATATTTTGGGGTGGCATTTTCCTACCCTTCATGCCTAAGTTTACAACTAACATACCAAAGTTTAAAGGTGAATGTAATGGTTAATACTGAGTGTCAACTTTATTGGATTTAAGAATGCAAAGTATTGATCCTGGGTGTGTCTTTGAGGGTGTTGTCAAAGGAGATTAACATTTGAGTCAGTGGGCTAGGGAAGACAGACCCACCCTAAATCTGGTGAGCAAAATCTAATCAGCTGCTAGGAAATATAAAGCAGGCAGAAAATGTGAAAAGGTGAGACTGGCCTAGGCTCCCAGCCTACATCTTTCTCCCATGCTGGATGCTTCCTGCCCTCAAACATCAGCTCCAAGTTCCTCAGTTTTGAGACTCAGACTGGCTCTCCTTGCTCCTCAAGGTTTCAGACAGCCTATTGTGGAATGCTGTGATCAGGTAAGTTAATACTTAATAAACTCCTCTTTTTATATCTATCTATCCTATTAGTTCTGTCCCTCCAGAGAACCCTGACTAATACAGGTTTTGGTACCAGGAGTGGTTCTAGAGGAACAGAATATTAAAGATGGAGTTCTTTTGTCGGTTTTGGGGTTTCTGTAGTTGGCTACTTCATATGATTGGACACCAAAATTCTAAGGCCTCTACTTCTAATAGTATGGAGAATGCTGATAGTACTTGGTGTGAACTGATTAGAGAGTTACACAAAATAAATGCATTTGACACTCCTGATTCACTGCTTGTGAGAGGCAAGGAGTTTAGTGACTCTATACATAATACCTCTGACCATATGTGGAGAATCAAGGAACATAATGGGGCTGGTTGGTTGCTCCTAAGTTCAGTAGATAATGTCGTGAAAAAAATGATGAACTCAGGGATTCTATCTCCTGGATTCAGAAGCAGATACTGAGCCTCAAATCTGCTAAGATTGCCCTGAGTGAGAGTCTTATCTCCTATAGAGACAGAGCTGAAGTTGTGGAAAAACAGACACAAGCTCTTATCATCCAAGTGGCTGACCTGCAATGAAAAGTGCATGCACAGCCTCGCCAGGTGTCTACTGTTAAAGTGAGGTCATTGATTGGAAAAGAATGACACCCTGCAACTGGGAATGGGGATATATGGGAGGACACTGGTGAAGCTGGGGACACTGAGTTTGTAAACTCTGTTGGACCATTTTTGCCAGAAGAAACAGCTTTCCCATCCCCAGTAATGGCAACATCCCCTCCCCGACCCATGCTGCCATCAGCTTTTCCACTTTTGTCTGAGGAGATAAATCCTGTGTTGCCTGAGGCAAAAGTGTTGTCCTCCCCTGAATCAGTTGCCAGGCAAAATAATGTTGATTCTCCTTAAGAGCCACCCCCAACACTCCTGTTTGCTTCTAAACCTATAACTAAAGTCCCAGTGGGCCCCTAGAGGTGAGATTGAGAGTGTGACCCATGAGGAGGTGTGCTACACTCAAAAAGAACTGCTTGAGTTTTCTAATTTATATAAACAGAAATCTGGAGAACAGGCATGGGAAAGGATATTAAGGGTGTGGGATAATGGTGGAAGGAACATAGAGTTGGATCAGGCTGAATTTATTGATTTTGGCCCACTAAGTAGGGACTCTTCATTTAGTGTTGCAGCTCAGGGAGTCAAAAAAGGTTCTAATAGTTTACTTGCTTGGTTAGCTGAAATACAGATTAAAAGATGGCCCACTGTGAGCCAGCTAGAAATGCCTGAGCTTCCTTGGTTTAATGTACAGGAAGGGATCCAAAGGCTTAGGGAGATTGGGATGGTGGAGTGGATTAGTCACTTTAGACCTACTCATCCCAGCTGGGAGCTTGAAGAAGATATACCCTTGACAAATGCCTTGCAAAATAGACTTGTGAGGGCAGCACCTGTATCACTGAAGAGCTTTGTAATTGCTCTTCCCTGTATGTCAGATCTAACAGTGGGAACCACAATCACTCCACTACAAAATTTAAATATAATGGGAATAATTGGATCCCAGGGTGGCAGGGGCCAAGTGGCAGCACTCAACCATCAAAGGCAAGAGGGGCATAGCTACTGAAATGGACAGCAGAGGCACAGTGACAATCAGAATAGTCTGACTCCTGTAGAGTTCTGACATTGGCTAATTAATCATGGTGTTCCTAGAAGTAAAATTGATAGGAAGCCCACTGCATTCTTGCTTAATTTATATAAACAGAAAACTTCTAGGTCCAATGGATGAAAAGCTAATTTGAATTATAAAAACAGAGAATCATGGCCCATCAATAAATTTTTGGGCTTGAGCCAGTTTACAGACCCACAACCCCTTGAAAGAAGGGGAGGCTGGGTCACCTTGTGTAAGGACCCCATATTACTGAAATTTATGCAGTGAATCTTTCTCCCATCCTTCCCTAAGGAGACCTCCAGCCTTATACCAGGGTAGCTGTGCACTGGGGAAAGGGAAATGATCAGACATTTCAGGGACTACTGGACACTGGCTCTGAGCTGACATTGATTCCAGAGGACCCAAAATGTCATTGTGGTCCCCAGTTAAAGTAGAGGCTTATGAAGGTCAGGTAATTAATGGAGCTTTAGCTCAGGTCTGATTTACAGTGGGTCCAGTGGGCCCTTGGACTCTTCTTTTGGTCATTTCCCTAGTGCCAGAATGCATAATAGGCATAGACATATTAAGTGGCTGGCAGAATCCCTGCACTGGCTCCCTGACTGGTAGGGTGAGGGCTATTATGGTGGGAAAGGCCAAATGGAAGCCATTAAAGCTGCCTCTACTTAGAAAAATAGTAAATTGAAAACAATATTGCATCCCTGGGGGGACTTCAGAGATTAGTGCCACCATCAAGGACTTGAAAGATGCAGAGGTGGTAATTCCCACCACATCCCCATTCAACTCTCCCATGTGGTCTGTGCAGAAAACAGATGGATCTTGGAGAATGACAGTGGATTATTGTAAGCTTAACCAAGTGGTGACTCCAATTGCAGCTGCTGTACCAGATGTGGTTTCATTGCTTGAACAAATTAACATATTTCCTAGTACCAAATATGCAGCCATTGACTTGGCAAATGCCTATTTCTCCATTCCTGTCCATAAGGCCCACCAGAAGCAATTTGCCTTCAGCTGGAAAGGCCAGCAATATACCTTTACTGTCCTACCTCAGGGATATACCAACTCTCCCGCTTTGTGTCATAATATTATTTAGAGAGGTCTTCATCACTTTTCGCTTCCACAAGATATTACACTGGTCCCTTACATTGATGACATTATTTTGATTGGATCCAGTGAACGAGAAGTAGCAAACACACTGGACTTATTGGTGAGACATTTGCATGCAGAGGATAGGAAATAAATCTGACTAAAATTCAGGGAACTTCTACCTTAGTAAAATTTCTAGGGGTCCAGTGGTGTGGGGCCTGTCGAGATATTCCTTCTAAGGTAAAGGATAAGTTGCTGCATTTGGCCCCTTCTACAACCAAGGCAGAGGCACAACACCTAGTGGGTCTATTTGGATTTTGGAGGCAACGTGTTCCTCATTTGGGTGTGTTACTCTGCCTCATGTTTCAAGTGACCTGAAAGGCTGCCAGTTTTGAGTGGGGCCCAGAACGGGAGAAGGCTCTGCAACAGTTCCAGGCTGCTGTGTAAGCTGTTCTGCTCTGCCACTTGGGCCATATGACCCAGCAGATCCAATGGTGCTGGAGGTCAGTGGCAGATAGGAATGCTGTTTAGAGCCTTTGGCAGGCTCCCATAGGTGAATCACAGTGGAGGCCTCTAGGATTTTGGAGGATGGCCCTATCAACTTCTGCAGATAACTACTCTCCTTTTGAGATACAGCTCTTGGCCTGTTACTAGGCTTTGGTGGAAACTGAACATTTGACTACAGGTCATCAAGTCACCATGAGACCTGAATTGCCTATCATGAACTTGGTGCTTGCTGACCCATCTAGCCATAAAATGGGTCATGTACAGCAGCATTTCATCATCAAATGGAAGTGATATATACGTGATCAAGCTCAAGAAGGCTGTGAAGGCACAAGTAAGTTACATGAGGAAATGGCTCAAATGCCCGTGGTCTCCACTGCTGCCACCCTGCCTTCTCTTCCCCAGCCCGCACCGATGGCCTCATGGGGAGCTCCCTATGATCAGTTGACAGAGGAAGAGAAGACCAGGGCCAGGTTCACAGATGGCTCTGTATGATATGCAGGCACCACCTAAAAGTGAACAGCTGTAGCACTACGGCCCCTTTCTAGGACATTCCTGAAGGACAATGGTGAAGGGAAATCTTCCCAGTGGGCAGAACTTTGAGCAATGCAACTGGTTGTGCACTTGGCATGGAAGGAGAAATGGCCAGATGTTCAATTATATACTGATTCATGGGCTGTAGCCAATAGTTTGGCTGGATGGTCAGGGTCTTGGAAGAAGCATGATTGGAAAATTGGTGACAAAGAAATCTGGGGAATAGTTATGTGGCTGGTCCTCTCCAACTGGTCAAAAGCTGTGAAGATATTTGTATCCCATGTGAGTGCTCACCAAGGGGTGACCTCAGTAGAGGAGGATTTTAATAATAAAGTGGGTAGGATGACCCATTCTGTGGACACCACTCAGCGTCTTACCCCAGCCACCCCTGTTATCGCCCAATGGACCCATGAACAAAGTGGCCATGGTGGCAGGAATGGAGGATACACATAGGCTCAGCAACATGGACTTCCACTAACCAAGGCTGACCAGGCTATGGCCACTGCTGAGTGCCCTATTTGCCAGCAGCAGAGACCAACACTGAGACCTTGATATGGCACCACTCTTTGGGGTGATCAGCTAGCTACCTGGCGGCAGATTATATTGGACCTCTTCCATCTTGGAAAGGGCAGAGGTTTGTCCTCACTGGAATAGACACTTACTCCAGATATGGGTTTGCCTATCCTGCATGCAGTGCTTCTGCCAAGACTACCATCCGTGGACTCATGGAATGCCTTATCCACGGTCATGGTATTTCACAGAGCATTGCCTCTGACCAAGGCACTCACTTTACAGCTAAAGAAGTGAGGCAGTGGGCTCATGCTCATGGAATTCACTGATTCACTGCTCTTACCATGTTCCCCATTATCTTGAAGCAGCTGGATTGATAGAACGGTGGAATGGCCTTTTGAAGTCACAATTACAATGCCAACTTGGTGACAATACTTTGTAGGGCTGCGGCAAAATTCTCTAGAAGGCCATGTATGCTTTGAATCAGTGTCCAATACGTGATACTGTTTCTCCCATAGCCAGGATTCATGGGTCCCGGAATCAAGGGGTGGAAGTGGAAGTGGCACCACTCACAATCACCCTTAGTGACCCACTAGCAACATTTTTGCTTTCTGTTCCCATGACATTATGTTCTGCTGGCCTAGAGGTCTTAGTTCCAGAGAGAGGAATGCTGCCACCAGGAGACGCAACAATGATTTCATTAAACTGGAAGTTACAGTTGCCATCTGGACACTTTATGCTCCTCCTACCTTTAAGTCAACAGAGTAAGAAAAGAGTTACAGTATTGAGTGGGGTGATTGACTCAGGCTATCAAGATGAAATCACTCTACTACTCCATAACTGAGGTAAGGAAGAGTGTGCGTGGAATACAGGAGATCCATTAGGGCATCTCTTAATGTTACCATGCATGCCCTGTGATTAAGGTCAATGGGAAACTACAACAGTCCAATCCAGGCAGGACTGCAAATGGTCCAGATCCTTCAGGAATGAAGGTTTGGGTCACTCCACCAGGAAAAAAACCATGACCTGCTGAGGTGCTTGCTGAAGGCAAAGGGAATACAGAATTGTCAGTAGAAGAAGGTAGTCATCAATGCCAGCTATTACCATGTGACCAGTTGCAGAAACAAGGACTGTAATTATCATGAGTATTCCTCATTCTTTTGTTAAAAACATGTTTGTGCAGGTATACTCTTGTACTAAGAAAATATCTTCATTTTATTTCTTTTATCCTTTATCATGTGACAAGATTTATTGAGTTTACATCAGCATTTAAATATCATTAACTTTACGTAATAGTATTTGAGTTGGGGATTGGTGTGTTTCCGGTTGTATGAAAGATAGTTGTATTATAATCTTATTGTTGTCTTTATTTGAAGATTATATATGATCTGAGGAGGTGTGTGTGGGTTCAAGTTGACAAGGGGTAGACTTGTGATGGTTAATACTGACTGTCAACTTGACTGGATTGAAGGATGCAAACTACTGATCCTGGGTGTGTCTGTGAGGGTATTTCCAAAGGAGATTAACATTTGAGCCAGTGGGCTGGGGAAGGCAGATGCACCCTAATCTGGTGGGCACAATCTAATTAGCGCCAGCAAATATAAAGCAGGCAGAAAAATGTGAAAAGCAGAGACTGGCCTAGCCTCCCAGCCTACATCTTTCTCCCATCCTGGATACCTTCTGCCCTCAAACATCAGACTCCAAGTTCTTCTGTTTTGAGACTCAGACTGACTCTCCTTGCTCCTCAAGCTTTCAGACAGCCTATTGTGGGAACTTGTGATCATGTGAGTTAATACTTAATGAACTCCCCTTTATATATATTTATATATCTATCCTATTAATTCTGTCTCTCCAGAGAACCCTAACTAATACAGTGAATAATCCTTGACTAGGGATAATTATACTGCAGATTAGCAGTCAATACCTCAAGAATCCTTACAGGCAACAGACAAAAATCTTTATTTGGCATCTACCATGTTTAAAGTACTGTGTCAGTCCATTTGGGACAAGGGATGGAGTGGTAGAAAGAAATACTCCTTATTACCTAATTTCATGTAAATTTTTCTGCTAGTAGAGTTTGAAGTATCCCAGACACACTAAATTGAAGATCTCAGGCTATTTTCCCAAAAGTGGCTATCTGAGTTCTCTATCTCAGCAAATCATTTTCCAAGTGTCTGGGCCAAGTGTCTGGGAATTTTCCTAGACTCCCCTCTCTCCTTTATTGCCCATATCCAATTGGTCATCCATCTGCAATTCAAATGATTCCTTCCCTTGAGTGTAGACTGTGCTAATAATGTATTATTTTCAGTCTTCATCAGGTTTTGCCTAATTGTTAAGATAACCTTTTTACTTATAGCTGTCCTTAGTTTCATACCCATGGTCCTTCCACACTGGGTCAGAGGGAGTTTTTCTCAAAGCCAAGAGCCATTACCCCTCTTAAAGTCTTTCTAAAACTCTTAAAAGCTTATAGTTGCTATGCTTACATTACTTTAGCAGGCAAATTCCATCTAACTCAGATATAAACACTTCATCAATTACTGGGCATTCACTCTTCCTCAGGCCACATGGTCACCAAACTATGGTGGGCCATACATCCTTTTTTGCCCAGAATGATCCCAATTTATGCCCTCTGTCCCTGAGTAATTATTAGTAATGCATCTGAAATGTTTCGATGATAAATTATATGGCCACCCTAAGTACTATAGACTTGTTAAAAGAGGTTTTTGAGAACTATCTGGTAAGGATAGCCTGGAGATAAATAAACCAGAGTTCTATATCTCTTATCTAAAATTCTTGGATGTGTCATAAATTAGAATTATTCTTATTTTAGAAAGGAAATACAATGCATTATTATGTATTACATAATATCCCCAGCAGGGTCTAAGGAAGTACTCCTTAATCAAGCATATGACTATTGCTGTAGAGAAGTATATGAATGTAGGAACTTTTTTCCCTAAGAGAGCAATATAAAGACTGTTTAGGGCAAGATTTGATGCTAAACAATTATGAAAAACATATTTTGTTTTCAGAGCTTTTCAGATTTGGGAATACAGAAATTTTGGACCTGTACTTAGTGGTGGGAGCTAGAAAGGATTCTTTGTCCTCTCTAATCTTTGTTTTACTTATTTGTAAAATAATAATAATAATTGTACTTCTAATACAGTTGTTGTGAGAATAAAATGAGATAGTTACATAACTGGGCTTAGTGAAAGGCCTGATACAAAATGCTCAATTAATTGTAGTTATTTTTATGAACTGCATTCTGTTCTTACCTAATCCAAAGGTAGGAATGCCAAATTATCTGAAGGCACAAAGCAAGTTAAGAAAATGTGATGACTGTGGGATCGGAAGCCTGATGTTTTTCATCTGCCTAACCTAAATTATTTTCCTCAGAAACTGCTTATATCTCTCCACTGCATTATGAATAGAACAAAGGCTTTCTATTCACCATTGTATCTCAAGGGCCTAGTACTCTTTCTGGCACATAAGTAGTATCTCAGTAAATAGTGATTGATTGAGTGAATAAAGCCTATGAGATCCCTACAAAATATCACATTCAAAGATGCTTTGAGCATAGACATATTTGGGAAAGACCAAAATATATCAGGCCACAGTATTTTTCATCATAATACTCAGGAAATTCTACCACACTGTTGTGTTTTTTTTTTTTTTTTGAGACAGAGTCTCACTCTGTCACCCAGGCTGTAGTGCAGTGGCATGATCTCGGCTCACTGCAATCTCCGCCTCCCAGGTTCAAGTGATTCTTCTGCCTCCGCCTCCCGAGTAGCTGGGATTACAGGCACATGCCACCACACCTGGCTAATTTTTGTATTTTTAGTAGAGATGGGTTTCACCATGTTGGCCAGGCTGGTCTCAAACTCCTGACCTCAGGCATGATCTGCCTGCCTCAGCCTCCCAAAGTGCTGGGATTACAGGTGTGAGCCACTGCACCTGGCCACACTGTTCCTTTTTGTTTTTGCCACATGAAACCTTTGCATCTATTCCTCCATTTACCTGCCGCACTCCCCAGCAGGGTATGCTAGTGCTGAAGGGCCCTGGCAGGTCCTATAGGAATGTCCCTGCTTTTAATGCCATCTAAAACAGAGGAGCGAATGCTCTAGGAATTAAGCTCACCCATTACTCGCTGTAGTTTTTAGGACCTAAAATGTCAATGATTTTTTAAAAAGTCTTATTTTCCTTAATTTCCAAAAAAATAAATTTTCTCAAATTTTCCCTTTCAAATCTGTAAAATGTTTTAAAAATAATTTGGCAAACCAACTTTTATTCTCACTTGAAGACTTTTTCCTTCAATACCTTTAAAATCATCATCATGAACTAAAAGTCATCCCTTACGTGTTCAAAGTACAATGGCGTGACTGGAAATAATATATGCCCTTTTATAATTGAACAAGTGGCTTTAAATGCAATTTGGATCTTGCCCATGAGATGTGTAAATTTTTGGTTATAGTAACTTAATAGGATTTAAAACTCCCTAAGGGAAGATATGTTGTGTGTCTTCAATAGTTTACTTATAATTCTGAAAGTCAAAAATTCTGAAAACTCTTAAGTTTTCTCATTTGGTTTTGAAACTTGATTTGAGCTTATTTTATGGCATAAATTAAATGTGAGGCTCTTTTGGCCTTTATCTCATTCATATGAATGTTTACATATTAAGTGGTGGAAATATTAATATGTTTGAACATGAATGCTTCCCAGACCTACTGGGGTGTTACTTAATACAAGGTAAATGGGCGGTATTACCTCCATAAAATTAGAAAAATTCTGCATTCTGAAATACATCAGCCCAATGGGTGTCAGGCTGTGGCCCTATGTTACCATTAGGTTTATTTTGGGAAGTATTATCAATGAGAGAATCATGTGTGCAATTTCCAAATATATATTTATAACAAGGGCTGGGTCTAAATGTGACTAATGTTGGAGCTAGCTGCACCATTCTGGATTATTTTCTTGAAGTTTTCTATGTATTAAGGGAATGGTGTACCTGTGTTGAGCCTTGAAATCTGTTCTAAAAGTATTTTGGATGCTCAAACAAAAAAGTTAAGAGCTAAGTTCAGAGCTGTGTCCAATATTTATTGGCTTCTGGACTGAATTAACAGAATTAACGTTTACAGTTGATTGTAATTACAGCAATGCTGTATCTTTACATATTTTTCCTTATTGTAGATAGAGTTTATTAGTCCATGTCCTCACGAGATAACCCACCCACTGCAATCCTTTTTCTTTTTTAGTTTTGGAGACATAGTCTCGCTCTGTTGCCCAGCCTGGAGTGCAGTGGTGCAATCTCGGCTCACTGCGACGTCTGCCTCCTGAGTTCAAGCAATTCTCCCACCTCAGCCTCCTGAGTAGTTGGGACTACAGGTGCATGCCACCATGCCTGGCTAATTTTTTTGTATTTTTAGTAGAGACAGGGTTTTACCATGTTGGTCAGGCTGGTCTCAAACTCCTGACCTCAGGAGTTTGCCTGCCTCAGCCTTCCAAAGTGCTGGGATTACAAGCACAAGCCACTGTGCCTGGCCCAGTGCTTTTTCTTATACCAAGATTATCACTGGTAAGAGAAGAAGGATTCAGAGTATTTCAGACCCAATCTAGAGAACTCTTCCTGGCATCATGGTTAAAAGGTGGCAAGGAAGAGAAAGGGGAAAAGAACTAATATAACTGAGCATCTCCAATGGGACATACACTTTGTCTTATCTGCCGCTAACAATATAATCATTTAAAGGAAGAATCATTATCCTTAGTTTACATCTAAAGGAAATGGAGGTTCAGGAATATTGCATAACTTGACCAATTTCCCGGAGACATAAGCTAGAGTGCCTGGACTAGAATCCATGTCTGTATAACTCCAGAGCCCATGCTCTTCCCAAAGCTCATGCAGCCCTCCCTAGAGAAGAAAAGCAACCCAAAGCCAGAAATAACTGAAACTATCACAACACGGAGGTACTTCTCACTAAAACTTAATTAGCCATTTTTGTCCTTTGCTAAGGATGTAATATTCTAAAAACAGACAGAAATGAAGACTTTTTAGGACACCTACATTGTCAACCATAAGTGCGGCTCTTAGCAACCTCTATCTCAACAATATCCGACACCCCTTCCCTGCCTCTTTGTAAAGCAAGACTAATTTAAAACAAAAACTTAGGGAGAGGAAATGTGATGTGCCAAATCTAATGCATTTTGAAACAGAATGTGGAACACATATGCCTAGGGTTTCCTTAAGAGTTTATATTATAAAGTGTTTATATTTTAGTCTTTGTTTTCTGGCACTTGTTAAATAACAATCAAGCTATAGCTGCTCTAGGAAGATGAGATGGCCAGAAGAGAGTCACATACCAGAAAAAGGAAAGTTAAAAGTATCACCTGTTTTATTTTTCTTGCTCTGCAATTTATGTAGAAATGTGCCTCATGCCAAGAGAGACAAATTATAAAAACGTTGCCCCTTATTTAGCAACTCAAGGAGATAGGTTTGTGCATCGCCTTCCCTCCCTTCCCCTGCCACCCAATACACAAACACATCCACTTATACACACACTGCAACAGTTTCTCTTTAGTGCATAGGTTTTCAAAGTTAATTACATCAGAATCACCTGGAGGACTTGCTAGAGGATAGGTTGCTGGACTTGACCCCTCATGTTTCTGATCCAGTGAGTCTGGAGTCTAGGGTGGGACTGAAGAGTTGATATTTTTAACAAATACCTAGGTGCTATAGTCTGAACATTGGTGTCCTCCCAAAATACATATGTTGAAGCCACATCCCCAGGGTAATAGTGTTAAGAGGTGGAGTTCTTAGGAGTTGATCAGGGCTCTGCCCTCGTAAATGGGGTTAGTGCCCTTATAAAAGAGGCCAGAGGGAGCTTATTTGCTCCTTGTAGTGTGCGAGGACACAGCAAGAAGGCGTCACCTATGAATTAAAAAACGGGTCCTCACCAGACGTGAAATCTGCTGGTGACTATCTTGGACTTCCCAGCCTCTAGAACTGTTAAGAAATACATTTCTATTGTATATAAACCACCTATGGTATTTTCGTTGTAACAGCTCAAACAGACTAAGTCACCAGGTTGTGCTGATGCTACTAGTCTGGGAATCACACTTTGAGGACAACTGCTTTGGTGAATAGTGTTTAGCTTGCATTGTGCTGAGCCTCAGAGCAGCAATTCTAGACTGGTAATGAGCATCTGAATCACCTGGCAGCTTGTGAATGTGCAATTGCCCCCTTCTTGATTCTTGACCCTGGCTAAACATTAGAATTATCTGGGGTGATATCATGCTCTGATCCACCACAGAACAACTGAGTCAAAATCTTTGAAGGCAGGACTCAGGAAAGGTAATTTTTTTTTAAATTTCCCCCAGTGATCTTAATACCCATGGAGGAATCATCACCATTGTAGATCAGTTCTGAAAGCACATGAGTGTCCATGGGTGTGTGTATTGAGAAACATGTCCAAACAGTTCTCATGCAATTTGAGAAACAGTGTTTTGGGCTGAGACTCAAAACTTCCTCAAAGGCTTATCACCACCCCTCTATGACACCAAGGCCCACACTTTCACATACGATCTTAGGCTTTGCACTTGCTCCTCCCTGCCTAGAAAGCTCATTTTCTCTTCTCAGGCAGTTAAATCCTTCATGTCCTTTAACACTGATCTCAGGGAGCCAGACTTTTTTTTTTTAATAAGTTTATCCTAATTCATTTTTTTTCTTTCCAACTTTTATTTTAGGTTCAAAGGGTACATATGCAGGTTTGTTACATGAGTGAATTGCATGTCATGGGGATTTGATATACACATAATTTTGTCATCCAGATAATCAGCATAATACCTGATAGGTAGTTTTTCAATACCCTTCTCCCACCTTCCACCCTAAAATAGGCCCCAATGCCTATTGTTCCCTTCTTTATGTTCATGTGTACTCAATGTTTAGCTGCCACTTATAAGTGAGAATGTGCAGTATTTGGTTTGCTGTTCCTGCATTAATTTGCTCAGGATAATGGCTTCCAGCTCCATCTCATGTCGCTGCAAAGGCCATGATCTTATTCTTTTGTATGGCTGCATGGTACTCCATGGTGTATATATATATCACATTTCCTTTATCCAGTCCACTTTTCATGGGCATCTAGGTTGATTTCATGTCTTAGCTATTGTGAATAATAGTACTGCAATGAACATCCATGTGCATGTATCTTTATGGTAGAATGATTTATATTCCTTTGGGTATATATCTGGCAATGAGATTGCTGTGCCTCTTCTGTGCATGATGAAACCCTCTGTTCTCCTTTACCTTTGCATTGATTGTACCACATAGCAGAGTTTCTTTCCGCTTTTCTATAGGTCTCTCCCACTGAGTGCTGAATGGAGGAAGGATCATTTCAGTTATTATTTCACCTACCTTTACTGAATATAATTTTTGACAATATAAGGTGCTCAAGAAAATTAAATAAATTGATATTAATTAAATCCTATAAATAGGGAAACAATCCTATTTTCTTTTTAAAATGTGAATCAAGAAATATGGCTTTCTAGGATAGGATAAGACAGCTTATTCAGATGAAAGAAATGACCTATATTAATAAATAAAGTCAGCAATAGGACATGCAATAATCATGAGAAAAGCCTCATTATTGTTTTCTTGCCTCAAATGAGGTCTGCTCAAACAATATAAAGCCATTACAAAAAAAAGTTTTATAAAAAAGCTACACTTGAATGAATGCCTGCTGCTTTAAATCTTCTCATTGAAGTTTATCCTGAATTTTTAGTTTGTGTTTTCTGAGAGAGTAACCATATGTCCAAACAATTGTTGTTTTCATGGTGTGAAATTCCTTCATACATTCCAAGGATCGATCGC